>NC_000016.10:65168560-65471591 GCF_000001405.40 Homo sapiens | reverse complement strand
AAGAGTCATCACTTTTCCAAACCTCGGTTTTATTATCTCTAAAATGGGAACAAAGGTAGCTGTAGACCTCATGATGTTATGGTGAGGAGAAGTCCAAATATAGTTCGGAAATGTGGAGAATGTTAAAAAATTCGTATTCTCTTTTTTGTCTCTCTCTCCCTCTCTGTCTCTTACTCTTAGTAAAGATATCTAGGAGATAAAAGCTATGAAATCCCCAGAAACAAGCAGAAATATACCAATATCGTGCAGAATTGAGGAGGTTTTCCTGTCTCCTGGCATTCTTTCATGAATTCCAGAATAGAAACAGCTGCCTCCCTGGATCATCTCTCCTTCTTACTTTCTACCTTTTGTCTCTCTTTCTCATTTCCTCCAGCACTGGGCTTTGTTCAGTTATTCTAAACTGTGATGCGCTGGGAATGAACATGTGATAAAGGCCTTGATGAACAGAATTTTGCTAAGTGGACCTAAGCAGGGGAGAGTCTTTCATTTAGATCAAGCAGCATGTGTAAAGAAACAAAGTTGAGTGAGGACCTGCATGGTTAGAAAATGGGAAGACATCAAGTGTCTCTTAGAAGAAATGAGGGTGCCTGAGACAGAGAGGTGGAAGCTGAAGCCAGACGTACATAATGGAATGAGACTGTCAAGAGCCCTAAATCATCCTACCCTAGTCTAAAGCCTAAGGGTCAGGAGTTAAAAACTCAAATGCCTTCAGAGAAAGGGCACAGAAAGTGAGAAAAAAAAAGAGAGAGAAAAAAACAGGACTAAAATAAAACAGAAGGAATTGGGCTAGTAAATGCAGTATGAAAATACTCATTTGGAATGCATGGACAAATCGGGGGGAACGATATGCACTGGGGCTTGTCGGGGGTGGCAGGGGAGGAAGAGCATCAGGAAGACTAGCTAATGAATGCTGGCTGAATACCTAGGTGATGGGTTTATCTGTGTAGCAAACCACCATGGCACACATTTGCCTATGTAAAAAGCTGCACATCCTGCACATGTCACCCAGAACTTAAAATGAAAGTTGAAGGGAAAAAAAGACAATTTAATGGGGCTAAAAGCTGTTTGAAGCTGGCTTCATGGCTCTATGAAAATGTAATGAAACTGTCTAAACTCTAGGAAATTTTCCAAATAATGGCCACCAGAAATTGTTTGAATTTTAAAATTAAAATGGCTACAGACTTTAACTTCCTTCAAAGATACAATTTATTATTAGGCACCATTCTCCTTAAAACCAAAAGTGCAAAAAACTGCTTGGACTTGCAAAAATTAAAGAAAAATTTATAAAAGTAAAAAAAATACTCATTTGACCATTTATTGAAACTGAATTTGGTCAGGGGTAGTGGGATGCTTTAGATCAGGTCCCTAGAAGTTGATCCTGAGAGGGGGAGTCACATACAAGTGGCTTATTAAGAAGATGCTCCTAGGAGATGCCAGCATAAGAATGGGGAAAGCAGGAAATAGATGGGGAAGAACCCAAGCCGGGGTGTGATTTCAGGCCAAGGCCCATGGACGGAAGGTTCAGGCTGTCACTGTGCTGCAGGGGAGTTCTGGAGTGGAAGTGATGCTTCAGGGTTTTCTCCCTTTATTCATGGGTTGAAAACCCCTCAGCACTTTGTGCTCCTTGTGCCAGCAGATGAAGAGGTGGCAGGTAGCAAAAGCCAAGAGAAGCTCAAGCAGAAATTATGAAAAAAATTCAAAAAAATCTGCAAGAAGTCCCATCAACATCTTCTATGTGCACCCTGCTTACAACCTGTCCTTCAGATACTGGAAACTGTTGAAGATGTTTAAACCAGACATGTCAGGCCAAGACTCAATTTTAACACTTTGATTCTGGACAGTGTAGAGAATCACCTGGAAATGAACAAGGAAGGAGACAAGGAGACTCAGAGGAAGGCTGCCCAGCATTTCTAGGGTACAGATAAAGAGGTGACAACCAAAGCAGCCAGGTTGTATGGGCACAAGGGCACATACTGAGGCAGAGTCAGCAGCACATTGTCAGGAAGAGCTGTGGGGAAGAGGAGGAAAGTCACTCCATAGTTCCTCCTCTCTTTATTAAAGTATTTGTTTTGGGGAAGTAGAAGGGAGATGCAAAATGTGAATCAATAAAGAAAACACAAACAAGTAAACACGCTAATTGAGAGCATCCCAATGAAGGGATGAGTGAAGGAGCATCCCAATTGAGTCATCCCAATTACTGAGTTCAGGAAGAGAGCAGAAGACACCAACTCGGTGGACAGAGCATTTCTCAACTGCTAAACCCTCCCAGGGCCCCTGCCTGCTGTACAGGCTTGAGTTCCAACTTTCACACTTGACTGTGAAAATAATGTGGTCCTAACCCTGCCAGGCTATGAAGAAATCTTCTCTTGGTTTTTGGTCACCCTTGAAAATAGGCAGGAAATACTTAGCAGCCTGGGTGTAGTTCACAGTAGTATAACAGAAGTCACTGTCCTGAAATTAACAGTGAAATTATCACGAGACCCAGATATGGACACCAGGGCTGTATTGAAGTTGTCATAACATATTCTTGGTCGTGTTGCCACTCTTTATCAGCATCATTTTGTATAGAACTTATATAATTCTTACAGGTCTAGCGTTCTTTTGTTTTTACATTTAAAGTAATATTTGTTGAGCATTGCCTCCACACTAAGCACTCTATGAGACCATTTCAAAAACCTCTTATTTCCTTTCTTCCTGACAACCATCATTAGCTGAGACAACCCTGCTCCTTAAGAGTTAGATAAATTGGGATCTAACTCCAATCCATGACTTGAGGGCACCCAATAGACTCTTCGTGATTTTTATAGATTCCTTGAAGGCTCATTCTTGTCAGCAACTTTGACTTGGAGCAATGACATTATACCTCTTCTGAGCATAAATTCCTTGCTACATAAAATGTCATCACTTATCTTGTTTTTTTACAAAACAAAACTTGAAGAAAATAATTATTTGTCTCTATAGAAGATTTTGATGAGAAGAGGAGTAACATATGAAATCAACCAAAGCCAACAGGTTGTAATTGAATATTATAGATCTCTGTTACTGAAGTCCCTTAGCCTGCTTCTTATAGATTCTTCACTGGCTACAGCATCCTAGTAGTTTTAAGACCTTTCCTTATATTATTGACTTGTTTTTCAACCACTACTATCCATCTAGCAGTGGTAGTCAATTGAATTGCTAGCCATGTACTTCTGACTCTGCCTTCTGAGCACATGGAAGGATTACTCCTCCTGCCTCCCTCCTTATGTTGGGTGGGGCCGGGAGCAAGATCAATGGGTTATAAAGGCAAATCTCTTGTGACACTTCCAGACTTGAAAATTTAATTGCCTGTGCAAGAGCCTCCTGAACTCTCTTTCTGAGTGGTATCTGCTCCATCAGCCTGGCTATAAGGAAAGCCTTTCTGTTAACTCACAATGATTATGTAGAATGAGCAAGAAGTAAACTCTTGTTTTAAACCATTGAGATTATAGGATTGTTAATCACCACAACATAACCTAGCCTGCCCAGATAGACCCCCTCATTCTTGACCTACCAGACTGCTCTTTCCCTACTTTGGACATAAATGAAATCATGCAGTATGTACTCATCTATGTCTAGTTTATTTTGTTCAGCATAACGTTTCAAAAAATCATCTATCTTGTTGAGTATATCAGTAGTGTGCTCTTTGTGATGGTTGAATAAGAAATAGAACACTGTCTTAATTATTGCAGTTTTATAGGTCATCTTCATATTCAAAAGAGTAATTTTTCTAATTTGTTCTTTTTAAATATGACACTGGCTATTCCAGGTACTTCGCATTTCCATATAAAACTTTAGAAATGTATTGTTGTTTCTATAAAACGTCTGCCAGATTTTGAATGAAATTAAATTAAATATTCAGCAATTTGGGGAGAAATTATATTTTTAATATCATGTTGTCCTATCCTTGAATATGGTATCTCTTTTCATTTACCTATGACTCAAATTTTTTCAGTTAATTTGGAGTGTTTAATTTTCAAATTTTTGCCTCCGCATATTTAGAAATGGTTTGTGTTTATCTTTTGACCTTGTGTCCTGTGACTTTTTCTAAATTCACTTATTTAACTCTAGCAGCTTATTTGTTGAGATCTTTGGTTTTCCTCAAATTGTATGTCTTTTATTTATTTTTCTTGTCTTGTTTTCTTTGGCTGGAGCCTCCTGAACCATGTTGACTAGATAAGGTATGAGTGGATGTATGTATGTTGTTTCTACATGTAGAGGGTAAAACATTCAATATTTTACTATCAAATATTATGTTAGTTGTGGTTTGTTTAATGCCGTCTATCAAGTTGAGGAGTTTACCTGTATTCCTAATTTTTTGGGCTTTTTAAGTTTCTCCCTGATTGTTAATGGATATTGACTTTAACAGAAACTTTTTCAGCATTAATTGAAATGTTCATATTTTTGTCCCTCTGTTGTTCTGTTTAAGTGGTGAATGTCATTTGTTGAACACATGGTAACTGACCAGTTTATTATAATTGTTTCTTATCATACCCCTAAATTATAGGATAGAGAAAATTACAAAAACCAGAAATCAGATATTGCTATGCCTATTACCAGATTATTAAACTCTTAATATTCTGTCATGTTTCTTTTTTTTGAAAAGAAGTAAAATATACAGATACAGCTAAAGACCCACCCACCCTCATTTCATCCTCCTTTCCTGGTACTAAAATTGATGAGAATCCTTCATTAAATTTTATACTTTCTACCTAAATTGTCCTTGCAACTGGACGTAGGATTGTTTCTCATGTTTTTAACGTGAGCATAAGTGGTATCTAATTGTCTTTGACATTTTGCACTGTTAGAAGTTACTTTTGTGAATCTAATGTGAGACAAGTATCTAAATGCATGTGATTTTGTATATGAATGACAATCTTCACCACTCCCCCGCCCCTGCCTCCACTCAATACCATCAATTCAATTGCCTATCCATTACTCACTCATTAGAAAGCCAATTCTGAAATATAGCAAGTACTCATTTACCTGCTCACATGTTTTGGGATTCTAATTATAATACTGTATAATATTGGTGCATAAAAGATTTGACTTATTTTCCCATCTCTGTACCAATATCATTCTGAAATAATTATTAAAGTTCACCTTAAATATTGTTAATGTTAGTGTGACCCTCACCTTTTTTTCCTCTGTCCTTTACTCATTCATATTAACTTTAAAGGTTATCTAGTTTCCAAAAGAAACACTTCGGAATTTTAATAATATTCAATGGAGTAAAGGGTGTATTTTACTATAAGTAAAGACTTACATGAGATTAATTTAAGGAAAATCGGTATATTTTACATAGTAAATCTTCCCACCCTTAAAATGTTATACAAATATAAAGATATAATTTTATATACATATACATACGTATATATACATATATACGTGTATATATACGAATATACGCGTATATACGCGTATATATACGAATATACATATATACGCGTATATATGCGTATATATATACACACATATATATACATATATACATATATACACACATATACATACATATATACATATATACACACATATATACACATATATACACATATATATACATATATACACATATATATACATATATACACATATATACACATATACACATATATATACACATATATACACACATATACATATATACATATATACATGTATACGTATATACATATATACATATACATACGTGTGTATATATATACATATACATGTATATATGTCTTTGTATATATATACATGTATATACATGTATATGTATATGTATACACACACGTATGTATATGTATATATACACACACGTATGTATATGTATATATACACACGTATGTATATGTGTATATACACACACGTATGTATATGTGTATATACACACACGTATGTATATGTGTATACACACACACACGTATGTATATGTGTATACACACACACGTATGTATATGTGTATACACACACACGTATGTATATGTGTATACACACACGTATGTACATGTGTATACACACACGTATGTACATGTGTATACACACACGTATGTACATGTGTATACACACACGTATGTACATGTGTATACACACACGTATGTACATGTGTATACACACACGTATGTACATGTGTATATACACACGTATGTACATGTGTATATACACACGTATGTATATGTATATACACACACACACACACTTAGGTCTTACTTTCTTCAATATTTCCTTTTATAAATATCTCATTGTGTTTTATATTTTAGTTTCTGTTGTGAATATTTAAAAATCATATTTCCTAATCTGTTTCTATTAGACACCATTGACTTTTTAAAAAATTGTGTATTTTGACACTGAACTATTACCTAACAATACTGATAAACACTCTCATTTGTTCCAATAAATTTTCTGTAGATATTTTAATATTTTCAACAAAGACCATATTATTTGTGAACACTTTTGATTATTTTCTTTCAATTGCTACATTTTCCTTTCTTTCTCCTTCCTTCTCTCTCTTCCTCTCTCCTTGACTCCATTTTTCTTTCCTTCTTTCATTCTTTCTTTTCCTCCTTCCTTAATTTACTGGCTAAGACCTCCAGAAAAGGGTTGAATAAAAGATGTAATAATGGGAATTCGCATCTTGAACCCCAGTTTAATGGAAATGTTTTTAAAACATCACTATTTATGAGGTAACTTTTGTCAGGTTATGGTAATTCCCTTCCGTTCCTCATTTCCTTAAAGTTTATTTATTAAAAGATCTTAAATTTTATTAATTTTTTTCTGTATCTTCTGAAAAGTCATCTAATTTTTATTGTTGAGTCATTGAAATTTCTAGTATTTAACCATTGTTTCATTCTTCAGTAAGTCCTAGGTGGTCATAACAGTCTTGGGTTCCTTTTGTTAATGTGGTAGGTAGAATTTTTACATCTATATTTTTAAGTAAGATTGTTTTATGATTTCCTATTCAATTAAATCATTAGAAATGGAAATGTCTTTTAAATCATTACAAACATGAAACAACATATATGTTGCATAGTGAGGAGTCCTGTGTTGACCTAACTACAACATCTTTAAAATTATGGTGGTGAAGATGGAGTCAGATTCGAATATAAAAATCAGTACTAGTATTTTTAATGAGTTCCTTTGTTACTGTTCAGAGGTTGGTCTGACACTGGAATTTCTTTTTCCAAGGGCTTCAGGGAAATGTGGGTATAGATTCTGAGGGGAGTGTGGGTCTGAGGGTATGAGGGCAACTGGAATTTGCATCCACTTGGGATTTCTACTCAGAGGCTGAGAAGAAAGATGGCAAGGAGGTGTCCTCCTGCAGAAGCCTGTGAACTGAAGAGTCCAGGGCTCACAGTCTAGCTTTGAGACTTAGTATACCTTTATTATAGTATCTGCTTTAATTTTTTAGATGCTAGGCTCATTTTCAAACATCATGGGTTCAGCTGTGCTTTAGGGGATTAAGAAAGAGTCTAATGTCTACTCCATGGACTCGGGGGAATCAGCAGAGTAGCAGCAGCACACAGAAGCAGTGAGAAGAGGCAACAGGTGATCTGTGAGGCCAGCATAGCTGTGTAGAGGGTAGCCAGGCAAAGAGCAAGACCAGGGGCTGCAACGTGGCTGTTGACCCAGGTCTGAGCAGAAAACAATGTGTCCATTAGGCCTCTGACAGGAAATCTCCTTCAAAGATTCTTAAGCAGAAAAAGGAGTTTATTATCTCACATACTTGCAAACTCCATGTATAACATGCAGGGCCAGTGTCATAATTGGCAGGGCCCAGTGAAAAACAAAGAGGTGGGACCTTTTGGAGGATGGGAAATCAATCTCTCTTTTCCATGGGGCTCACTGCTGCAATTCAAGGTATTGCAGCCTCCACTCCAGGACACACTTGGATCCTGCCTAGTGGACCAACTGCTGAACACATCTTGGTGCTCCCAGCGTGGGACAAAGATGGTCACCATCTAGCTCTTCCCCAAGTTGCTGCATGACACAGGTCTTCCCCTGTTGATGTTAGCCAGCCATCAAGCCTGGCAAAGAGAAGCACCTATTGCAGATCAGCTATAGGGCACAGGGAGCAGGAGGCCACGTGGAGTCCACAGCTCTTGGGAGCAGAGACCAAGGTGTGGAGAAATTGTCCCAGGGAGGGAGGAGAGTAGCAGGAGGCAGGACCATTCATGAGCCATAGCTCCAAGCTCCTGGTTGACACTCCATTGTCCCATTGAATTTCACTTACTAAATACAATTCTGAAGATACATTTACTAGTAATTTTAAGACAATGGCTGTAGGGCATTAAACCTCAACCATAGGGTCACGTGTGATTGCAGTCACTACATGCCCATAAAGCCATCCCTGGTAATACGATGCAGAGGCAATATTCCCAGGAGCTCATTATCACCAGGGCAGCCACCCTTCACCTCTCAATTCTGCTTTCCTCTGAGTTGGATTAATTCTCACAAGATACATGGTAGCAGGGTGGCTGTTAGCACCTGGAGGCTCACATCTTTTCATGTTCCAGTTCAAAAGGAAAGAGCGCACCTCACCTTCTAAAATGTGAAAACATTCCTGGGATTGTATAAGATTACATGCCCATTCTTGAACCAATCACTGGGGTTGTATAGGATTACATGCCCATTCTTGAACCAATCACTGTGGCCAAGGATATTGACTAGGCTGATCCTCTAAACTTGAGTTCCTGCCTGACCTGGAGCTGAGATGGAGACAATTTCAACAAACGCACACACACTTTGGCTTTTAACATGAAGGGATAGGTGGATGGTATCAAAGGGGAATTCACCCTTTAAAGCTGGGCATGTAGACATTTGGATGTTAAAGTAGTTTCATTGTGAAAAATGTAAAATAAAGTCAACAAGTTATGCAAGTTTAGACAACCAATTGTAAAGAGGTGGGGGTGTCAAATGGTTTAAACAAAAAGCCTAAAATAACTAAAATCCTACAACAATTGAAGGCTGAGAAAAAAAAATTGTGTTTGCGAGTGACAGAGGGCGTCTTGTGATTCTTGAGATGAAGAATTTAAAGATCACTCAGGGAAGACATACCAGATTGAAAGGTTGTTGAGTGATAACAAACTATCACTGCTCCACATTTGGTTGAATTCCTGGGGGCCATTCCAGTATGAAAATAATTCCATCAACGGCATGGGTTTCATCCACCAAGGTCAGTGGTGTCTATAGGTCTATTCATAGACACCAACTGAAAATGACATTTCACCACTGGGACTGTGAGGAGAAAAATAAGGTCCAGCCAAGCCAGCATAAATTACAGGCTGTAGAAATAAGACTGTTCCTTTGAGAATAAAGTCCTTAAAAACATGTAAAGCAATTGTATTCTTCCTGTGTACAAATGTATTGCCTCTAGACAGAAGTTTAGCTTTTTTTCAGAATATTTTATTCAAGGTCTTAAGATTCTAATGTGTTTCAAAAGTGGGTTATTAGGAAGAAAAAACATTTAAAAAAGTCAAGTGATTTTTTTAGTAAGCAACTCAATTATTTGTGTTTCCTTTTTTAATTTTATTTTTCCATATGTTATTGGGGTACAGGTGGTATTTGGTTATATGAGCCAGTTCTTCAGTGGTGATTTGTGAGATTTTGGTGCACCCATCACCCGAGAAGCATACACTGCACCATATTTATAGTCTTTTATCTCTCGCCCCCCTCATACTCTTCCCCCCAAGTCCCCAAAGTCCATTGTATCATTTCTATGCCTTTGCGTCCTCATAGCTTAGCTCCCACATATCAGTGAGAACATAGGATATTTGGTTTTCCATTCCTGAGTTACATCACTTAGAATAATAGTCTCCAATCTCATTCAGTGATTGACTATCATTGTTTGTTAATAAACTTTGTTTACCTTTCTTTTTAAATTTCTCTCTCTCTGTCTCTTTTTCTCTCTTCCTGCCTCTCCCTCTGTGTATAGTATGCATTTTCTTCCTTCTGTAAGGATAAAATCAAGATTCCACACTTGGGATCTGGAGAAAGCCTGTGGAATTTTAGCTAGCTACTTGGTATCTCTGTGACTTTGCGCAATTGGCTTAATGGCCACTAAAATCTTGGTTTCCCCACCTGTAAAGTGGAGATCATAAGCTCCCTGCCTTTATTGGTTGTTTTGAACATTCGACTAGATTTTATTTATGTAGTTCTTAGCACACTGCCTCTCACATAAGAACTGAATTCATATATATTATTGTGCATGTACTCACTCTCAGTCTGTTTTTCAAAAATTGTTTTGACCACCATCTTTCTCAATAAACATTGTCTTTTGCTGTCAGCTTTGAATTATTGAAGTATCTCACTTTATGGCTAAGGGAGGGATCTGTGTGGGGCCAGAGTTAGGTCAGCACTTCTACAGTGAAACTCCATGGAGTAAAAGAGGCCATCTCTATTGTTGATGGGGAATGGTAGCGCAAATGGCTCTAGAGATAACACTGTTTTGCGTGAGAGAAAATAATTCAGACATGCTTTGATTCATCTGTTTGTAGTGTCATTTTTCTTCTTTGGAAAACTTCAAAAGTTGCTGAACTGGCTTCGAGATCAGGAAAACAGATGTGGAGACAGTCATTTATGAGGAACCTACTATGTGCTAGAAAATACCCAGGACGTTTTTTTCTTTTCTTCCTTTCCTTTTATTTTGTTTCATAATACATTTCCCCCACAACCTTATGAGTTGTTTATAACCCTATGAATTATGTATAATTAACTTCCTTTTCTATGCATGAAATTGTCACTTAAAGGGATTCATACCAAAGGTTACTGAATCAGAAGGAGGTGCCAGGAATTTGAGTCTTGGGCTACCTGACCATGGAATCTCTGCTCTCTGTACCTCAATTGTTGTAGGGGGTATTGTTGCTGTCATTGTTGCTAGTACTAGTATTATTATTATAATATTTTGTTATTGTTGGAGGCAGTGAATATTCATGCTGGTACAATGTATATGACTTCTTTTTTTCACCACTATGTTGATAGACATCTCTTCAAGAAATTAAATGTTGCCATACCCACCAATTCAATTGATAAGAAAAATATGCTCTCATGTCAATGTAAATATTATTTCAAAAATCCACAAAGTAGAGGCGGAAGAAGAAGCAGTTTTTAGTTTATCAAGTTATTATGTAAAAGACATAATAATGTTATGTCTTTTATCATAAAAATATAAAAAGAGGGAAGCATATTTGCAAAACATTTATCCTCCAAAAAAGCAGATAAATGGTCCCAATGTCCCTTCAATGTCATTTAATTTTCTCATCGATTTTTTTTTTGAGAAATATGTAAACGGTCTTTCCCTGCTGGCTCTCAGCTATGCCAACCTTGTGCTTTGAAACCTGACCAACCCACCTACATCCTGGTTCAGCAGCTAATGCCATGGAACTTTAGACCCTCAAGGACTCATTTGTGCATAGGCAGGACAGATGCATTTGATTCACTTCCTTCCCCAACTCTCTTTGCCCTCACTCATTCCTACAGCCCAGAGACTCCCAACTCCTTGTTTTGTTTCCTTTCTTCATCACTTGCTGTATAACTGCCATGCCCCAGAACCAAAGTCTATATTGGATTCTCTGGTTGGATACCAGTTTTTAAATCCTTCTGGCCATGCCAAGTTTATAAAAGTTAATCCAGTCCTGGACCCTAGAACAGCATCTTGTCATGCTGTGTGTATGGGTAGTGGATGACCTCGTCAGGGTTAGGCTTGACTCCCCATTCTGCCCTCAACCCCCAGACTCCTAAGTGAGAACCTGATAGCCATCTCCATTAAGGAAATGTGTGTGAACAGCCTAAGGTTAAGTGCCAATATCTCTAATAGTGTTTTCATATTAATTAATCACAGCAGGTAGCTGGGTTGTAGTGAAACACTGTGAGCACTGTGTGTGTGTGTGCACATGTGTGTGTGTTCTGCCTCAGACAATTTTTATTCCTTGAAAAACCAAAGAGTGAATGAGCCTCTTCAAAACATCATTATAGTTTGACTCTTTTGTACAATCGCATATCAGTTATAAGGTTTTTTTTTTTTGGTTGCAAACATCCTCTCCTCTTTATCTTTGTTCAGGACACAGGGTCTGAAAAAATGCCGACTTTTTATAAATGAAAGAGGACTCACGTTTTCTTTCCATTTTTCATTTACTGTCTGTCATATTTCTCAGTCTCCAAAGTCTGTGTCTGTTGAAATATAGTTTGTCATACTCAACAGGTAGAAGCCAGATAAATCACAGGTACAAGGCAAGAGTCTTATGATTGGAAATAAAGTTATCCTGCACCCACTTTGAAAAACCGGGTTTTTGCTCCTTTTCTATGTACAGCTGTTTCAAAATGAAGTTTTGGACATTGACTCTGCAGCCAATGATCTTAAAATAGGGATTCTTAAATGGACGATCAAAATCTGCAGGATAATTATCAAATTTGTTGTTTTCTCATATCTCAGGAAGGGGGCTTGAACCCTTTTTATTTGAGAAACTAATAGAAAAGTTGACCCTTGAGCCTTGAGCATGTGATGACCTCTGTAAGCTGTATAGTGAAATTGTAAATAAATGGTGAAATGAGAAGATACCTTAAGACATAGAAGCTCAGGCAGTACCGAGCTTCAATGGGGAGACTAATGAGTGAGTGATATCTAAGAGTTCAGCAAGTTACAGGAAAAATGATGCTTAAGAAGAGACCATTTGTTTTGGTGAGCCAAGGGTCATTTGTGATATTTGAAAAAGGAATTTCAAGGTTGTGGTGGGGACAGATAAGCAACTGCAAGTGGTTGCAGAATGAGTGCATGTCATTCTTACTTAAAGCTTTGCTGAACTCTTGGTAGGATATTACAGTACAAGAAATAACGGCATTTGTAGGGATACTTTGAATGCCAAGGCCAGTGGTATAGACAGATTTATTTACAAACCTAAACAGAAAACATCCCATAGAGATGGAAAGGGCATCATAGTCAACCATGCCATCATAACTTTGCAATTAAGAATCTTATTTTGAACTTAAAAGCTCTAAACAACATTAATATGGAGTCTTATAGATTGTACACGCGCACACACACACACACACACACACACACACGTCTTGTCCTTGAGCAGAAGTACAGCCTTTTCTCAGGGATATTTTATTCAAGTGCTCAACATTTCAAGGTGCTTTGAATAGGTATTGAAAACAGTGAGCCTTAAAGTCAGGGCAAGAATGTCTAAGTATTTAAACGGTTCGAGAAATAATGTTCCTCTCCTGCTTTCTGCATCTGCCTTTTCCCTCACCTCATTTCTTGCTGTATCTCTCTCTATGTGTCTGTTAGCAGAGTATGGTGCTGAGGCTTCAAGGCTCTGGTGAAAGCCTGTGTAACTCTGAACACCAAATTCACTGTTTCCTAGCTAGGTGACCTTGGGCCAGGTTCCTAACATCTAAGCCTCAGTTTTTCTGCACCTGTAAAATGAAATAGCAATTGTCCTTACCTAACAGAGTGTTGCGAGTTCTTAAATTAGATAATCTATGTAAAATGCAAAATGCGTATCAGGGTGCCTGATATATATTTAGCACCCAGCAACAGTCCCTTGAATTGCACAAAAATCCAAAGTGAATTCACATCTGAATGACAAATGTAGCTGGTCAAGTAGGAACCACTATAACATTAGGCTATTTTGTAATTTTCAGAATTGTGTTCAGTCATTTAGGAAGGTGAGGACAGACCTGGAATCCTAGAATTTTGTGTTGGATTTATTTTTATTCACTAATATATCCATATATAGATGATGAATCAGGGAACTGTACATACACACACACACACAGACACATACACACACACACACATACACATATACTGTGCCTCTGTGACAAGCATTAACTAAACTTAGTACACAGAGTCCCTTCATGAGCTCACTGCCAAGCTGAGTGCCACATAAATGACTTTTTGGTCCCTCAATTTCTTCTGTAAACTAAGGATAATAATAGTAACTTCTTCTTAGAACTGTTGGGAGGATTAAATGTTTAATACACGTGAAGTGCTTAGCAAAGTAGTCACTGTATTTGTTTAATAAGATCTATTTATTGTTGTGGCTATTATTTTAAATAACTAACGTAAAACATAGCAAGAGCTAATGAGTACATATGCATAAAGTATTAAGCAAATAAGTAGAAACAATTCAGGCTCAGACACTTGAGAAATATCTCAAGTGATGGTACCTTTGAACTGTGATTTTAACAATGGGAAGGAACTTT
Source organism: Homo sapiens (assembly GCF_000001405.40). Classification (NCBI taxonomy): domain Eukaryota; kingdom Metazoa; phylum Chordata; class Mammalia; order Primates; family Hominidae; genus Homo; species Homo sapiens. The sequence goes on along the minus strand of NC_000016.10, from coordinate 65,457,386 downwards.
TCCAGTATTGAGGAATATTGCAGGATTAGTAGTAGCGAGGGCAAAAGCATGAAGGAATGAAGAGCATGGCAGATCTGGAAGATGAGATATATTTGATGATTAGACATAATTCTATCATCTTATAAATCACGGTGCCTAGTGCAATGTCTGACATATGACTTTTGGATGGATGGATGAAGGGCAGGAGTGGGAGGGAGAGGAAGGGTGAAATCAATGAATAGATGGATAGATAAAGGGATGTAGGGAAGAAGGGAGGGATAAATGGATGAATTATACCATGACCCCAACCCTCTTTCAATTGTGGCTATTGGGCACAAGTTTGAGATGATGATTTTGTACCTGATACTGGCTTAAACATCCCCCTCAAACATCACACACCGGGGCCTGTTGTGGGGTGGGGGGAGGGGGGAGGGATAGCATTAGGAGATATACCTAATGTTAAATGACAAGTTAATGGGTGCAGCACACCAATATGGCACATGTATACATATGTAACTAACCTGCACGTTGTGCACATGTACCTAAAACTTAAAGTATAATAAAAAAAAATAGAAAAAGAAAAATGCACATTGAAACAACAATAAGATACTATTAGGTTAGTGCAAACATAATTGCAGTTTTTGCATTGTTGAAATTTGCTGTTCATATTGGAATACATTCTTAAATAAATGTAGTTATGTTATACACCAAAAAAAAAAAAAATCCCCCTCAACGTTTCCTGCACTCGGCTCAGAAAGGCTAAATCTAATCGATGAGCAAACTTGATCCTGCAACCTCAAAAGGCAACTGTGTGAACAGCGCCTTTGAATTTGTGGTAATATTGCAGACCTCAAGATTCCCATAATGAATCTGGCTGTCAAATTTTAGAGGTTGCCAGAACTAATAGCAGAAGAGAATCCTTACTTGCAAGGAATCTCACCTAAGTTTGTTTTCTGCTTTCCTCAAGTCAGCCAAGCACTGGCCTGGCTGTATAAAACAATGAACTTGCTTTCCTCTTTTTGCTGTTGCTTATGGCCTTAAGCTGTCACCTTCATTTTAAAAGACCATCAAGGAAAGAGCCCTGGTTTTGTTACATCTTGAAGCGTACACACTTGGAAATGCCTACCACAGTGGACATTGCTAAATGCTGCAGTAGACTGCATATTTTTCCCTTCTTGTTTCTTTCCCCCTTTGATTTTTTTAAACTGCCTTTTGGATGTTTGGTGCCAACTATTTTTAAAAAATCAATAAGCCCAAACATTATGGCAGCAAGTTTAATATAGCTCACCTTCCCAGAACAGGCCTCAGGGAAAGCGAGAAGTCTCACGTTAAAAGGGTGCTGAGCTTGTATCTCGAAAGATGTTTGGGGTAGAAGGCACTTGCTCAGCAAGATTTTGATACCTTCAGATGCAAATGAGATGGTCCCTGCAGGACCAGGCTTGGCATGGGACCATATTGAGATATTTGTAGGGAAATGATGCTCCAATAAGCTCTGACGACTATATTGGGAGCACAAAGGCAGCTCAGAATGCTGGAAGACCACAACTGCACAATTACTGGAGTTCTGTCAGAAGGCTGAAGGTAGAACCTGAGGCCAGGGGTCCTGTGGGGACTTGCCCTGCTGTGGGGAACAAACTGCCACAATTTTTAACACGCAATGGTTCATTTCATAAGCAACAAACCATGATTTGAGTTCTGGTTTTCTTTTCATCTTTTGAAGAACACAGGATTGGAGGGCCAACTATGTTAGGCAATTTTAGTAACAAATAAGGCTAGTGTCTTCATTCATCCATTCGTCGGTTAAGCACATATTCACTGGAGGCCAAGGTTGCAATCATCCTAGTGTGTTCTGGGATACCAGGTGAGCAAAGCTAGATTTGCTCACCACGGTATCCCAGTCCTGCCTTCGTGGAGCTTCTGATCTGGTTGGGAAAGAAAGACAGATTATCACCCAAATCAATGGGAAATTTTAATTGTGATGAATGCCACATAGGAGATGGAGCTTGGCCAACATGTATTCAGTGTTTACTCCACTGGGTCCTTCACATGCAGTATCTTCTTTAAATCTCATAACAGTACTTCCATTTTATGTGTTAAATCAAACTATAAATCAGTACATACAGTATTCATTGTAGCCAACTTTAGAAGATAGGGAATTTTGAATGTAAACTGAGATGGTTTAATTTCATGGATTCTACCACCTTCTCAGCTGTGTGCTCCTTACAGTAACTGTCTTCATCTCTGTAACAGGTAGTCATTCACTAGTTGCCGACTATGTGCAAAGAGCTGAAGGTGCAGCAGTGAAGAATACAGGCATGGTCCCTGCCCTCTTGCCTCTTCTAGTCTAATGGAAGTGGTGCTTAGAGTTCAGCGAAGGAAGTTGAGAAAAATCAAGCAAACTCTTCTTCTTCGTTATTCTATCTGACTCTCTGAGTCTCTGTTAAATAAAAATAAAATTACTGTGAATACAATGCCAGCACTAGAATATTAAAATAATCCAATTACTTTAGTCCATAATTGATTATTAATTTTTATGAAAAAGATATGTAGACATCTTATTTACTCCACAAGAAGATATTTACTTAGCTCAAAAGAAGAGACCTTTTGTAAATAGGAGGCTTCATCACTACATGATTAGTTGTCCCAGCACCCTGTGCAATCGGCATTTAATAAATCATATATAAATCATCTTCTGAAATGTTAATTAAGTGGTAAAACATTTGCTGAAAGTTAAAAGTTGCCAAGGATTTAATTATAACCTTGTGGACACCATTTCCAGTTAATTATATACCCTTCTTATATACTTGATAAACCACAAAATGCACCCCATTAATGATCAATTGGTATTAAATTAGCTGGAATTAGTTTTTATTAAATCTAAATTAGATTTTTATTTGTGATACAATAAAATAGTGCACCCAGCTCTTGCCACTATGATTTGGGATATTTCTGTAGAGAGTGATTACCAGATGTCTAATTGGGCAATTAATAGATACAGTTTCTGAATTAACATAATTGGGGAACCTAAAAAAGAAAACAGAATGATTATGCAGCCAGCAGACCATCTTTTTTTTATCCTACCATTCAGTCAGGGTTGTCAACCAACCCTTCATTCTTCTGGAAAACCGTGCTTCTCTGGGCTGGATTCCCACCAGAAAAGGTCATTGTGAACATAAAGCAAATGGTGGTGATGTGCTCCATTGTGGAGATAGTAACTTTCAAGGCCACCTAGGAGGACAGCTCTCTTCCAGGCTATGCTGGGCCAGTGGGCAGGTACAGTGAGCCTTCACGGTGTTTAGAGAACCTCGATGATAACCTGCTAGATAATAGTGTGTTTACACAGCTGACAAGAGTCCAAATGCACAAACCCATCTCTTTCCAAAAACAATTTGCCAGATGAGTTTAGTTTGATGTTCCAAAGCTTTTTTATTTTGCCATTTAATACACCACAGAAGGGATTGAGACTTAACCTCTCTGTTTCTGCCACGGTCTTAAATCCCTTTATAATTACTTTCCCCACATGTTGGGTGCATCATCCTGCAGTGTCTCTCCTCTGCCATCTGTGTTCTCTTAAGGGATAATCTGCCCCCGACATGTAAACAGGCTCTTTTTAGACCAATCTGGAAAGGTAGATCTTGCCTGCTTTATTCATTGTGGGCACCAGCCTCACTGTCTGATCCTTTTTGGTCCAATAGTCTTCTTAAGTTTCAGAATATTGTGCCCACAAACAGACAAAAATTGGTGAGAATTACTGAAAATTAAAAGTATAAGCTTATATATATATTTAACACAGAGAGAATTCACACTAATGAATTACATAACGTTAGTAAAACGGTTTGGCGTACATCATCTTCCATTTGTACTTGAAGTCCTTATAATGATGCTCTGCTCTTCATGCCTTCCATGTGAGTTGATGAAAGAGTCTGGTCAGATGGGCTGTTGCAGTTTAGTGCTAGTTTTATTATTGCTTTCTCATTTAAAAAAAAAAAACTGCCTGCTAGCTCCATGCTGGTCCATCCCATCCACTACTCATTCAATAAACCTGTGTTGTCCATCACTTCTTTCTTTAGGAGCTCATTCGTTCATATAGCAAATGGACGTGAACTGCCTGTTCTTAATGCACAGCTTATAAGAGCTCATTCATTCATATAGCAAATGGACGTGAACAGCTCTACACCTAACACATTGGGATGCAACAGTAGACAATACTGATAATAGTCCCTGTTCTCATGAGGTGTCAGGTGGGAGAAACAGACGGATAGATAAATATATAACTAATAACAAATTATCATAAGTGCTGTACAAAGCAAAAATAAAAGTGAAATCTACGGAAGATAACAAGGAAGTCTTCTTTAAATATTTGGACAAGAAAGGTGTCTTTGAAGACAGATTATTTAAGCTGAAACCTGAGTGGAAGAAAGTGTATTCTGGGCAGTGGGAACATTTAAATGGGCTTGAGGTGGGAAGGAGGTTGGAAATTGAGTAAACTGGGGGAACTGGAAGCAGAAGGATGTGATCGCAGCATGATGATGAATACGCAAGTGGCATGAGTTGAGAGTTCGGAGGAAATAGGAAGTGGCAGTTACAGCTGTGACTGAGGACCACGATCAGGAGTGGGAACAGTTGGAAACTTTGAAGCCAAGTGGCAGAGTGACATGATTTGATCGGGCTTTGAGATCAAATCTGGCTGGTTGGTGGACAATGCCTAGGAAGAGGACTAGAGAAAGAAAAGCTGAGGGGAGGCTGTTAAAAGTTTTCCAGAAAAGAGAGAGCATGGCCTGGAGTGAGGAATGGGCAGTGGAAGGGGCCGAAGCGGACAACTGGGGATATATTTTAAGAAGGAACCAAAAGGACGGATTGGTCATGGGGTCAAGGCTATAGAAAACTGAAGAAGTCTCCTAGGTTTCTGGCTGAAGCAACTGAGTTTATTTATTCATTCACCACATCTCTGTCTCTCTCATTATCTCTCTATCCCTTCCTCCCTCCCTCCCTCCCCTATCTCCCTCCCTCCCTCCCCGTCCTTCCTTCCTTCCTTCCTCCCTCCCTCCCTTCCTTCCTTCCATCCTCCCTCTCTTACTTCCTTCCTTCTTTGCATCCTCCCTCCTTTCTTCCCTCCCTCTTTTTCTCTCTCTCTCTTTCTTCCTTTCTTTCTGTCTGCCTGTCTTTCACAAGGTCTAGCTCTGTCACTGAGGCTGGAGTGCAGTGGCACAGTCAAACTCCTGGACCCAAGCAACCTTCTGTCTCAGCTTCCTGAGTAGCTGGGACTACAGGTGCAGGCCACCACACCTGGCTAATTTTTGTATTTATTTTTGTAGAGATAGGGTCTTGCTATGTTGCCCAGGTTGGTTTTAAACTCCTGGGCTCAAGTGATCCTCCCAGCTTTGTCTCCCAAAGTGCTGATTATAGGCACGATCCACCTCACTCAGCCCACCACATATTTCTTGAGCCCTTTGTACATGCCAGAGATCAGATATTACAAATGTCATCCAGACAGGAAAGGCCTGTGCTCTCATGGAGTTAACACACCTTGAGAGGAGTTGATAGGCTAATTGCAGAAAATTCCTTCTGTCTTCATTTGTTCAAAATTTGGTTTGAGGTGTATCGGACTTTCATCACCTGTAATTCTGACACAGTTTGCTTTGGCAATGATTGTAATTTACTCTCATCCAATCTGAACTTATTCTCCTCTAAAACGACTTTGCTTCCCTCCTGTTGGGACAGGAGGGATTTCAGAGACCTCCTTAGTGCTGTCAGATTATAAATGCCTAACGGGTCTAGGGTTACATCTTTGGGGTGGGAGTCGAGTGGCACGACTAAATGTCCTCAAATTTCAGACCAACTACTTAAGCCATAGGTTTTTTTTTTGTTGTTGTTGTTGTTCATTTGTTTGTTTGTTTGATTTCAGGGGGTGGTAGGGGGTGAGGGTGCTCTTTAGTGATTTTTCATATAGGAACTTCACAATTTATTCCAAGTTTTTGTTTTAAATAAAATTTCCTCCTGATTATTACAGTACAATAGATCCCCTTTGTAAAATTTCAAAAATAAAAAAGTAAAAAAGAAGCATAATCACTCATAATTCCACTTGTTTTATAAAGTAGTTGTATAATTCTCATACTTTCTTTGTATGCATATTTCAATGAAGTTTTTCATTATAAAATTATATCTTGAATTTGACAATGACAAAAATTGGTTTTTAAAACACTCTTCATAGATACAACTTGAATTATTTGGATGTAGAAGTTATTTTCAATGTATCACAATCATAAATATAATTTTAATGAAGTACTTTTTACATGAACTTTCTGTGTTATTCAGGATTATTTCATTTTTGGTTGTATCCTGGAAGTAAAATTAACAGGTCAAAAGGTCAGAATGTCTTAAAGACCCATGACACATATTGCTCAATTGTTCCTAAAAGGGTTGTGTTAATTAACACTTCCCAGAGCAATGCAAGAAAGTAAGTTAAGCCAAACTCTTTCAAACATCATTTTCTCCTGTCTCCTGCCTTTTAAGTTTTTAATGTGTGTTAATTAAATGGGTGAAAAATTGCCTTTCGTTTTTTCAGTTGCCTTCTTTTTTATTTTTATTAGATAGTTTGAAAATCTTCCTTACCCCATGTATGTGTTAGTCATTTCTAACTCCTGTTTCATGGATTTTTTTCATGTCCATTACTTGCCTATTTGGGTGCTAGTTTTTGTTTTGTTTTCTTTATTTGTTTGTATGAAATCTTTATATATGTGGTGCCCAGGGTTATCTTCTGTTTTACTGGCTTTGTTCCTTCCTACCTTCACCCCTGGTAAAGAGGAGTGTCTTAAATGTCCTGACACATAGGTTTTTATAAAAATGACCAATGTGAGCAAGAGAAAGTGTTTTAAATTAATTATTCCATTCTGGGAAAAAAAAAAAAAGAAACAAAAGTCAGAAGTCTGTACCACAGAGGACTGTAGAAAAACACATGCAGTAGGATATCGCATTATTATGGATTCACTCTGCCTTCCCAGGATGGGATCCAACAGGACACAGTACTGCTTCATGGGTCAATGCTTTCCAGCATTGATCATGGGAGGACACCAGTGGAGTTTAAGTTGGGGCTCAGGATAGAGCTCAAAGTAGAAAAGGAGGACAAACTGTGGCTTTGGGAGGTACACCTCTCCAAAACCAATGATAAAAAATGAGAGAGCAAGCAAACACCATCAACAAAATACATGCACAGATAAGCTAAGAGCACTTTGCACTGTCTTCTAATCTCTGTCATTTCATGATTGGCTACTGGCAATTGGTGTTGTTCAAGCAATGAATGAGGACAGAATGTCCTTCCAACCATGGTGCCTATAGCCATTCCTTTTTGTGCAAAATCAAGCAAAGTGCAGCAATTCTTGATTGCTATTATTTTCTTTCTTACTCCAAGAATTTTAGCTTTGTTCAGTTTGGAAAATGGGTGATCTTAATTGAAAGGATGCCTCTGATTATCTCTATCAGTTTATCTGTCTATCTATGATGGTTAATTTTCTGTGTTAACTTGACTGGGCCATGGCTGCCCAGATATTTGGTTAAACATCATTCTGGGTGAGTCCATGAGTGTGTTTCTGAAGGAGATTGATATTAGAATTGGTAGACTGAGTAAAGTAGATGGCCCTCCCCAGTGTGGGTGACACTCATCCAATCCATTAAACGCTGAGTAAGGGAGAAATGTGCTTTCCTTGTCTGACTGTCTTTAAGCTGGGACATTGGTCTTTCTATGTCCTGGAACTCTAACTTGCACCATTGGCCTTTTTGGGTTTTCAGCTTGCCTACTGGACTTCATGGGATGTGTCAGCTTCCATAATTGTGTGAACAAATTCCATATTTTCTTTATCTATCTATCTATCTATCTATCTATCTATCTATCTATCTACCTGCCTACCTATCATTTATTTTTGCCACTATTCGGTATCTACAACCACTTTTAATCAGCTCTTGAGATCTTTTTTTTTTTTTTTAGATGGAGTCTAGTCACCCAGGCTAGAGTGCAATGGCAAGATCTTGGCTCACTGCAAACTCTGCCTCCTGGGTTCAAGGGATTCACCTGCCTCAGCCTCTTGAGTAGCTGGGATTACAGGGGCCCGCCACTGTGCCTGGCTAAGTTTTGTATTTTATTTTTTAGTAGAGATGGTGTTTCACCATGTTGGCCAGGCTGGTCTCAAATTCCTGACCTCATGATCCACCTGCCTCAGCCTCCCAAAGTGTTGGGATTATAGGAGTGAGCCACTGTGCCCAGCCTCAGCTGTTGATATCTTGGTGCAGCCTTCTCAACCCTGCTTATTGGCAGGTTATTCTGTTTTGGTGATGATGGTATGTGCCTGAGTGTTTATGCTCCAGATGTATCACTCAGGTGAAAGCAGATGCCATCTGTACAGCAGCTCCAAGGAGTAAACTGACTCCTATGAGAATAAGTGGCTGCTGCAGTGTGGCAGGCCTGGGGTCACTGCTTCACTGGACACACTCACCTAAATTTAGGTCCCAACTGCTTGGCCGTCCTGAGTCAGATGATTCCTGCTGAGCCCACCATACAACTTCAAATGTAGGCTTCTTCCTATAAGATGTATTAGTTTTCTGTTGCTGCTATAACAAATTGCCACAAACCTGATGACTTAAAACAACACAAATTTATTGTCTTAACATTTTGAAGGTTAGAGGTCCCAAACAGGATGAACTGGGCTAAAAGCAAGTTGTCGGCAAGGTTGCATTCCTTCTGGAGGCATTTGGGGAGAATCTATGTCCTTGTTTTTTCCTGTTTCTAGGGGCTGCTAACATTTTTTGGCTCACAGTTCATTTTTTTTCCGATCTTCAAAGTCAGCAACATTGCATCCCTCTGACCCTTCTTCCATGGTCACATTTCCTTCTGACCACAACCAGGAAACATCTTCCACTTTTAAGAACCCATGTAACCAGATTGGGTCCAACAGGATAATTTATTCATGTCAAGGCCCTTAATTGCATATGCAAAGTTCCTTTTTCCATGCAAGGTGACAAATTCAGTTTTTTGAATTAAGATGGTGGGCATCTTGGAGAAAGGGGTGGTGTGTTCTGTGCATTATCCTGCCTTCCAGAAGTAAGCCCTATTTTTAAAAAAATTGTTTTCTGTGTTTAGGGTAAATTCTTGTTAGAAACTCACCAGTTTCTGATACTGAAAATAACTTTTGGTCTCCTAAGAGCTCATGTACTAAAGTCTTAAATAAGATACAGAAGAAGTATCAACTGATTTAAATGCTCAGCCTGGAATGTGTGCCTTAGGGGAATGTCACCACTTCCATGAGTTTCCAGTCTTCTCTTTGGTGTGGGAGAACAAGCCTGGTTACCTAAGTTCCCTATTGCAGTGAGAGTCTTGAAAATATGAAGCAGCTCCCCTATGCCCCTACAAGCTTCCATTCTCCTCGGAGCTCCTCTGGACTCTATGCTGGGATGCTCTGCCTTTACTACATGCATGTGTATGTCCTTCCTAATTTCCTAGAGAAGAGAGAGCCTTGAGGACTTGGGTTATCCTAAGTTAATGACTAAAGTTTATATGTACTCCAAAATTCAGATCTATTTATGTTTCTGCTTATCAAATCTCTCAAATCCACCTCAAAATTGCCATGTCCAAAATCAAATTTGTTGTCTTCCCCACACTAAATTTCAAAATCTGGTCTCTTTTTTGCGTTTTCTATTAGAGCAAATGGCACTAGTAATCACTTCTAACTTTCATGAGCCATCAATCTCCTAACGAATTGTGGAATTCTTTCACTTCAACAACTGTCTGGTCTGAGCAGCAACCATCACCTCTTACCTTTAGTGGCCACCTAACTGGTGTATCCATACAACCTCTTGCTCTTTATAATCAATTTTCTAGAAAAAAAATCCAGAATGAGCATTTCAAATAACCATCTGGTAGTATCCTCCTCTCTGCTTGAAACAATTCAATACTTCTTCACCACGGTTGGCCATGCTTGATCTGGCCTGGCTCTGTTGCTGTCTTCAGCAAGCATTCCTCCACTCAATGCTTTCAGCCACCCGGAACTTGGTACGGCATTCACAAAATGTTCTGTGTTCCCCACTAAGAGAAGGCTTTTCTTCAGGCTCCCCACTGTGCCTGGTATCCTCCTCCACTACCCTCATCCTCTGCAAACCCTTTTCATCAAATAAGCACAAGTCTGATCATCAGGCCTCGAGTCACACATTCAGCTCTTATTGAAACCTTTTTAGCAACCCCCTATGCTGGATCAGACCTCATTGCTCTCATCGCAGCTTGTAATTGCGTTCTCATGCAGATAAGGTATCTGTCTGTCTGCTTAGGATTGTATTTTCAGCACATAGTCCAGGCACCTGCCTTATTTTAGTTTCACATATAGCATCACAACAGCTCGATGATCAGCTTCCCTCTCCCCAGGTTTCCCTTTCCCTCTCTCTGCCTACACTGCCACTAGAATGAGTTCTCAAAAGTGTAAATCTGAGGATGCCAGTCCTCTGCTTCTGATTTATTTTTAGAATGGGGATGCTTTCATATTGCCTACTGAAAGTAGTCTAACATCCCTTAGCTTTATTGATAGCACTGCAGAACTTAGGCACCTGCTCCCTGATTCCCCTTTTTTCTCCTCCCTATACCCAATGATTCCCCCTCCTCAGAGCTGCTCACTGTTGCTGGGACTCACTGCTCTACTTTCATTTTTGCCTTTCCCTCTGTTGCCTGAACCACCCTTCCCTCAACTTCTGCATGCTCCAGGCTTTCCCACAGCCCACACCCACAAGCTGGCTCCTCTAGCAGCCTATTTTCATCCTTTCCAGCTGGCCATCCTCTCTTCATCCCCCACATGCTCACATGTTTATCCCATGTTGAAAACACAGAGCAGCAAGACTAGAGCTGTGCGTACACAGATGTCTCCTTTCAACCACATAATAAGCGAACTATTTGTTGAGCTTCCATTATATGCCAGGCATTATGGACACAAGAATGAGTAACACACAATTCCTGCCTTCAAGGAGCTTACACTCTAGTGAGAGCAATAGACAAGCAAGTGGATGACGGAATACAGTCATCTAAGTATATGCTCACCTTAAATAGTCTATAAACTCCTGAAGAAAAGAGCCATATCCTTATATCCCTTTTACTCACATATGTTTTAATAAAGAAATATTGTCCAAACATTAATCAAACCCTCAGAGTTGTATGGTAGAAATTGTGACTCCTTGTATCTAACTGCAAGAAGATATAACAAAGACCACTGCATTTTTAAAGTCCTGTATTTTAAAAGTATTTCTAGATCAGGAATGGAGCCAGATCTGGCCCCTGCAGACACATTCCATGTCTGTCATTAAAAGCCAAATGACTACATCTTTACTCAGAATAATGAGCAGCAAAGCCAATTGCCGTTTTAACATACAACAGCCAAAACCCTTCAGAGAGGCACAGTGAGAATACAATTCTAATGCAATGTTGTCTTTATCAAATACTTCTTTATCAGTAACTTATGGTTAAAATTTTTTTATTTGCTTGCCTTACTGCCCCTAAGGAGAGGTGTTAGCTGTGGCAATTTTATTAAACTTTTGTTCAAGTCAACTGTGATGACCCAGACCCTGTTGGAATGATTTTTAAAGAAATGAAAACAACCCAAAAGTCTAGTCAGCAAATTTGATTATATACATGCATTGAAAAATTATTAAATAGTTTTCAAAGTAAAAAAGATGAGAAATGCCACTTGCAGCACATGTCAGAAATTAAGACAGTAAGTGTCTTAATTTCTTGTATTTTCTAAGCATATGCCTCCTGTCTTTGATTCTCCTTTTCCATCAACCTGGAATGCCCTCTCCATGCTGTTCTCCAGACAGGCACATGGCATCCTTAGCTGGTGCTTCCCTGATGACAACACCACTACTCTTGGGCTTGTTAAAGCTTGTACTCCACTAGCTTGTGAACTCAAAGAAAGCAAAAGTCAAATCTCATCCTCTGTAGCTCTGCAACACACTATGAGTATCTGTCTAATGAAAGAGAGTTCATTCCAATTCAGTTAGGAAACTCATAACTAATTAGTAAAAATAGATGATATAAACATCCCCCACAATAGAAAACACAATTTTGCAGTAAATGCTGGAAATAAAATATTTAAAAATCACAAGAACACATGGACACAGGGAGGAAAACATCACACACCAGGGCCTGTCGGGGGATCAGGGGCAAGGGGAGGGAGAGCATTAGGACAAGTACTAATGCATGCGGGGCTTAAAATCTAGATGATGGGTTGATAGGTGCAGCAAGCTACCATGGCGTGTGTATACCTATATAACAAAACTGCACATTCTGCACATGTATCCCAGAACTTAAAGTAAAATTTAAAAATAAAAAATAAAACAAAGGCATCACCACTAAATAAGACGATCTTAAAATGATAATGCCAAATGCTGTAGAACTTACAGTAAAATAGGGATAGATAATCTGCAGCAGTAGTGCAATAATTTGCATGTTTTATTTATGGCAAGAAAACAATATGGAGATGAAATAGTTAATAATGGCATGTCAATCTGCTATGGTTTGAATATATACCCAAAGTTCATGAGTTGAAAACTTAATCCCCAGTGCAACAGTGTTGAGAAGTGTGACCTTTAAGACACGATTAGGTCATATGGACTTTGTTCCTATGAATGAATCGATGCTGTGGTCACAGGAATGGTTCCTCATGATGGGAATGGGTTCCTGATGAAATGATGAGTTCATCCTCTGGCCCTTTTTACTCTCTCTTGCCCTCTCTTTGCCCTTCCACCATAGGATAATACAGTAAGAAGGCCCTAGCCAGATATGGCCCCTCAATGTTGGAATTCCCAGCCTCCAGAAATATGAGAAATAAGTCTCTGTTCTTTATAAATTACTCAGTCTCAGATATTCTGTTATAGCAGCACAAAATGAACTAAGCTACAATGCAATAAAACATTCCATGACAATTAAAAATGATAGCTACAAATACTCTGACATTATGCCTTATGAAACTGTGTATTTCATAATACACAAGAGCTGCAGATAAAACACACGGTTTGACTTCAGATGGCACACTGTGGGTGAACCTTTAATATGTTTTATTTTTATTTTTACTTGTGTGCTCTACGATTCAACAGCATAGAAATCATAAACTTTTTCGGACTATAAAGTTCCATATTAAAAAATGATGTGATTTCTAGTAACTTCATATTTGTACCACACCATGACTCAACACAATTTCTAAATATTTTGAAAATATTCCTTTTCCCTCTCTACACATACACTGCATATATGTATTTGGGGATGTGCGAGTGTGACTATTTTATTGTATTTATGTAAAAAAACAGTTACAGGTAAATTCCAGGTAAATATGTTAGATTGAATATACAAATACTACATATTTTCTCTTCCTCTCAAAATCCCATTAAAATGACAATATTGGGCTTCTGTAAAGGGCATCAGCTGGGTACAGTGGCTCATGCCTTTAATAGCCCAGTGATTTGGGAGACAGAGGTGGGAGGATCACTTGAACCCGAGACTTTGATATCAAGCCTGAGCATAAGTGCCAGACCCCATCTCTAAGGAAAAAAAAGAATTAGCTGGATGTGGTTCACAGGCTTGTAGCCTGGGACAGTGAGGTGGGAGTATTGCTTGAGCCCAGGAGTTTGAGGCTGCAGTGAGCTATGATTGCATCACTGTACTCTAGCCCAGGCAATAGAGCAAAACCTTGAAGAACTAGGAGAAGAACTACCATTTGATACAGCAATCCCATTACTGGGTATCGACCCAGAGGAAAAAGAAGTCATTATACGCAAAAGATACTTGCACATGCATGTTTATAGCAGCACAATTCACAATTGCAAAAATATGGAACCAGCCCAAATGCCCATCAATCAACAAGTGGATAAAGAAAATAATGGCATTCGCAGCAACCAGGTTGGAATTGGAGACCATTATTGTAAGTGAAGTAACTCAGGAATGTAAAACCAAACATTGTATGTTCTCACTCATCAGTGGGAGAAAAGCTATGAGGATGCAAAGGCATAAGAATGGTACAATGGAATTTAGGGACTTGGGGAAAAGGTAGGAAGTGGATGAGGAACAAAAGACTACACATGGGTGCAGGGTACACTGTTCAGTTGATGAGTACACCAAAATCTCAGAAATCACCACTAAAGAACTTATTCATGTAACCAAGCACCACCTGTTACCCAAAAACCTATTGAAATAATAAGAAAAAGGCATAAATAAGAAGAAAAAAGGGAACAAGCACATGCACAAAATTTTGGAAGCTGGAAAGCAAAAGGATGAAGAATAGTGACTTAGTAGTACTGAGAAAAATGAATCATAAGCTGGTCATGAGGAAAGTTGAGAGGCAATCCATTTTAGACCCCAGAATCCCCCAGATGGCTCAGGATAACACTGCGTACCTCTGGAAGTGAGAGTAAAGATGGTGCTTTTCAGAAGCAGGCTCCCTGTTGAATGCGCATCTGAGAAGTAGTTTGATTTCCAGATTACTTCCCCGCTCTGCTGAGCAACTTTCTCTCTCCCATCCCAGCATGAGAACAAAGTTTTCTTCTCCGTAGATGATAAAGCAAAAGTTCTGCTTTGTAAAATAAGAAACGTCATAAAAGAAATGTGTGTATTTGCCTTTTAGAACTATCACTCACGTGCCTGGAGTGAAGAGTTTGAAAGGTGAGATGGAGTCAGAAGATAGGGAAACCAGTTAGCAGACAGTGAAAGCTAGGAAGAGATCATCTGGAGTGGGAATCCCTGGAGAAATATTTTCTAGAAAGTAGAAATCACAGCCCTTAGTAAGTGACTGGATGTAAAGGAGGGGCCAGAGAGGGATAAATTAAGGATGATTCCCAGATTTCTGTTTCGGGTGACCAGATATTCACTTTCTCGTTCTGTCTTTTTCTCTCTCTTCCACCCTCAGTATTTTAATTGTTCCGATATTTCCGTGATAAATCCCGGTATCTCAAATATTTTTGGAAAGGAAGGAAAAACACACTTTCGTCATAATTTCTCCAACATCTATCTACTTCAAGCTTCATAGCCGCAGTAGGTTTCAAGAAGGAGACTGGGGAGAGAGAGTAGACATACCATTTAGGTGAGATGCTTATAAACCAGGTGGTAGGAACTTGAGGTTTCATATATTGGATATATAAAGTTGAGTGATTTCCTTTTCTATGCAAATTAGCCATCCCTACTATGTGCCATCTGGAGAAATGATTCAATTTGTCTTTGTTATTTTCATCATTTGGGGAGTTACAATTCACCCTGGTGTCAAGTCTGTCCCCAGTACATTTTTCCAAGCAAATTGTTGATACTTTTTTTTTTTTTGATACTGTTACTATAAAATGAGACATGGGGAAATGGAAAGATCAAATGAATGTTTGCTTTGCTTTGTCTGGGCAACACTTCTTCTAAGTGGTATTTACTGGTATTTTTCAGTAGAATAAACCACACTTTAATGTCATGCAACCTTTCTAAAAACAATATCTTCCATTTACATATCTCTCTGTAATTGTAGAAGGAATCACAAAATAAAAAGTGACCTTGACAATGCCTGAATATGGCATCTTGACACAGCTTATCCATTACAAAGTTAACATGTCTCCTTACTGGTCATTGTTAGTAACAGCTTGGTATCTGTGGCCACTTCCTGGAAGACATATGCAGTTGAGTCTTAAAAATTTTTTTATCATTATGGCCAGGGAACAACTGCAGAATATCTGCGTGGCTAATGCTGCCATATCTTTTTTAGGCAAACAGCTGGTAGCTCATTGACTTTCTAAAAAAAAAAAAACTGCTTCTTGCTCTGAAGTTTCAGCAGGGAGCTGCTGCTTCATCCTCAAGTCATGTCACATATTTTATAGTGCTAAACTTTGCCGTAGGAGTTGAGAAACAAAAATGAAAGAAAATTGATGCACTCTATGAATTGGTGGCAGTGAACAGAAAATAATAGGTGGACATAAAACTCAGCATCTAGTGAGGATGAGGGTAGCACAGTCCCCATTGACACTAGGAACTTGAACGTTAGAGCCATTTCAGATGCCTGGAGGAACAATAGTGCTCAGTAGAGGGTTTACAGTGGTGGTGTGATCTGATCATGGGTTCTTAGTGCAATTTCAGGGGGATGGAGTGTGTAAGAGAATGAACTCAGATGAAAAGACTTTAGCTCAGAAAGGAGATCAGAAATGATAGACAGATTGCTTAAAAATGAGAAACAAGAGCCAGGTATGATATTTTCCACATGGGCAAAGGCATGAATGCAACAAAATGCACCTGCCCTTAATGCATAAGAGGAGAAATAATTCCGCTCCATGGTTTTAAAAGGGAAACAGTACATGAGAGTAATTAACAAAAAAGGATGAATGACATTTATATATAAAATGTTTATAAATAATTAAGAAAGAATTTTATAATGATACATAAAGAAATGCGTCCCATGAATAAACATTTACAAGGTTTAGTCTGAGTAACAAAGAGTGCTAAGTAGAACAACCATGAAGTACCATCTTGCATCTCTTATTTCAATGGAAAATGATAACATAAAAGTTGCAGTGGTTTTTTGTCCTTGCAGTAGTTTCCTGAGAATGATGGTTTCCAGCTTCATCCATGTCCCTACAAAGGAAAACTTAAAGTATGATAATAATAATAATAATAATAATAATAATAATAATAATAATAAAAGAATTTCTGCCCCATCTAAAAAAAAAAGTTGCAGTGGAATGGTTGCACATTTACATTGCTGATGGCAGTAAGTTTTTATAAATCTTTTCTAGGAAGCATGTTGTCAAATGGTGTAAATATATTCCTATTTAGTAATAGGCATTCTGGGAGTCTTTCCTGGGTTTGACAATTCTAAATATAGAAAAAGATGCATAAATTGAGAGATTAATTTGTGGGGGGTGTGTGTGTAATTAGAGCTTAATATCAGAAAAAGCCAGCACAGGATAAGTTAAATGATGACATACCCATTGCCTAGATGAATTAACTAAACATTTTAATTATGACAGCTATGTAGCAACTTCAAAAGCATGTATAATATCCAACTAGGTGTAAAAGAAATAAGCAGGATATTTAATGGGAAATGCACTAGGATTATAACTGTGTAAAAAATAATAGCTACCATTTATAGAGAAGTCTTTCTCATCAGCCACTTTGTTAAGTACTTTGCATTGACTATCCTATTGAATCTTTGTAATAGCCCCGTGAGGTTAGCATCCCATTTACAAATGAGCAAACTTTGACTTGGGAGGATAAAGTTTATTGCCTTAAGTGACAGAGTTAGCGAGTAGTCTTGAGTATTCCAGGCTCAGCTCTGGAATTTCTAACCACTACTCTATTATCCTTTCTGTGAGAACAGAGCAGAAGACCTGGACAGGAAAATGAAAAAGATTTGAAAGGAATATTCAGAATGAGATTGTTGTTATTTTTATCCTCTGGTTTTAGAAGATGTTCTTCTATATGAGGGATATTACAGAGTCTGTGTGATCTAAGTTGCAAATGTTTTCTTTTTGTTATTTGATCTGTGACTACCTTTTAAAACTGAAATCTATACATATTTGCAATGTCCAAGCCAGGTTCACATGATAGATTCCATACTGATCTGGAATTGAAAAGGTACAAAGTAATCTTCTTAAATCTTTGAGAATTAAGTTTCCCCATGCAAGTTATTGAAGCACATAGAGCCAGATAAGTTATTTAAAGCATCATTTGAGTTTTCTACCACTCGTAAGGTATTTATAAGACAAAATACATAGAAAAGGCAGAATTGTATCACTCCCCAGTGACAATTTTGCATTTGCACCATAAAAATGTAGTGATTTACAATTTATACATTATTTTCATGTCTTTTAAAAATTAACATTTAAACACCTGGAAACTGACTTTTGGTGATTAACCTTTAAAAAATGAATAGTCTATTTAGCCCTGTGTTTCAAAGGTCTTGACATATCACAATAGCTCCAAAAATGTTTAAAGTTAGAGCATAAAGGGGAAAAAAGAGATGAATGGAAGAAAGAATAAATCAATGGAGAGTGGACAGGAACTGAGGAGTCAGACAAATTTTCTCATGTAACATGACATTTTCCACCAAGATGCCTTTAGCAAAAAATTTTATTTTCTAACTCTGAATTCTTTCCCTAAGAGAACAGCATCAAAAGGAGTCCATTTTCAGGACATCCCTAAGAAGACACGATATATGAAAGTAAATGTTATTTATTTTATGCCTGTAGTGCCCAGAAGTGCAGTACATACAGAAGAATTACTGCTTTTTCCACTAGAGTGGATATGGATTTGAGATTGGGCACAGCTAGCTCTGTTAGAGAAAGTTTGACTTCCTTTGTATGTCAAGGACTCTAGCAGTGGTTTAATTATGGGAAGGACCTTGCCAAACTTGGGAAGGTGGAAAAGAGGACAACCAATGAATCATGGAAGCATTGCTCATGTGAGTTATGGAAGAATATTATGCAAGTTGAACCGTTATAAGTGGAGGGAAATAGGTGGATTTTAAAGTGCAACACATTTGAAAGAGATAGACTTAACAAATTCTGTTTTAAATAGAAATCTGCAAACACACACATAAATGTTTGTATGTCTAGAGCTATATCTACACCTCTATCTATATGAATATATACATAGTATGCAGATAAATACATAGATATGGTGTTTCTCTTTAAAAATCCAGCAGAAAGTTACAATATTAAACCCAAAAGCTAGAGAGAGTAATAAGTAATATTTATTGGATGCTACCATATGTTAAATATTTTACATACCTGATCTTATTTCAGTCTTTCCAATGATCCTATTGGGATTACCCTGTTTCACAGCTGAGGAAACAAAGGCTCCGTGCAGTTAAATAATTTTCCAAAGTTTACTCACAAGAAGTTAGGAGGCTAGAACCCAAGGCTGAGTTGGCAGCCTTTTATTTTCTTCCACTATACCCGCTGACTTTAAAATATATTGATGGCTTCCCACACTGCTACCATGGATTTGTGTCTCAAATCTGTTTGTTCTCAACAAAGAGCCAGAAGACACTGAGAAGCTGGACCAAGTTTTATTTTTCATTAAGTGGGGTTATGAGAATAAACAAGAAATATTGCTAACATAAAATACAATGCCCCTTTCTGCTCAGGAATGAGTTAGAAATCCAAGGAAAAACCAAACCAAGCCACAACTAATAACTAGATGTTTTTTTCGGCTGAAGTAACGATACAAGGATTACTTACTATTGATGCTGTAGTCATTGGGTCAAGGAAAAGCTTGGCAAACTCTTGGATCTTTTATTGGAACAGTAATTATCCAATACCAGAGACAGAAAGATCTCATTTGTTTGTAAGACAAACTACTTGGGTTACTTTATCATGAGCCTATAAGGATCTCTGAAGTGTAATCTTAATATAATTGTGAAATGAAGATGTAATTTGAGGATCTCCATTATGTTGTAGAGTTTCCTTCTACATTACTTAAAGTATTTTATGAACAGTAAGCAAGTTATTTAATAAAATTAACGAAATCCAGTCGCTATTTCTTCTTTGACAAATTACCTTATCAAATTAAAAAAAATCTTTGGACATAGATTAAACTGATAAAAAGTACTTTGAACAGAAAAACTGAGAACTCCCTTTGTAAATATCAGAAATGAGGTATAATTTTTGGATGGGATGAGGATAATTTTGGATGGGATATATTTGAGGTCTAATTCTGGACTTTACAAGGTATTTACTTAACCTCTTCAATCTAATGTCTTCGTTTTCTTTCTTTCATTCTAAAATTCCTGCTTTCTAACATTACTTTGTCCCTTATTAATTTTTCCAAAATACTTACATCTTCATGAGGGTCTCAACTGCATCTGTATTATATCTGATTTTGTAAAAGCCACTGGCACAATTCTGATCTTCAAAAACAAGAAAAGCATTCCCAGATGTTTGGGGATAAGGATAATGTTTGGCGTTTGGACCCAGGACATCTATGTGGGAGTCCCAGGTCTACCACTAACTCACTGACTGAGTAGCTTGGACGAGTCACTTCACTTTCCTGAACATCAGTACCTTCACCTGCAGAGTCATACCAACTGCACACATTAGTGTGGGTTAAATAAAATCTCTGAGGTAATAAAATCAGTTCCACTAATGTGGATGCTTAGTAACTGTTGGTGAGAAGATGCATTTGCCCAGAAATCTTTCTGCAAACTATTTTTTTGAAAAATAAATGACTTAACTCTAAGCTTTACATAAGTAACTTGGTTTAAAGCTCCATGAAAGTGGACACTGTTTCTTTATGTTCACCCTGGAAATTGCAGGCTGTACCACACTAGTTGGTGTAAACTAGGATCTTGAAGTCATAGCTGTTGAATACAAAGAAATATTAATGATTCAGCCAATCAGTAAATCAATCAGCAGGTATCCATTGAATGCTTACAATGCCTGTGTGTGAAGCAGATGGGAAATCTATGGCTGCTTTATTACTCTTTTGTAAGCTCTATGAACACAGCGACTTGATCCAAATGGCTCAGCTGTATCACTGTAGTTCTATAGTAGCTGAAATAGTTGCTGGTCTAATATAAATGATTGACAAATGTGAGCAGAGTGAATGATTGTTTTTATCAAGTGTATATAGTAGTAGTGGGGAGAGAGTGGATGCACACTAAACTTTGAAAACCACTAATTTCTTATCTGTGGGCAGAATGGAGATTCAGACATGGGCAAAGCTTTCAGAGGAGAAGGGCTTCATAGAGGAGGTGAGAACCAGCTACGATGATAGCATGGGTAGGCGTTTTGGAAGTGGGAAAGAATCACAATGGCCTCTTAGAGAGGGACAGCAGGTGCACACAGAGACATGGATGCAAGATGGTGGGGAAGGAGAGAGGTGTAGAGAGACAGGGCTACTCTACAGCATTCCTTGCAGGGGGCTTTTTTTGTCACCGATGAGGATCTTACTCTGTTCTGTCATGGATTGATAGATGGGATGAGCCATTTAGATTCTCTCAATCTCAGCAATTCTGTGATGTCCTAGCAGTGGCACTCATCACAGAGGGCCCTGGATATGACAGTGTCTCTAAGATTTTTGAAACATGAAAATTGCCATTTCAAACCCTTAAATTGTTTTCTGTCTCACAGACTTAAATTTGCATTTATCATTGTAGCAATGTCTCTTTTTCTAGGGAGATCACTTCACGGGGCTCTTAGATACCAGAACTTTACGCCTCACCCAAGTTCCTGGAGAAAATGAAAATCTTGACCTACTTGCATGTAGGTGATTTAGGCAGATAGCAGGTTCTACAAAGATGTATAGCTGGTCATTCTGTAACTTTGGGGGAAAATTATGTTTTCATTATGTATATGTCAATTTCTGTTAGAGTTATGAGCGTTCTTCTTTGGACGTGTATTGGCAGCCACGTGGAATATTGTAGCAGGCGCATGCAGGCACAGGCCTAACTGATTATATTGAAATACTGGGAGAAAAACTTAAATACTGGGTTTGGCATGGTTCAACATAGATATAGCCTTTTGAGATGCAAAATGTGACATTATTTAACACCAAAAAAAGTACTGAGGCTGTATAATGTTTTTATTATTATTATTATTATTATACTTTAAGTTTTAGGGTACATGTGCACAACGTGCAGGTTTGTTACATATGTATACATGTGCCATGTTGGTGTGCTGCCTCAGGGATCTAGAACTAGAAATACCATTTGACCCAGCCATCCCATTACTGGGTATATACCCAAAGGATTATAAATCATGCTGCTATAAAGACACATGCACATGTATGTTTATTGCGGCACTATTCACAATAGCAAAGACTTGGAACCAACCCAAATGTCCAACAATAATAGACTGGATTAAGAAAATGTGGCACATATACACCATTGAATACTATGCAGCCATAAAAAATGATGAGTTCATGTCCTTTGTAGGGACATGGATGAAGCTGGAAACTATCATTCTCAGCAAACTATCGCAAGGACAAAAAACCAAACACCACATGTTCTCACTCATAGGTGGGAATTGAACAATGAGAACACACGGACACAGGAAGGGGAACACCACACACCGGGGACTGTTGTGGGGTGGGGGGAGGGGGGAGGGGGGAGGGATAGCATTAGGAGATATACCTAACGCTAAATGACGAGGTTGTATGATGTTTTAATCGCTGGGAGGAATTGGCTTTCCCTGGAAGACGTGGACATTACTATTGTCATCTCCCTGAAAGGAGGCTGAATGTATGACAGGAACCAGTGAGAATTCTGAAGGTGACCCTAAGCTCCATGAGGAAAGGCATTTGGCCGGAGTGAAGGAAAAAATGTCTTTCCGGTCCTTACTAGAGATGCTCAGGTCCCTGTCTGTGAAGGGAGGTGAGCTGTCCTGTTCCATCCTCTCCTGGTAGCCTGGAACTGAGCAGGACTGGACACAAGCTGGGCTGGGCAGGTGCTCCATCTTGACTAGTGCAACTGGTTGTCACCATGCACTATAATTAACACCATGGTCTCTGAAATCAGAAGGCATGAATTCAATCTGATCTGATTCTTTGATCAGATAGTTGGGCAAGTTACTTTACCTCTCTGTGCTTCAATTTCTGCATGTATAAAATCGAGGTAATAATAAAAGCATCTGTCTATACAATAATGGCCATTGAGGTAATACATGTAAGTCTTCCTTACTGTGATCTATTCGTTTTTCTTTGTTACAGCACATGTCATCTTACAATATCAAATGTATTATGCTTATTTTTTATTGCATCTTTCTCTCCAGGAGAATGCAAATTTCACAAGTGCAGGAATTTTTGTCTAGCCCTTAATAGAGGGGTTTTTTAAAGTAGATACTTAGTAAATGTTTTTTGACTGAATAAAGCACTTAGAAGGATGCTCAAAGAATGTAAGCATCCTTACATGAGGATGTATAAGAGGACAGCTTTATTCCTTCTTCTTTTTTATTACCCACAGTGTCTAGTAGAATCTTGTTGTACATTCTAACCTGGCCTCTGGTGTGTGCAGGGCAATTTGGAGCAGCCCATTTCATGGCCGAGACACAATGTCCCTGGTGCCTCCACTGTGGCACTGTCCTGCCTGCACCATGGGAGAATCATCAGAAGTCACAGGAGCCCCATTAATAGAATTTGGTTCTGGTTTACAAGCCAGCAGAGTCCAGTCATTGGTCTCCTATAAGGTAAGAGAGGAAAAAGAAAGAAAGAAAAAAGCAGATTCTTTATTTTCTGCATCCTGGACGTAGACCTTATCCCAATAGCATTATGAAGAGATAAAATCTACAATGATTTATTGTCTGTTGGCAGCAGGCATTTTTGTTTCACTTTTGGGATAACAGGATAATAAAATAATGATCATATTACTAACAATAAAAATGTAGTTGGTATTTATTGAGTACTCTTCTAAGCCCATTGCATGCATTATTTCATTTAATCAAAAAAGTTGAAATTAGGGAGGGATGCTGTGGCCATTTTCAGATGAAGATACTGAGACTCAGGGAGGTGCAGTGATGTGGTCAGTGCTGTTCAGAGGCAGCTGCAGGGCAAAGAACCACACCACGTGTGTCTGCAGGTCATAAACTATAATCTATACTAAGGAAAGTATTATTCTAACTAAATCTATGTGTGGTTCCAGCTTTTGAAGATGGGTGGCTGATGGGGCAAAGGCATTGTATTAGTCTGTTCTCATGCTGCTAATAAAGACATAAGAGACTAGGTAATTTATAAAGGCAAGAGGTTTAATGGAGTCACAGTTCCACATGGCTGGGGAGGCCTCACAATCATGGTGGATGGCAAAGGAGGAACAAAGGCACATCTTGCATAGTGGCAGGCAAGAGATCTTGTGCAGGGGAGCTGCCCTTTATGAAACCATCAGATCCTGTGAGACTTATTCACTATCACAAGAACAGTACGGGAAAGACCTGTCCCCATGATTCAAGTACTTCCCACCAGGTCCCTCTCACAACATGTGGGATTATGGGAGCTACAATTCAAGGTGAGATTGGGTGAGAACACAGTCAAACCATATCAGGCAGGTAGATTAATATTCACAGAACACTGCTTCACGAGGTAGGTAAGGTGCTGTGAATGGTGATAACTGAACATGTCTAGGAAACCAAGGGGTTTTGTGGGAGCAGTGACATTTCCAAGACAGCAGGAGGGAAGTGGCAGGATATTATGGGCCCAGTGCGTGTGGCACACAGGCAAGGCAAGGAGGGCCCACAGGGAACAATAGCCTGCGCAGGGAGAGAGACGTGAAGGATGCTGCTCCTTCCAGGGGACCTAGACAAATTGTCTGGCTCAGATTTTAATGTTGAAATCAACAACTGGCCTTTATTTAAGTCTGAGGTTCCTATGGTTGTGTGCATAGAAATCACCTTTGAAGCCACTGGAGAGAAAAAGCAGCTTACTGGTGTTCATTAGGTTTCAGACAGAGCTCAGGAGTTTGCATGTTAGCATGCAGTCCAAGAGCTTCTGATGATGTCCTGGGGATCACACTTGGAGGAAAGTGGCTATTTATGATGGAAACCCATTGACAACTTTATAGAAGTGATACACTAAAGAATGTGGGTACATCCATGCTTTACAAAAGCCCTCTCATGAGGCTTTAAGGCTGACCTAAAAGGGAAGAACTAAGGCAGGGAAGCTCTTAGAAGGCTGACCCAATAATACAGCTCAGCCAGAACTGGGCTAGGGTGGCACAGGCTTTCATGGAAGCAGGTTCCAAGCCATGGGCAGCTTCCATTGTCTGGGATTCTTCATTCACTAGAGTCATGACCCACTGGCTGGAGCAATGGTAGCATGAAGATCAGCACCTGCTGAGAGAAAAACTCTCCATCAACAACAGGAAAGAAACCTACCCTGGTACAAAACAAGCCTGACGGTACAAGCAGAGTATTGGTTTGAAATATTTTGAGAAGTGGAGTTGTTCAGCTTCTATGACGTTTTGGCTTTTACATTACAGTTTGGAGCATCTTGTAGCCATAGGTATCCTTGATGAATTGAGCAGTTGCATCACCATTTAAAGGGATGAAGTGGGTTGTATTCTTTTACTCATCACTTATAAGCAACCTACTATGGTAGGTAGGAACAGTGGCAAGGGCACAAACGACCTGGCCACAGGATGCTCTTTGAGGTGAGAGTGACAGAATACAGTAACACAGTGAGTAATGCAACCAGGTTCCAGGTGAGTTCTAGGGAAAAGCCTACAAGCATTCAGAGGTAGGACCAACGACTTCTAGCTGGGATAATCCAAGAGGCAGTAGGATTTGGAAGAGCAAGAGGATTGTGCATACGGAGAGTACATGGGGAAGAGATTTCAGGCTTTGGAAATAGCCTGTGGTAATGACTAGAGAGAGCCAATTGGGGGTTGAGAACAGAGGACATAGGAGTTCACATAAACTGAAGTTTAGAGTTCATACATGGATATAAGGATTGGAAACAACAACCAATAAAGCAAACTACATTTACTGAGCATTTGTCATGTACTAGGAATACTCTAAGTGCCTTGAATATTTTGACTCTAAACGTTGCAGCAACCCTATAGGGTGGCTCCCTGTCCTGCCAGACAGAAGGGCCTTGACTATCAGGCTAATGAGCTGAAATTTATTCCTCTGGCCATAAGTGATCAAAGTATGATCTCACAGTGCTCTGCACTGCCCCAGTGTTCTGTGAAGATGCCCCAGAGGGGCGCTGCGGTGTGAGACAGGGAATGCAGAGGGCAAAAACCCCTCAACGGAAGTCTAAACTAAAGATAATCTGCTCTCATCTGTTTTATTATCTAGGCTTTTAATTATTACTTTCTTAATTTTTCTTAAGTCTAGAAATTATTTGGAGTAGTGAAGTGTCATGGTAAAATAGAATATGTAAACATAAGACTAATCTGGGAGTTTGTGTAGGATTACATAAAGAGGAAAGCTTATATTGGTTAAATAGTCCAGACAAGCGATAATGGAGCCAAGTGCAGGGGCAGTGACAGCAGCTATGGTGGGGACAATGAAAATGTATGGGTGGATCCTAGAGCTAAGGAATAGGTGGGCTTCAGCTGACTTGGGAACTGGGCAGGGAGTGCACAGGAGCAGGGAGGTGGACAGCATGGCGCTAATGTGAGCAGAGCAAGCCGGCCTATGAGATGAGGGGGCGGAGCTCAGGTCTGGCTGTAACCAGGTTTTATCTTGTCATACTTGCCATCTTCTCTGTGCAGAGAAGCTGGCTTTCCCACTGGGAAGGACTCTGAAGTCACTCTACACCCAGCACAGCATCTCCAATGAAGTAAGACCTTGATGAATCTGTACTGATCTAATTTGACTATCCCCATGACATCATCTCAAGTTCAAGTTTTAGACAAGGTGGAGACAGAATGTGCTTTTGCTTTGACTTTAAATAGATGAAGGGAATGAGACAAGCTTTCAGACAGCTCTTGGGGCATAAATTCATCAGGCAGAGTGATGCAGCAGAGAAAGCAATGGTTTTTGTAGTGAGAATGACCCAGGTTCTAATCTTGCCTTGTCCATTTCTACACTTGCCTCCTTGGAAAATGTTAACTGTTCAGCGTCTGTTTTTGCATTTGTACAACGAGGGAAATAATAATATGTGTCTTTCTGAAATGCTGTGATCATACATTGTCATAATTTATGTCATGCTACAGCATGCTGTTTGGGTATTTAGTAAGTGTTATGCAAATGTTAGCACCTCTAACCCCTAGACCATGTAAAAGAAATCATTCTCTCTTAAACCCCTATCTGTATCTGATGTCCTACAGCTTAATATCTTTAAGGTGTTTTGTGCATATCAAAGGCTATTAGGTAAATTAATGATAACATCCATGATATTGTCTAATGTGGATGTGAAAGTGATTAAATCAACTAGGCTAGGCTGCGAGTGAGGGTTGAATTCAGCATAGTGGTGGGAAAAGGTAAAACCATTCCATTAGAAATGAGAGACCTCCACCAAGGACATGACATTTTTTTGTAGGTGTCACGGGGGAGGTCAGAAAGCAACAGAGAGCTGAAGTCGCTTCACAAAGCATTTTGTCTTTTACTTCATATGTGTTTAGAATCATTAATGCCTTTCAGATGTGATTATTTTCCTTTGCTTTTGTTTTTCTGGAAGGGAAATATATACATATATAGCTTGATTTTCTAAAAAAAAAAAAAATCCAGGTTCTTGATTTGAAAACAGTAATTGTGGAGCACTTGGAGGTGAAGTCAAATACCAAGGATTTAATACCAATGCCATTTGTAATTTGCATAGTCTACAAAAATAATCAATCTTGCATTGTTTTAACTTCAATGAGTACACAGCAGCTGATGACTTTGCCTGGGATAATCCTTTTTAAATGTTATTTTCAATTCAAAAGTGCCTGCTGAATAATACTGAATTTCCCTAGTAAAACAATGGCATGCTGCCCACGGAGGGTGGAGGGTAGCTCTGCTGTGGAGCTGAAAGGAATAATGCGGAGCAGGGAGCACCTGGGATAGCACCAGGTGTTCCTCGTGAATGGCCGAGGGGGCAGGTATCTACTGAGAGGCTTACATTTTGGGTTTCTCCTGGCATGGTCAAGGATTGGCACTAACACAGAGGCAAGACCAACGTGTTTCTGTTGTGGTTTGATGACGCTGACTTTCATTGGCTTCCAAGATCCGATTGTTACATATTCAGAATTTTGGGGAGCTAATTTTTGATGTGTCGGTTGTTTGAAACAGGCCATGTTGGGAGTATTTACGCCATGAAAGAGGCAAACACTCTCTACCACCCCTACTGGAACTGGTTTGCTTGCATACCATTGCCAGTGGCACTTGGAATGGTTTTATCTTTCCTACCGCTAAGTTGTAGTCAAAGGTGCCTTATGCCATTACTTTGTCTAAAGTTTAAATCTAAGATTCTATCATGGCTTAATCCAGCTTATTTGGTAAACATTTTGAGTCCCTAATCAGTTCCAGGCATTACATATCAAGCTATACAATCTTTATCTTTTTAAAGCCCTGAAATAGCCCTATGCAGTAGACTTTGTTATTCAAAATTTACAGGTGAGGAAACTGGGTCTGCAATAGCTTAAGAAACTTGCCCATGGCTTAATGGGCCACACGTGGCTGAGGAAGAACTGAAACCCAGTTCTGCTTAAGCACATACCCTCCAGGACCAGAGATAACCTTGAGGAATGTTTGTTTTCAGTGAGATGTCTCTGAATGAGCAAAGGAGTCCAGGAGCACTCTGAACTTGCACATTCCTGAACTTTAAATTTCTCATGACACTTGAAAACAGAAAAGAAACAGCCCTTCTTCCTTCAGCATCTCACTTAGGGGCAATGAAACCCGCAGCATCAGAGTCTGCTTCCTTAAGAAGTGCAGCTAGATTCTGCAATGGCCATTTTGATGAGTTATTTCTACATTTTGACAGATTTTCTCAGAATATGATCTACCTCTGAAGAGCAATAACATCCCAGATGGCATCTTCAATGAGGTATTTGAATGGCCGATAATTCCGAATCAATATGATTACTCAAAGTGAGTTGTGTATTTGTAGAGTGCATCTGTGGGTGTTCCCAACAGCAAGCTTGCACTATTTAGAGAGGAGATTCAGGGATTCTTTGAGAAAGCAGCTGCAGGGTGGAAAAACAGCAGGATGGAAAGGGTAGAATGGCACAGGTGGCTTATTTTGTCCTGCCTGGTACCCACTTAATCCCAAGGGAGAAACTGAGGCCCCATTATTTATTCACTCATTTGCTTATTCTATTTTTTAAATTTTTTTATCCAACACATATTTTTAAGTATGAATGGCACCATGTCATGTGCTGAAGATAGTTCTGAAAAAAAAAATATGGGTTGTCCTTGCCCTTAGGGAGTTGCCAGATGGGGAAGACAGTTCTCAAACTCATTATTACACACATAGTTATTTAATTTCAATTGTAATGCGTTCTCCTATAGAGAAACATGGGTTGCAACAAGAGCAAATAACAGGGGATCCCACCTAGACCCAGGTGATCAGGTAGGTCTTCCTTGAGAAAATGATATTTAGCTGTGATTTAAAAGAGGAGGAGTTGAGTAGATGAAGAGAGAAAAGTAAACGTCTCCAATAAGAGGAGAGCATGGCTGGGGTCATGACTGTAACCCTAGCACTTTGGGAGATGGAGGCGGGAGGATTGCTTGAGTCCAGGAGTTTGAGATCAGCCTGGGCAACATAGTGAGACCCCATTTCTACAAAATTTTTTTTTTTTAAATAGTGGGGCATGCTGGCACCACACCTCTAGTCCCAGCTACTTGGGAGGCTGTCATGGGAGGATCGCTTGAGCCTGGAGGTCCGGAGGCTGAGGCTGCGGTAAGCCATGGTCACACCATTGCATTCCACCCTGAGCAACAGAGTGAGACCCTGTCTCAATGAATGAATAAATAAAGTAAATGGGATGTGCCAGAAAGACCTAGGAATGTTCAGGAAGTGGGGAGAGCTGATGTGGCTGGTGTGTAACAAGGGAAGAAGATTAAGTAGGGAGAAGAAGCCAGAATAATAGGCAGGGGTCAGTCCTGCCATACCTGGCAGATATTTTCTGATGGGATATTTGTCCAAAGTTCAAACAATTAGGAGCTACATGCTAAGGGTTTTTCTTTTAAAATATATTTTGGGCTACTGGGGACTTTAAAGAAAAACAGGAAAGAAATATGTGAAGACCCTGGATTCTTGAACTCACATCAGCCACCAAGTCCTAACCATTCCTTAATGTCTCTGTAGCATGCTCCCACTTTGCCATGCCAAAACATTCTAGAAGAGAGTGATGCCCCAAAATGTAGGCACTGCCCAACAATAGGGAGATATAACATTTTGGGAATAGAACTTTCAATGGTTTGTCAATACTTGATTTCTTTTTTTCTCTAAGCTACATGACATGTAGAAGCTCATGTTAATTGCCTTCTACGAACTGCCCCCTACCTAGTTTCTATTATGTGTTTTGGGGGATTAGTTATGGAACTTTTTAGTAAAGAAACCTAGAACCTCCTTCTTCCTTATGTAGCCTCCACTTAAAAGATTTCAACTACAGCTATTATTTTAGGCGATAAAGAGATTCTGATCATGGAGGGAGACATCGTGAATCTTCACAGTCCACACAATGACAATGCATGCATTTATTCAACGGTCCTGTATTAGTGCCATGTATGCCCCAGGATCTGTGCCAGCCTTGAGGATCTAAAGATGAAAAGAATATTCCTGTCCTCAGTGAGATGCAATGACATAAATGCAATGGTAATGGGAAATACTGAGGTCCTGGGGGAGCAGCGAGGAGGAAGTCAGTAATTCAGCCTAGGAGACTTTCTGGATGAACTGATAACTGAGCTGAAGCTAAATTCATGAGCAGGAGTTGAACATGGAAAAAGTGGCCAGAGATTGGGGAAGGAGACCACATCAACCATATGCAAAAGAGTGGAAGCAATAGACCTCTGGTGTCCAGATTTCTATTGAAGCAGCCAATCAAATGCTATGAATCTTTATATTTATCTTTCTCCCAAAAGTGTCAGTTTCAGAAGAGCACAACATTTCATCATGGTTGTACCTCAAGGCAGTGTGTCATGACAGAAAGAAGGCAATTTGTAGATCATACAAAATTTGATTTGATTCCCACCGCCTTCCCTAGCTGTGTGACCTTGGACAAAGCACTTAATCTTTAACTTCTAGAGCTTGATTTTCCTCAGCTGTGAAATTGGGCAATAGAGTTTGTGAGTGTTTTGTTATCTGAGCTATTCTAGGCAAGGTACCTACCACCAGAAGACACTCAATGGATGTTGAGGTCATTTGCTGATTCATTATTTAGCTGATATTTTTGTTCTCCTGTTTTTCTTTCATGTTTTTCATTATGTAACCACTAGTCTTAGGTTGAAGACAATTTTTTAAGTCATTTGAGCATCAGAACCAACCTTCAGGCAGTTGCTTCACCTGTAAATGGAAAAGCTCTGGGTGTCTTTCCACCTTTGAAACTTGAAGACTCTGATTCATTTTTTAAAATTATTTCTTCTTATTATTATTTTTTGAGACAAAGTTTTGCTCTTGTCGCCCAGGCTGGAGTGCAATGGCTCACTGCAACCTCCGTCTCCTGGGTTCAAGTGATTCTCCTACCTCAGCCTCCCAAGTAGCTGCGATTACAGGCACATGCCAACACGCCTGGCTACTTTTTGTATTTTTAGTAGAGACGGGGTTTCACCATGTTGGCCAGTCTGGTCTTGAACTCCTGACCTCAGGTGATCCACCTGCCTCGGCCTCCCAAAGTATTGGGATTACAGGCATGAGCCACTGCACCTGGCCAAAGATTCTGATTCAAAGGCAATTCTAGTTAGTGAAACCACCGACTGCTTCTTCCAGCAGAGGCATGAATGTGGTCAGAGGACAATAGAGATGCATCCATCAAATTATTATTAACTTTTCATTGGAGTTTTCTATGAAACATGAGTTATCTCCACTTTTGCCCTGTACCATTTAAATTTCTATTTTCAAAAGAAATGGAAATTTTTTAAATTATCTTTCTAATTAGACAGTAATTATCTGTAGAAAACATTTGTAAGTCACCCCTTTTACCTGGTTTTGCATAACTGATTGGGGATGTGTTTTATAAACTTGAATTCTAGCCCTTGAACCCATAACACAACTTATTTCATTGTATCTTATAAATTTTAAGGTGTGACATTATTATATGTACAACTAAAAAAGAAAATTCTTGCCAATTAAACTATGACATAATGATTCTTATCATTTTGAGTTTTTAAAACTCACTAGACTTATTTAGACATCAATTTGACTTTAGACTTATACAGACATCAATTTTGTCATCTATAATTCATGCATTAGTTTTAAAACTGAAATAAATTGGCTAAAGTATTAATGCAACTTCTTCATCTTCAGAGTTGAAACTTTCAGCGTCACTTTTCAACTCAGAGCTGTTGATAACCGGTTTTTCCCATACCAAGACCACTAGTTAAATAGCATTTCTCAAGACAGTGTCCCATTATTGTAATGGGGATTTTTTGCCCCCGCCCAAGCAACTAATCATTCTGCAACTCTCACGCATATATACAGGTGATGACAACTACATTAAGGTTTCTGTCTGCCAAGTCAATAGCATTCTGATTTCAAAAATGCTAAAATGTGAAAGGAAAAATAAACGATGTCAGATATGTCTCAGTATTGATAAAACACATTAAAAATATGGTTTAGATTGCACCCAAGATTCATCAACTGTTCTGGGGCTTCTTTTGATCACTAGAAACCTGGATAATTGTACAGTGATGATCTTGGAGCCACATTTTCAACTTCAGGGTCAATATTTCACTTTCTGAAGTTAGAAAAGCTCCATGGCTGCTATTTTATTATTCCTGTTAAAATTCCATTCTGGACCCCAAACTCAACAGCATCACTTAATGCTGATCAAATTGCAGCTCGGTGACATTCCAGTACTATATGACTCTTCCGAAAAAATGGGAACATTCACTTGGCAATAACAGTAACTGCAAGAGTCCACACAATATGAAGGAAAACTTTTTTCCTCTTTGATTTTATATTTTATCTCATCCATTTCCCCTTCTATTTCACTTTGAAAATTGCTGCACAAATCTCTGGTGTAACTCTGCCTGTTGAAAGGCTTTTTACTTACCTTCAGCTCCTACCATTTGTACTTCCCGTTATGCACCTGACAGGCCAGGTAACTGAAATGACCTGCAGAGGTGGGCCTCTGGGAACAGCATAAGCCTCATGTGGTGACCCCTAAAACTATAACAGCTGTATCCTCTGTCTCTCTGGTGAGCTATCCATAGGTTTCTTACTAACAAGCTACCTATATGTGTTATAGCTTACTCTTCTATTCTTCCATATATTCCACAAATAGTCATGGACCAAATTCTACACAGTTACCTGGAATACAATGACATCAAGGAAATATCCCTGACTTCTAAAAGTTCAGAATCTAGCAATAGGACATTGGAGATAATCAAAGATGTCAAAACAGTGTTTTAAGTACCAAAATCAAGGTGCCTATGATATTTTGAGATTGGTGAAGGGGACTGGGCCAGTCAAATCAAAATGGGGTTGGGGGCAGGGAAGCAGATCAGTCTTCAGAGGGTAAAAGTAACATCAAAGTCACAGACTATTCGGTAAGTTCAAATATGAGATTGACGAATTTTGGTGAAGTTGAACACAGCTTTAATTTTGCTTGACTGGTAAACTAGGACTTTGGACCAAGTCAGGATTCTCAACATTGCTATTCTGTGTTCTTAAGCCTTCCCAGGGTTCCTTAAGCCTCATAAAGATGACTAAATATATTTATGCCTGTTAATTTGACTCTATGTTCCACGTATGAGAAAGTCCAACGTTAAATGATTGAAAATATAGGAGACTTTTTAAAGCAAATAACTGGAAAGTTCAGAGGTTATGAGCTTCAGGTTAAGTTTGATCCAGCAGTTTAAACAATTCACCAAACACATTTTTTTACTCCCATGTCTCTGCTCTGCCTTTGTGGTTTTAGTTTGAAATTAATGTTGGCTCATCCTGATTACAAAATATTTTCTGAGTTCTTGAAGCCACACATTTCTTCTCTCCACAAACAAAAGACTAAATTTCCCCCCTACCAAGAAACAGAATTTCAAGTCTCATGTGAATTATCTCAGGTCATAAGTTTGCCAGGAAAACAATTATTGTTGTTTATCATTTACCACTGTCTGGTAAATGTGCTGTGCTTGTGTAGTGTACCAGTAGGGACCAACCCTGGAGCTCAGAGTGAGTGAGCCTGTGGGCTTCCAGGAATTGGTGAATGCTTGATGAAAAAATGGGGCACTGTTAGGAAGAGAAAGGAGGGATATGTCTGCTGATTGAGAACTATAGATGTCTACAACAGTGGTCTTGACTAAGCAGTCTCTTCAAGTCAAGCAAGCTGCTTTGTTTATGTAGGGCATGTCAACAAAGAAAATTGTTAATAGACTTAGGTGGTTTTTTGAGTGAATTGGGGTTTCACTTCAAGTCACCTTTTCTGGAGCATTCCAGATAAACTCATTCTCAATCTCTGTGATGCTCCTAAGAGTACCGAGTAGTCATAGTACCAACTCTAGGAGAATTCTGTGCCTGAAATGTCCCCTTCTCACACTATAAAAATCTTTCCCAATTTCAGAGACAGTTGCAGGCCAGATCTTCCCAAGCCACCTTCCCTGAGCACCTGTGTCCACTGGGGTCACTTTTCTCCCATGAGTTCCTTCTGCCCACATCACTTTCTTGGATCATCATAGCCCAGACCACTTGGGGCTGTCACTCTGGCATGCGTAGGTAAAGAACCACAGATCGGAGCTGGCAGGAACCTCAGGGACTTTGCAAATGAGAGAACAGCCTCTCAGTGAGGTTTAGCAAACAGGGTCAAGGTCTTATAGATAGTCAGAAGTGGAGCATAGGCTAGAATCAAAATCCTTGAGTTACGTTCCTACTTTTCTTCCACTTTCTCACATGATGCACTTTTCGGAATATTCTGTTGTCTTCCACATTTAGCTACGTTAAATGCTAAGAAATAGCCTTATACCTCATTTTGCCTTCCAGGATGCATGTCATAATTTCAACACATAGTACGTACTCATCAAATATTCATTGAAACTAGCTTGCGATTGTGGAAAGGACACTGGATTCCTCTCCAAGGAGCCAGAGTTGGACATTTATTGATTGTACGATCTCCATCCATGATGTCTCTGTTTATATATTGCTCTGACAATGCTGTCCTCACAGAATTATCCTGGAGATTAAATAAAATAACAGGGGGTAGCTGCCCACTGGGATGTCTGGCACACATTGGTCACTCAATATATGTAAAGGGGGAAGAAAAGAAATCATGCCACATGCGTGCGATCTTCTGGAGGTGAGGGGTGCCCTACTTCATTGAGTGAAGTGACCTCACTGAAGACATCTGTCAAGACTTTTATGTTGAATGCATTATAGACTCACAAGAAGTTGCAAAAATAGTACAGAGAGATCCCATGTATACATCACCTAGTTTCCCTCTTTGGTGGCATCTTACGTAACTGTTGTGGATGATACAAACCAGGAAATTGATATTGGTCCAATATAATTACCAGTCTACAGATTGTCTTTGACATCACCAGTTATTGCAAGTACTCATTTTTGTCTCTGTTCGTAATGATTGCATTTTAAATCTGAGAGTTTTAAGTGTAGCCATTTGTAGAGCCTGTGAGAAGGAAAAAAGTTCAGAATTCAAGCTAAAATTTCCTTACAGGGCCAATGTCCTTGTTGGTTTTCTTCTTGTGTCCATTGCGGTGGAGGTGACCTTACTTCAAAGGGTGGCATTTGGACAGGAGATGGACAAATAAAGAGCATCAATCCCAGCCTCCATGCAATCTGAGCAGTGTGCCATAGTCGGGAAATGAGCCAGCTGTTGAGAGTTGCTGATGGCATTCAGCATCATTTGTTTCATAATATGTCACTGGTGTCAGCTGACATTGGATTTGTATTTGAATTGTGATGAAAATATTAGTGTGGTACAGCAGAAAAATGCTTGGGCCTTGAGGTCAGACAAACTAGGATCTGAATCCTAACTCTCTCCTTTACTAGCTCTGTAACTATTGAGTGAATCATCTTCTCTGAGTTTCAGTATGCTCATCCGTGAAACGGGTATGCAAATGGCACCCTCCTGGGAGGAGGGGAGGCTTTTGGCCCAATACAAGGCAAATATAGGTGCTCAATGATTGGGTAGTGTGATTCTATTTATCATTAACATTCTACAGTGACTTTCACAATCTACATGCCAATATTTACTTAAAAAAATTATAGACAGCCTGACAGGTTGCAAAAATGCTTGTACACATATTTCTGATTTGCTCGTCTCCATAACCTTGTGAGACTCCCAGGTTGAATCGCCTGAAGTCACACAGGTAGCAAGTGGCTGGCCAGATCTAATCTCTGTCTAATGATTTCAAATTCCATGTTCTCCATACATACCCAGCCATCTTCCAGGTGCCGAGGGAGTTGTCAAGATTGCTCTCAGGAAGAGAAATGAAATAGCTCTGGATAATTTAGGGGTAAAGGAAAGAAAGCTTTCAAGTATATAACACAGCCAAACATGGAGTGCGAGTTTTTCTCCTTCAGGGAGGCACCCAGGAGTGTTTGACAGTGATACTGAGTTTTGTTTTTGTTTATGTGTTTCCTGTGGCTTAGAGAGGATCTTTCTGTCCCTTTCCCTGTTCTGTGCCAAGTCGTCTGTTTGGTTGCCCATTGACTGAGGATATATGTTGTGTTTCTGTTTTCTACTCTAAGCCAGAGTGTTAGGATGAAATGGTACCTAGATAACAGATAACTTTTTAGTTTCTTTTGAGAACCTGTTGTTCTGGGGTAACTAGCAAACAGCTTGGCAAATGTTGTTGGGCAGAGAAAAAACAGGGAACACACATAATTAGTTCTCCTAGTTAGAGACCAGAAACTACTTATGTCCCTTTGGGAAGGGACTATAAAACATCTACAGCAAATACATCTTGCTGAGTAGCTGTTCTTTACCAAGGAAAACGTCTCCGTATCTCCTGGCACAGAGACACTGAGAAATAACAGCTGATCTATCTTCATTATTAGCCTCCAACTTGCCCTATCTTCACTCATAAAAGTGTGGTCTGTGCCCCATGGAGCTGATTTGAATTGGACCCTGGTATGGAATGCACTCTGTTGTGAGGGACAGCCTCTGATGTGGGCTTGGGACAGGTCGGTTGAAGTGGAATCCTGAATCTTCTAGTGTGTCAATGTGAACATGGGCAGGCTTTTGTTATTCTTGAGGTTTCTTCATACTTTTATTTATGAAATATGAGTTCTAATATATTTTTAAAAAGTGTTCATGTGAGGATTCAATAAGACGATGGATGTTAAATGCCTAAAATAATTGTCTGGCATATAGTAGGTGCTCCATAATTGCCTCCCTCAACCCTTGCTTCCTGTGATGTTTCTGTTCATTTCCTACAGACATGTAGTAAATATATATATATAGATATAGATATAGATAGATAGATAGATAGATGTATATAGATATAGCTTTTAAGAGCCGATGCAATCTTGCCTGATTATCCCCACTTCGCCCATTTGGGCGCTTCTCCTGCCCTGGCCGCCTTGGCCATAGGGCTCAGACTGCCTACTGAGACCACAGACACCATGTTGGGAGGGCCCTTGAAGCCTCTGTCTGGTTCCTGTGCCCTAAGCACTTGCCCCCACCTACCACAGGACGGATGGGAGCAATTCTCCAGCTAATTTGCCAGTTACATGGAAGATTGCTTCCCAAATTACAAGGCTGTTGAGATTAAACTGGCAATTACCTCATGCATATTTCCCAAAGTGTTCACTTGTCTTCATCCAACACTGAGTGGCTGAGATTTTGAGTGGCCTCTGAGCCAGGTTTAAATTGTGGCTGATGTGGATAAACACCGGACTGCAGAGAAGTTATGGGACTCAGCAGCCGGGTGTGGGAAATGCAGTCAGGGATGCAGATCCTCTCTTTCTCTGGCTGAAACCCATCACCTTTTCATACCCAGCCCAATTGCCTCCCTGGCAAAGCCTTCCTGAATTCCCTTTCCCCAACCCAAGCTGGATGAGTTGCTGTAGATCTGCACATGGACAGCATCCACAGGAGCATCCGTATCCTGTGACAGTTCTTGATGTATGTTTGAGTTGTCTGCCTCCACCCACTGGGGATTGATTTGAGACCAAGATTCATTATCCTCAGTGCCTGTCTCACTAACTATCACATAGCAGATGGTCAAAGATACTTGGGAAGGAAGGAAAGGGGAAAGAAAAGGACCTCTATTAAATCCCCTATAATTTCTCTCTTAAAAGCAGGTCATATTTTTCCTGCTTTTAAGAAGGTGGTGCAAGAAACTACCATCTTTGAATCCTGCCTGCCTATGTGCCCTACACAGACTGCTCCCCATGACCCCCTATGAGGAAAGCTGCCTGACTCTTCCAGAGGGAGAGTGGAGCAGGAGCTTCACTTCCAATCCCCTTCTTCTCCTTGGGACCTCTCTCGTGTATCTCAGAATTCGACTTGGCTGTGTGCAAAAGGGAAACATGACAACAACAGCTTAACCCAAGGTAGTACCTTATCTGGCTCCTTAGTGAAAGAAGTGTTAACATTGGCAGTGTAAGGTGGTCCTGGAGTCTCCTTTCCTTGGGTCTACAGAGACCCAGGGTCCTATATTTTTGTTCCATCACATCTTCAAGGTCACTTTATGATCTATGATTGTGACTGGCACTGTAGTCCACAAGGACACATTTCAGGCTGAGAGAACGAGCAAAGGCAAGAGAGCAAGATGGCGGCATCCCCCAGCCAAGGTGGCTCCCTCTAGGCAGGAATTGATCTGTGTCATTTCCATGTACACCTCTTTGGACAGAATGTAAGCACACAGCAATGCTTGGCTAAAAGGGAGGTTGAAAAATCTAGTGTTTTTTTTGTTTGTTTGTTTTTTGTTTTGTTTTTTTATAAGGGAGTGCAATGTTTTGAATGTTTGCTCCCTTCCAAAATTTGTTATATTGAAGTCCTAAACCCCAAGGTAAATGTATTAGGAAGTGAGACTTTTGAGAGCTTAGACCATAAAGGGCAGAGCCCACTTGAATGAGATTAGTGCCCTTATAAAAAAAAAAAAAGAGGCCCTAGAGAGCTCATTTGCCCCTTCCACTTTGTGGAGACATTGTGAGAAGGCTCTCTCTGTGAGGAAGCAGACGCTCACCAGACATGGAATCTGCTGGAGCCTTGATCTTGGACTTCTCAGCTTTCAGAAATGTGAGATAAGTTTCTGTTGTTTATAAGCTACCCAGTCTATGGTTTTTTGTTGTGGCGTCCAGAAGGGACTAAGACAGAAGGCAATGATTCCCTCCGACCACAAATCGGAGTTCTGATATTAAGGAGTTCAGAGAGAATGGGCATTGAGATGACGACTAACAGACACTGCTTTCCGGAAAATAAATAGGAAAAAAAAATGAAAGTGAAAGGAGTTGGATTTCTCTCTTCTATAAAGACTCTAGCCCCCAAGTGCCATTTTTCCTGGTAACTACATTTCAGATATCTATCTCAGAAAGACAGAAAGAAAGGAGGGAATGATGCTTCCCTCTCTGTTTCATGGAAGCAGCCTAAAGAAATGAAACAGCAGGAAAGAAGCAAATATGTATTAATTTCCTATTTGCCCCAGGCAGAGGCACACATTTTATCTTATTTAATTCTCACAACATCCCCAGGAGGAAAGTGTTACTACTTCCATTTTGTATTCAGAGACTTGAGTTCAGAGAGGTTAAGTGACTTGCCCAAGATTGCAGAGTTAGTAAGGGATAAGCTGGAAATCCAAACTAAATCCCATCAAAAACTAGCTGCTGCTCTTTAATGCTAACTCTAGACACAACAGTAGAAGAGGGAGGAAGATGCATGACAGCATCTCTGATTCAAAGGACAAAATGCCCTTGAATTTTGGTTTCAGCATTTGGTGTAGAATATTAAATGTTCATAGTTCCTTTAATGTGCAAGCATTTGTCTGACAGACAACATTTTCTGAATACATGAATTTTGAAAATATTCTAAATCTCCACCAAGAGTTCTATATTGGTGGTGGAGGGGAGAGAGGAGAGTTGAATGCAAAACCTCAAAGGCTGAATGAGAGTAATCCTCCGGCCATCTAATTCACTTAGATTTCTCTTGTGTTAGAGAAATGCTAATGTTTATTTGTGTGAAAGCTGGTCTGTGCTGGGCTTCTAGAAGACACAGACCATTAAAGAACACAGCACTGGACCTGCAGAAAGGAGCTGTCAATGCAATTCCTTAGGGACCAAAAGGAACTCAGAGGTCCCTGTGGATACCCTCCTAATTCCCTGAAGAACAACCATCCAGCTTTAGGAAGAAAACTTTAAGATAGGGACTTGCTATTTTCCAAGGCAAGCATTCCATTGATGGACGTCTGCTTTTAAAATAAAGCAAAACCCTGATCCCCTGAGACTCTGACTTTACCAGTGAGTAAATATTGAGAGTCCCCCATACGATATTCTTTTACGCAAGTTATCTTCAATAATTCTAGTATTGCGCCTAGGCCTATGAAGATAGTAGATATTATCTGTTTTCTTTTGCAATTGTGTAAAGAGACTGGGAGCTTAGGACTTTCCAGAAATCACAGGGCTCAAGAGATGATTAACCTTGTCATCTGACTTCAGAGTGGGTATTTTCTCCTTACATAGTCACTGAATCTTTGTACTGAATCTT
Source organism: Homo sapiens (assembly GCF_000001405.40). Lineage (NCBI taxonomy): Eukaryota > Metazoa > Chordata > Mammalia > Primates > Hominidae > Homo > Homo sapiens. The sequence continues at coordinate 65,417,193 of NC_000016.10, read as the reverse complement.
GGCTCTTATTCTTACACTTTGGTCCACACTTCCCTGGTTCTGGCTGGCTGGATGTTAGTGGTACCATTATCTCTTCTATGTAGGACACAACGTTTAGACCATCATCATTTGATTGACCTTCCTGGAATACAGGTCAACTTTTTCAAAGTTTTTTTTGTTTGTTTGATCGTGGCTCCAAGAACCGAGAATAATATGCTGGCTATGATGAGGATGAGATGGGATTTGCAAACCTGGCATTTGAAGATCCACATGTACCTTCTGCTGAGCTTCTTCTTCAGTTGACCTGTGGACTCAATTGAAAGATCCAAGTTAAATGCCCAGACTCTGTTCTCCTAGAGCTCAACCTCATGCAGTTGATACTGAACACTTTCACGTGTACTCCTACCAATGTGAACCGTATTCTCTGCCCATGCCTCTAAAGGGTTGCCACTCCTTTCCAGGAGACAATATACAGACATGGAAGTAGTGTAAATATAGAGCTACCTACGCTGCATAGCTAACCATACCAAAACTTAGTGGCTTAAAATAGCAACGGTTATTCATTCTACTCTTGGATCTACCATTTGGGCAGGGCTCAAGAACAATATTTTATCTCTGTTTCATTTGTATTCAGCAGGACAGATTCGCTTAGGGAGTGGGAGATCCGCTTTCAAAGTAGCTCATTCACATGGCTGGCCAGTTGGTTCTGTTAGCTAAGAGCGTGGATGGGACTGTGGGTCAGGGCCATGGGCTCTGGTTTCTCTCAACATGAGTCTCTCCATGGGCTTTTGTGGCTTCTTCACAGCATGATGTCTGGGTACCAAGGGCAAGTGCCCCAGAGGAACTAGAGAGAAGCTGTGTGACCTTCCCTAACTTCACCTGAGAAGTTACACAGTGTCACTTCTACCACACTTCATTGATCCACCTTGGTCACTAAGCTCAACCCACACTCAAGTGACAGGGACATACACCCCATGTAATAATATGACGTGTATCAAAGGATTTATGACCATATTTTAAAACTACCCCACAGGCCAGGTGTCATGGCTCATGCTTGTAATTCCAGCAATTTGGGAGGTGGAGATGAGAGGATTGCTTGAGCCCAGGAGTTCAAGACCAGCCTGGACAACATAGTAAGGTCCTATCTCTAAAAATAAATAAATACAAAATAAAATAAAAAAGAAGAAATAAAATTGCCCCACAGACATACTTGAGAAGGTGGCCAGCTTTAATATGTACTTCAGTGCCACCTGGAGCAAACTACTTAACTACCCTAAACCCACATTTCCCCTTTCTGTAGCAAGAAACTAGAATTTGTGGAAAGGTGTACTGTACTGCCTGCCACCATCCCTACTCAGAAATATAAGTTGGCTTTCTCCTGTCTGCTTAGTTTCTTGTTATTATTCAATTCATGTTATCTGAATAGTCCATCTGAAAGAATCACTTCATCTTCTCCAGCTCCTTCCAAGTTTTTAATAAAACTTTCAAGCAGGTCACAGTGCTGGGGCACACCAAGTGGGGCTGCTCTTCAGCCTGATCCGCCAGTCTCCATCAGGTGAAGTGACTCATTCCACCAGGAATCCTTGTTAACCTCCTGGAGTTCATGTGGTTTCCTTAATCTTTCTCTTCCAAATGTGCGGTACTCAAAAAAGTAATGATGAATGAATGAACAAATAAATGGAACCTACATAGAAAACTAAACCCCATACTAATTTTATGACAATGCGTTCAAATGGTAATTTCTAGATGTGGGCTAAGAATTTATTTTCTTATTAGGGAACAAACTCGGGAACAAACATGACCTAGTAGATACTTACTCTAAGAATGGAAAGTTACTCCATCGTATTTAGGATCATTTGATATATCTACTTTTTATTACCAAACTGATTCTTTCTGTGTGTATGTTATTGTAATTAGGTGAGTTAAGGTAGGATAATTTTCCAGAGAAAAAGCTACAAAAGAAAACTTTTCTTGAAAAATTGTGTTAGATTTTTTTTTTTCAGCAGACTTTGGTGCCAAGTCAACTTCACAACAGGCCATCTGTCTTACTCCAGTGAAAGTGATCACCAAGAACTCTCTCAATAAAATAATTGCAAAAAAAAATCAGTTTCTTTTGTCTGTTGATATCTAGACATCATATCATTTGATTCCTGCAGTACTTAAAGTGGTTAGAAATCTTCAAGGAATTATTTTATATATTTGAATAAAACTGTTAATTATTGCTTTCTGTTGTGAAGGCATGAACCAGGGAAAAGATAAAAGCATCTTTCAAATTTAATGTCCCAATTAATTAATTTTTACTTATAAAATTGGAGGCTTTGCCAAGGCTTCTGGAAGCATTATAAAAGATTGACGTCATAAAGATAAGAATTTAACTGGGTCAAGCCCGACCATCAGATTATTCTTAATTAGGACTGAATCTCTCTATAATTTCTATAAAATTGGCTGAATAACGGATGACACACTGAATTACTAATGTAATTCAAGGGGGTATGTGATTTAAAAATGGGCTGCTCCTTTTTTCGCCTGTTTCATCGATGGTGCTCTCTGCCCTGATTCAGTCTGCACGTTGTTGTTTATTTTCCAAGTTCAGAAAAATGTCATCTTTAATTATAGATGGTGGCCAGGACACGCCTCCCCCCTCATGCCTACTCTCAGTATTGAATGTAAAATATTGGCCTGGATAGAAAAAACATGTGCTTGTGTCAGAGGAGGCATCATTTCCCAAAGGTCACATTTGAAACTTGCTGGGTGAGTCAGCCTGGAACTTGTGGGCTGTGTGCTGTGGTTTTCAAGAATCAGAAAGGTCAGTCCCTCTAGGCAATTCTAGATACTGCAGAGGAAGGTAGCTTTCATCAGGGAAAAGACAGAAAGCTTGTTTGAGAGATTTAATGTATATTATGTCAAAACATCATAAATGACACTCACAAATGTAATGTTGAGAACACCTGCGTACCTGGGAATACATACCGCTTTATTCCATTTATATTGAGTTCAATAACAGGAAAAACTAGGCTATGATGATACATGTTAAAAACAGTGGTTAATTAAGGGGGATGATATTAACTGGGAAGAGGCATAAGGAAACTTTCTGGAGCCATGGAAATGATTTATGCCTTGATTTGACATGTACATAATTTGATATGTGTATCTAAACATTAAGTTTCTGTAACTTGATCTATGTGAATTTCACATCACTACAATGACATACACACAGAAAGAATCAGTTTGGTAATAAAAAGTATATATGTCAAATGATCCTAAATACGATGGTGTAACTTTCCAATCTTAGAGCAAGTATCTACTAGGTCAAGTTTGTTCCTAGACTTCTGCATCAGACTCAGCTGGAGTATTTGTTAAAAATACAGATTCCTGGACTAACTCTAGCCTAACTGACACAAAAGGGCTTTGAGAAATCTCCCTTTTCAGTAAACTTCCTATGTAATTCTCCTATCTCCTTATTAAAATGTATTTTGAAGAGGTGATCCATGAACCTAGCAATTCAGCATTTTCTGTTTGCACAGATGGGTTCATCAGAATTATTAAGGGGATACCAGGAAACAAAAATTCGGAACCAATATGCAAAGGAGTTACGGTATTTGCCATGAGTCTTTGTGTTATCTTTTTTGATTTTCACAACTCTAATGTGAGATTTCATATTATCCCATATCCAAGAGGTGTTGGGGTTAAGTTGGATAAGTCAGGCACCCCCAAGTCACACCCTGTAATGGAGGAGTCACCAAGATATGGATGACTACATAGCCTAGACTTTTAGCTACTGTGCCTCTTTAAACAATCTTATGGTGTCCTAGTCAAAAAACTAAATATGAGCTATATTGAGAGAGTACGCTGAAGTGGAATCTGCCTGTGCAGTGGAATCAGACAGAACAAGGTCGCCAACTCTATAAGACTGGACAAGACCATGCTCCGTCTGCGCCTCATTTTTAATCTCTGAGAGGTGAACCTCCTGGCTCACAGGGATTGAACACCTTTATCTGAATAAATAGCTGTCTTAACACACAACCCCTGCCTACAGAGCTCACAGCTCATCTTCAGGAGAATATATATTAGTAATTGGCATTTCAGCTGGTATTTGTTGAGTACTACTGTGCCTGGTGCTCTGTGACTCACACCCATAGTGTTACAGAGATGGGGTGCTGCAGTTAGGGTTTCCCATCAGGCTGTGGAAGCAGCACCAAGGATGATGTGGGCTGGGAAGGACCAGGGCAAGAAAGGTTTCAGAATACAGAGGACCAATTCTGAGTCTTGCAGGAAGGGTAGGGTTGAGTTAGTTAAAGAGGAGCCAAGATAGACACTGAGGTGGGAAAGGCAATGGAATAGACACTCATCAAGGAATGCCACAAGAGACAAGCTTCAGGCATGATTGGGTAAGTGCTGGATTTTAACCATAAGGAATGAATAGTAAGTGTAAACGGGGAGGCTGAGACAGACTGGCGAGGGTCTTGAATGCCAAGTTACCAGGTTGGTCTTTCCCAACCTGGTAACTGTATGTTATAGGGAAATAATGAAGGTTACTGAGTAGGAGACCGAAAAGATGACAACAGATACTTAGGGATATCAGATATCAGTCTGAGGCCTGCACTAAGAATGAATTATTGGCTAGGCACGGTGGCTCATGCCTGTAATCCCAGCACTTTGGGAGGCCGAGGTGGGTGGATCACCTGAGGTCAGGAGTTTGTGACTAGCCTGACCCACATGGAAAAACCCCATCTCTACTAAAAATACAAAATTAGCCAGGTGTGGTGGTGCATGCCTGTAATCCCAGCTACTCAGGAGGCTGAGGCAGGAGAATCACTTGAACCCGGGAAGTGGAGGTTGTGATGAGCTGCGATTGCGCCACTGCACTCCAGCCTGGGCGACAAGAGCAAAACTCCATATCAAAAAAAAAAGAAAAAAAAAAAGGATTATTGAGTCATTGCTCATGGTCATTCTTACCTTTTCTTTGAATATACTGGCTGATCATCTAGTGGGGTCTTCTCTCCCTTTATCCCTCCCTCCCTCCCTCCCTTCCTTCCTTCCTTCCTTCCTTCCCTCCCTCCCTTCCTCCCTCCCTCCTTCCCTCCCTCACTCCCTCCCTCCTTTCCTCCTTCCTTCCTTTCTTCCTTCCTTCCTTCCTTCATTTCTCTCCTTTCTATCTTCCTTTCTTTCTTTTTTCTTCTTAAGGAAGGGGTCTTGTTCTGTTGCCCAGTCTGGAGTGCAGTGGCATGGCACACGCGTAGCTCACTGCAGCCTCAAACTCAGTCCCCCTTTTTCTTAATCTCTCTCTTTTCTTCTCAACTTCTGGGCTAGGCCATCTTTCAATAATATGGTTAGCCTAATCTTTTGAGAGCAAAAGTTTGTACTGCTTGAATAAATCCGACTTTACAGAAAGCACATTCAGCCATTCAACTACGGATTGAATTGATGTATGCGTATCGCATACAATTTGATTCCATACATTTCTATTCATATCACTTACTTTTTTGTTGCCTACTGTTAAAGCTATCTATTATTATGTTTGGATATGTAGGCGGGTGAGGTTAGCCAATTTTGAGATACATAAATAGTTTCGTTATTCATATGTTCATTTCCCCATAAAATCACAAATATCTGAAAGGAGCAATGGAAAACTTACTTTGATTTTTAGTTAGCTAGGGCACATTTAATTTTGTCAAGGCTTAGGTCAAATTTAGAATCTCTTACATTGCTGAATTGTAATGTTGCACCCAAAGAGTGTGACAGGCCACAGAGAGCTAGGGTAAAAGAGAGAGCATGTCTCAGAAAGAATTATCCCCCATGAGAAAGAAGTGACCTATGCAAAAATTTGTAATTGTAAAATTTGACCTTATGAGTCTCATAGCATAATGGCCACTGGGAACATGAACTCTTGCTTATGCCTGTCTCTGTCCAGATAACTTTCTTTTTTTCATTTTTTTTCTAACTCTTTCTCAGTGTAATACATTTCAGCTTTGTCTGTACTAATTTTCTGTTCTTAAGTGCAATGGGCTTTTCTTCTGAGTGCAGTTTGACTTCAGCAGGTACACATTTCTACTTTTCTCTGTTTTCACAGGAATCTCTTCATTACTGAAAATCACCTTTATGAACCACACATAAAAAAACTACACAACGAAGCATGACCCAAATGTTTATTTCCCATTACCACATTTCTCTAGGCTGAAGTAAGGATATCTGCAGCTCTTGTCCAAGCAGAACAGGCTTTGGAGCCCACTATGAGTCACAAGGTTTGTAGCAAGAGAGTAAATAAGTATCTCTTGAATACCCTGCTGGATACGCCACACACACTTTTAATGTAATCGCCCTGTGTCTTTTGGTTATTTCTATTTTAAAATGGAAGAAACTGGGGCTCAGACACTTGAAGTGCCGTGGGGAAGGACATAGGGATGGTCCAAGTAAGGTGAAGAACAGGAAAGGGGAATCAGGTGCTGGCTAAGAACTGAGATGAGAATGAATGAAAACCACAAAGGCAGCTGCAAGATCTGACAGATAAATGCAAACACCCAAGAAGGTAGAGTGGAATGAAGCTACCATGACAGAAAAAAATATTAGTTCATTATAGAAAACTGAATATGGAAAATAGCAACGACTTTATTAATAACCTTAACCATTACCTCTAGGACACTCCTGCCTGATGCCAACCAAGGAATCAAAGTCTAGGGCATGACAAGGGACAAAGCACATAAACTCTCTACCCTGGTAGAGTTCACAGCCTAGGGGGAACCAATGCTGAGACATGTCTGTCAGTGAATTTTAAATTCTTAATGGTGCCTTTATGACAGCCCCAAAGGAAACCAGAGCTACTGGCAACAAGACTGATTGCAAAAACTCTGTGAGTGGGTCCAGGGCAGGGTCCACTCCATTTCTTTTCCTTGTTTTGCCTCAACCCAACTTTGACTTGTCTAGATTTCATATTAGTCCCCCATTCTTACACAGAAAATTTTACTTCTAGGTGGCTATTAGGCATCTATCCCTGTATATGCACTACCTTTGATGTTTGTTTTCTGCCCCTTTAAAACTAACTCTTGCCAGTCTCTGCGTTCAATCTGAAGATGCTCAGTTTCACAGCTGGTGGGTAGCTAAGCTGGGATTCCTATTCATCCATGTTCATTCTGTTGCCTTCCCCAGGGCATGGAGCAGGAAGTAAATTTACACCTACACTTCTGTCTCAGTTCCAGATACTTTACTGAAGATGTGGCTTTTTCCCATCCAAGTGTCCACCTCACTAGTTTTGTACTTGTATTTGTTTTAATAAATAAATGAATAAATAAACAAAACTGAAAAGATTGCATTCATGGAAACATTTTTGCATCTTACAAAAGTAACTGACTTGGATGAACTTGGCCCCAAGTGTTGGAAATGAGTAGATTCTCAACTACAATTTAGCCTTCCTGGAAGGGAAGTTTGGCTTTTGAGTCAGGAGAGTAATTTAGCTTTGGGAGTTTCCCAAAGTGCTTTATACCAACATTACAGCATTAGTCATTTCCATAAGATCTTCACATAGTACCTGCAAATCTTGCTGTGCTATTTGAAATTGAAGGCTCAAGAGGTTTTAAGTGGAAATAGGTGTTTATACTATCATGCATGCTCCTAGAGCTTCGATTAGTTGTTGCATTATATCAATATGGACTTTAGGAATAAAGGGAGCCACTTGCACAGCTGGACGGGAAGTTGGCAGATTTGTGAGGACAGGTTTGGGCTACAGTTCTTTGGGTAGAAATAATTACCTCAAGTATCAAAAAGATCATGATAGACTTTGATTGCAAAATGACCTTAGTTCAAATCTCTGCACTGAACATTACTAGCTGTGTGGTATTAGACAAGCAACTGGATGTCTCCAAGTCTCACATGATGTAAAATGCAGATAATAATGCAGACACTGATATTATGTGTGTTAATTTATTAGAGTTAGAATACAGAAACACGTGTTAAGGAAGTGATTACATATCCCGACTTTTTCAGGATTAATTCTGATGTTAGTACTAATTCCTCCTATCCTCAAATTCCTATATCCCTAAACCTAGTACATTGGCTGGTTTATAGCAGGCATGGAAATATTGAGTGGGTAGGATCTTTTTCTTAAAAAAAATTTTTCAGAAACTTTTAGCATTTTCTCAATAAGTATTTTAGGTGAGCATGCAAAAAACATGTCAAAAGTGAACACTTGGTAAGGAATTAAGAGATTTAATTTCAAAGCCCAGCTCAGGCATTTTGTGCATAATTTAGGCTAAGACACTGGACCACATGGGTCTCAGTTTCATGAAAACAAAAATGATGGAGGTGGGAGGTGTAGGGTGTGAACAAGAGAAACATTCAAGTTTTATTGGGTTTTACCTTTCAATAATTAAAAGAACACAGCCCTCATCTATTTATTTCTTCAAGAGGCTGATTCTCAGGAAATATATGGATCCAACAAAAAAATGTATTTTATATATATATATATATATATATATATATATATATATATATATATATAATCCCCAACAGATGCACAATATGCTATTTTTCTTAAAGAATAAATTGGTATATTGGCATAGCAGGGTGTTTTCTGTTCCTTTTATGAAAGAATGGTTTTAAGGAGCATAAGTATATGGTCTTTGTCAAACATGTATGTCTGCATTTTCATTTAAATGTAAATGCTGCTTTGAGTCTCAGGAAACACACACACTGGACTCACAGCCTTTGCAGAAAAATACCAGAAATAGTGAGCTTTGGAAACTGAAATTCCTTCTTAAATTAATTTTTATGTGTCTCAAGATCGTCTTGATAATTAATTTTTTAATATATTTTAAACATCTTTTTCTTTCCTTGCAAAGAGGAAGAAATAAACAACATTGGTGAAAGAACTCCGATTGTCAAGACAATACAATGCGTTGCTAGCTGGGGAGACATTTGTGCAACTTACAGAGATATATAAATATATTAGTTTGGGGATTGCTACTTTCAGAGCAAATATTGCATTGTCACAAATATCATACCCTCAAGCCAAGGTATGTATTAATGGCTTCATTATTAAAATTTGGTTACTGTTTCAGAACTGTAAATCCATCAGTTATGATAATTTTATAAAATGAAACCACAAATATTAATGAAAGTTTTCAGTTCAATAGAGCATCAACAATAACCAGATATTATAATTCTGGGAAAGTTAGCGAATGGTATTTTTAAAGTATCAGAAAATATTCTCTCATTCAAAATTTTGACTGGAGTTTTCAAGTACCAGCCATGACAATAAATTTCTCCTACTGCCCTCTCTACCAAAATGCATCATTTCTCACGGTCTAGAGGAGAGAGCCCATGTTTTCCTAGCTTGGCATGCAAGAGCCTTACCATCTTCATTTATATTAGCTTTCCACACTGCATCCTTAAATGCAGGTACATCCTCAATGCCTGCCTCTATTATGACATTACGTTGCCTTCTGATCTGTGCCCTGGTTACTTATCTCCTTGCCCCATGTGCCCACATTGCAAATTTCTATATGTCTTCAGGGTCAATACATAGGTGGCTTGGAATAGATGGCATTGAATATCTGCTGAACAAACACTATCTCTTCTTTGCTTAAAGCAGCCCTCAATGGGCATGCTTCCCTTTAAACTATTTTTCTAAAATTGCCAAATTAAATTTTGGTTGGATTTTAAGCTCTTTAGTTTCTTGTACAGAATAGATTCTTAATAGCATATCAATGACAAAAGAATGAATAAAACACATTTGTTTCTGGTTTCTATTCAAGAGCCATAGAGTTTATATCTCTAAGGTAGGCAAAAAGGGTTTTAAAAAGAAAAGAATATTAAAGCTCACTAGGAAAATTTCGCCAAAAGAAAATCTGGAGAACAAGCAGGGTGGCTTTATGCCAATTAATTATGTTTCTTTTTAATCAAGTGTACAGCTATTTATGCAGTTATTAAATAGCCAGATTTTTTAGAAGGAGTTGGCTGGTACCGTTTAGGTTAAAGGCCCTTGCTTGTAATACATGCATCACAGATTGAGCAAGATTGAACTAGACATACAGAAGGAAACGGCAACCTATTTTCTTTTCTAAATTGCAGAGGAGTCAGTCTTTCCACATGTTATCTCCATTCTCTCTCCAGTCATTCTCTTCTTAGTCTCATTTGCCAAAATTACACACAGAACTGCAGCAGTACTGCGCACCAAATATGCCCTGGCTTCATCATAAGTATTTCAAAGTACACTATTAAGGCAAAAAGAAAATCGAATCTTATTAACAGGATTAAGTTCTGAACAAGTCTCAAAATCCATTAGAAATAGAAGTGACGGTGTCAGCAATAAGGATCTGCGAAATCATTTAATTAAAACTCTTTTATTTTAAAAAGCAGATTACTTATGTGTTCTGGTGGCTCTAAGCATTAAAACGTGGCAGAATCGATATTCCACGGAGGACCACAATCCCTTATGGTTTGTTTGTTGAGGATTATTTCTTAAAGTCGCATACACGACACTCGTCTGTCTCACCCGAGCAAGTTGATTTATCTTCTGAAGAAAACGCACATAAGGGCCATGCATATAACAGGAGGAAATTAATACCATAAACCTATCATGAAACATTTCAAGTCAAAATAAGATCTGGTGAGACTTGAGTCCTTTATGGTGTGTGAAGGAAACTGTATAGCCCAGTTACAAAACCAAGTCATCCAGCTTCGGCTTCTGCAAAATAAAAGGCCTACATCTTTCTGAGAAAGGGACACTTTCTTTCTTTTTTGTTTCCCATGAATTCCGCCCTTCCTACTGACTTTAAGGTAATTCATTGGTTTATTCATTTATTTTTTGCTTAACAAATGTCTGACACATGGAAGGACCGGGAGGAGGTGCCCACGAACAAGGCAAAGCCCCAGGAATAGAAGTCTTCTTTACAGACAGCTGAGTCCAATTTTACAGCCATTTGTCAGAACAAGGACATCTGGTTGGTGTCTGGTGTGGGCATGGGAAGGCTGGTGACGTGAAGTTTTGCAATTATTAAGGAACTGACAACCTCACTGCTGTAAATATGTTAATGAGGTCAGAGAGCCCAATAGTTCTGGTTTCTTACAATTGGGATTCCCAGAGTTTCACTTTGTGAGGTGCCAATTTTGTGAAAAATGTTGGTTATCTGGTGCATAGGCTCAAGTTCAGAGAGAAACCAGTGAAGTGCTTCCAAACCAATTCTAGTGCTTGTGGTGGATTTGCATCAGGGATGTTCTGATCATCTAAGAGAGGTGCTGAAATGCAGCCCACCACCTCTTCAGCAAAGGCTGGGGTTTTGAACTCAATGGCAAACATAGGATAAGTTCAACACAGTCATGGGCTTCTTCTGTCATAAACAAGATGAGCTTCTGGGTATGAGGTATTGGGACATAGCTTACTTCCTCTTCTGTTGATTTCTAGACCTTATTTGAAGAAGAAAACAGTTCCAACTAGCTTAAGACCTAGTATAATTTTCAAGTCTTTTGTATTACAATTCTCAATAACCCATTCCTGAATTCTGTGAGAATAAACTTAAAAAAATTCTCCAAGTATCTATATTGCTTTTCATATTATATTGGCATCTGACCTTCAACTGTGGGCTATTTGCATGTTCATTTGGTGACAGTATGTATATTGTAACAGATTTTACCTACATATATTTTTTCTGATCCTACAGTTAGAGGGTCTCTTATTTAGGGCATAATTCCACAACCTTTGATAGTATCTTGTAAATATAATATACAAAGAAATCTATTTAATGATGAATTGTGTTTCAGATGTGTTTCAATAAATTTTTGTTTTTTTTGCTTGTGAAAAAATATTTCCAATTTAGCTTTAAAGTAGTATATGAGAGGAATATTTATCTATATATGTAATCTCTCTCTCATCCATTAATAAGTATCCATCAAGTGCTACCTATATTTAAGAAAAGTTATTTGCATAGAGGTTATAGTTGAATCCTAACATCAATAGGCAAATTCTTATTACCTGATTGGATGGCACTCGTTCAAGGGTATGGCTGCCTGTGTTAAGAATGTGTATCTCTCTGATGTCCATAGTGTTCTTTCTTTTAAAGTCATGAGGTGAGAGCAGCAAGTTGACCCAGGGTCTTTTTCTCTCATTGTCCTGTCTTCTCAGGGGTCTGAATGCAGGATGAGAAGGTTCGAAAGCTGGGTTGGGACTTGGTGGAATAGGCAGCTTTTTGGCATTCATTATTGACCCTGAACCACAACCCAACTCACCAGAACTTTTTGTACTGAGATGTGGGACTCAAGCCCAGCTGACAATGAGGACACTTCCACTTTTGTTTGCTCCTATTTCCCATTTGTTTGTCTTCCTTGGAGAGGTTGGGGGAAAATGAGAGGGTCTAGGGAATAAGCCCCCAAATCCTGGGTCCAAATGCCATCTTAACACCATCAGAAAGACTCTGAATCTTCACATTGTCTTTCACAGCTGCTGCTTCTCTCTCTAAACCAATGCCTGCAGGTTCTCCTGAACGAGAAGTAACCCTCAAATTGGGCATCGAGCTGGGATCACAGCATGGCTGCTATCAATTCCAGTGTGAGGTTTTCTCTGGATGCTGTTCATAGCAGCACCTGTGTTCTTAGCAGGCCCAGTGGAGTCAGCTTTGGAAAGTAAGAAGTCAGAGTGCAAGAGGTGAAATGGCTTTGGGCCATGAGTAGAAATTAGCTTCATGTAGAAAAGTGATTCTGACCTCATAAAATGGTTTGGGTGCCAACCATTGCTCTCTTCTGAGCTTTTCCCTTGAATTTGATCTTGCTTATTGGGTTTTGTGATGAAAGGCTTTTATTGATTACTACTAAGCACTTGAAAGTTAAGTGGCTCTGTGGAAAATAGGGAATTAGATGATCATTATTTTTTATCTTTTCTGAAAAGTGCAATTTCTAGTTAGACATTTGACTAAATAAAACCCAGGGCGCCTTTATACCAGAAACGGAGTGAAGAAGTAAAAAGTGGAATCTCAAATGCAGCATTTCAGTATGATTGGATTTAATTAAATACTTCAGATGAGGCTGTGGGGAGGAAGCCAGTTCTCACCAGAAGTTAGGTGGCATTTCCTTTTATGAACCAGTGTAGGAGGGAATAGGCAGGCCCTGTTAGCCATCAAGGTTCCCTTCCCTCATGCCCTATCAAATCCCAGCAGGGCCTTGGACTAATGCCTAGTGTCAGTCTGTTTTTGCTTCAAGGCTCTCTGTAGAGGTATTAAGGAACTAAAGCAAGACTGGCCTCACCTAGTCTCCAAGTCAATCTTAAGAAAAGCCTACTGAGAACTACAAGCAGGTGAATTGGTACACTCCAGGATGGGAGTCCTGATCCTGCCATGCTTGGTTAACTTCCTTTATCTTTATCCCAGTCACTGGATGATATTCTTATGCCTGCTTACCAAATGCCTTTGCTGCTAACAATGGCCATGACAATGTCATTTTTAGAGTTGTGAAGATTGTGTACAGCAGAGGCATTTCACCTGAACTCCAGGATGGGTAAATGGGCCAATGTTATGGATGAAATTATCTTTTTGTGTTTCCGTGCACAAGACAGGCAAGTCCCTGACTACCTGGAGCTTACATTTAAATTGGAAGAAGCAAACCATGAACTAAAGAGATTAATATACTAGGTAAGTTCAGGTTGTGATAAATTCTACAACAAAAAACCTACAGGGCCTTTTGACAGAATTTTACATGAGGTTTTCAAGGCAGGTGAGCAACATGAGGATTCCTCAAAATTCTTCACGCCTCTTGGAGAGTAAATGAAAAGTCTTAGCCTGGGAAATCTGGCAGAACAGCCCCAAATGGTCCACTGAAATGACCAAATTTCTTTAACACTTCTTGTTTTAAAATGATGTTTCATGCAAATTCTGTTACTGCTCCTTTCTATATTCCTGTTGGTTTTAATATGGAATATATTTTACAAGTGGTCAAGAAAAGTCAGGAACAAAAGGATATTTGCTGTACTGTCCCCATCACTTTATGTCTCCAGGCATATAATCTGCTGTAACTGGAGAAGCAATTTGGGACTAGTACTGTGCCACCTTCTCCCACAAAGGATTTTTGGACATCAGCAATAATTGATTCCCACTCCAGGTTGTCCCATTCCCATAGACACTGTGACCTGGGTTGCTGGACTCCTCTTACTGATGTTATCGCCTGGCTAGTCTTCCCATCCTGCCTTCTCCACTGGATCCCTTATCTTGACCTATACAGTAGCTCCACTGAGGTTCCCACTGTGCTACGGCTGGACTCAAGCAGGTTATAGTCCTCAGAGTCCTGGGTAGTTCTCTTTTAACCTCACTTAGAAAAGTTATTAATGACATGGACTTATAGGGGATTTGGGGAATATAAGTGCCATTCAGTTCCTCTCTAATTTTATAGGCTACACCTGAGTGGTAGAGTGTCTGGATCCATAGGCAGCTGGATATACATGAGGCCTTGCTTTTGTTGGAATTCTTGCAGCATGGAGAAAAGATTAGTGCTGAGCTTTCTCTGCTTGGAACTAGCAATAGGTCCAGGGCATGAATAAGAAATCAACAAGAACTGACAGGAGCTGGTACTTAGTGCTCTGAGGATCTCAGGGAGAAGAGCTGACATCAACCCAGTTGAATGCAACTGGTAACCCCCAAGTCCTTGAGTGCTATGAGCTAAATGAGTGGCTTAAGTCTTCCCTGCCTCCAAGGTTGGATATAGTTGAGAGTCAGAAAGGAGGTGATTTCCCACATATGCTTTGATAATGAAACCAAAAATAGATCAATAGATAACAAATACGCTACAGACGGATATAAATAAATGTAAAGTAGGTAGATAAATAGATTAGATAGACAGATAAACACATCACTCTGAAAATAGAGAATATACATTGCTCTTCATCATGGGGACTTTTTTTTTTTTTTTTTTTTTTTGACAGAGTTTCACTCTTCTTGCCCAGGCTGGAGTGCAGTGGTGCGATCTCAGCTCACCGCAACCTCCACTTCCCGGGTTCAAACGATTCTCCTGCCTCAGGCTCACAAAGTAGCTGGGATTACAGGCATGCACCACCATGAATGGCTAATTTTGTATTTTTAGTAAAGACGGTGTTTCTCCATGTTGGTTAGGCTGGTCTCAAACTCCCGACCTCAGGTGATCGACCTACCTTGGCCTCCCAAAGTGCTGGGATTACAGGTGTGAGCCACCATGCTTGGCCCATCATAGGGATATTTATAAGCAGCATTTCTTAAAGTTAAAAAAAGGTCATATTCTCTGTTTCTTATCCTAAGATGAAGAAATCAATCAATATTCAAAATGTTAGCTTCTTGGAAATTAAATGATACCCTCCTTGATGATACTAAAATCAGAGAAGATATAAAAGTAAAAACGCAGATTATCTGGATAACAACGAAAAAAATACTTTATAACGAAAATTATAGGACGCAGTAAAAGCTTTCTCGCCAAACTTAATTAATTATTAGTGGAAAAAAAACACCAAAGGAGACTAAGTAATAACTGTTAAACAAAAATTATGGGAGGACTTTTTTTTTTTTTGAGACAGTCTCTCACTCTGTCACTCAGATTGGAGTACAGTGGTGTGATCTCTGCTCACTGCAACTTCTGCCTCCTGGGTTCAAGCAAATCTCGTGCCTCAGCTTCCCAAGAAGCTAGGACTACAGGCATGTGCCAGCATGCCTGGCTAATTTTTGTATTTTTAATAACAACAGGGTTTCACCATGTTGCCTAGGCTGGTCTTGAACTCCTGGCCTCACATGATCCTCCCGCCTCAGCCTCCCAGAGCTCTGGGATTACAGGTGTGAGCCACCGTGCCTGGCCAGGAGGCCATTGTTTTGAAAGGAGGTCTTGCATTTGACCCCAACAGACCAGACCAAACCGAAGTCACTCATGCTAAATGCCACATAATAAAACTGAAACTTGAAAGAAAAGATAGATCCCCAAACAGATCAGTGTTCCCCGAAAACAACAGATTTTAGTCTGCCTGAGGCACTATAATAAGAAAGTGTCCTCAGCTTTATCCCTTACCTAAAAGTAACCTAAAGTAACTTGATGCTAACCAATCAACTTTTTTTTCTATTGTTTTGTATCCTTGCTCCCGCTTTATAAAATCCACTGTTTTGCCATTTCCCAGAGGGTGTTCTCATTCTACTTTGTAGAATAGAGGCCGCCCTGATTTGTGAATCACAAATAAAAGCCAATTAAATCTATGACTAAATATCTTGTAATTTTGTCTTTTGACATAACCTCAATAACTAATAAAAGAACAAAAAAATTAAAAGGTAGAAATGAGAAAGTTAACATACATATACACACAGTCACACACACAAGATAGCCATCCCAGGAACACATAGAAGAAATTGGGAAGGTGAATATAATTCAAAAATGTACCAAGATTAAAGGGCTTTGAAGAACAGAAAATTTTTATGTTATTTAAATAAACTCAGGCTACGAAAGAAGATGGAAAGTATGTCAGTTTGCTTTATGGAGCAAGCATAACTTTTTAACTTTAAAACTAACAAGGATAGTTCAAATAATTAAAAAGATAGAAATATATTAGATATATCATTAATAGTCTGTTGTCATAATCAAATATATTAGTAAGTTTAGCAAGATCTATTATATCATATCCCCACATTTTGAAAATATATTTTCTAAATTCAGTGGAATAAGAAAAATAAATCAGCTATATGTGATAAATAATGTTTACTAAAAATGGTAGCAAATACATCCCAAAGAGAAAAATATTCAGACAACTTCAAAATCAAATCATGAACTTCACGGCGATATTTGTCATCACCATTATTACCTTTTCTCTCTTGAATGTTTTAGCATATGCAATATGACAAGAAAATTAAGTGCTATTATAAATATTGAAGAATGAGAGGTATAACATAACTTTCATTGAAAAGTAGTTTAAAATACAAGAGAATAAAAAACAGAATTATTGAACAGGTTTTATAATGTGAAAAATGAAAGGAAAGAATAGCTTCTGCTGTTTTAGAAAACAGTATATATAAATTAAAATGGGAAAAATAATTCATTTTTAATATTGTAAACAAATGTAGGAATACCTTGTACAAGATAGCAGAGAAACTCTCAAGAAAGTGCTTGTATCTTATTGAAAGAGAAAATGCAATTGAAACTAATGGAAATAAATAACTTGCTCTTTAATTTAAAAATGTAAGCATTACAATTAATTTTTCCAAGATTTATAAAATAAAATTATTGGTCAAGTTAGATATATTTCAGGAATTCAAAGATGGTATAATATTACCAATCTATTATCATAATCATTTGTATCACAAATTAAGAGAAAAAATGATATGTATTATCCAGTTGTGCTGAAAATATATTTGTAAAATTCAGTAGGTATATTTAGTCTAGTTTCTATGATTAATTTCTAAATCTTAAATTTTATCCCAAAGAATACATGTCTGAAATTATCCAAAAAATATGACAAAGAAGGACCATGTAAGAAGATTTGACTAAAGAGTTATATTTAAAACAACAACAAAAAAGCAATAAGAATTTTGCCAGAAAGTACAGGAAACTACATTTACAATCTAGAAGGTAGCACATTCTTAATCAATAATGAAAATACAGAAGTTAAAAGGTAAAGTCTACGTATGTCAATAAAAACCAAAAAGCAGAAACAAAGCCAATAAACATTAATAGAGATGGAAAAATCAAATTGCATCATTGATAATAAATCGTAATGTCTGTAGTATGCAAATACTTCTATATGTTGCCAAGAAAAAAACGAAGAGTACAACAGGAAGACTGGACAAAAAATATGATTTACAGAAGTGCAAATCAAAATGGCTAACAAATATATCTTAAAAGTGCTCCATTCACTAGTCATGACGGAATGAAAATTCAGGTAACAATGAAGTACTACTTTACCTCCATCAGACTGAAATAGCCATTTCGGCTGCTTGATATGGGGAAAGTTTACTTCAAGTATTGCTGGCGGAAATTCAAAGAACTTCTGCCTTTGGAAAACAATCTAGCAGTAGCAATTTAACTTTAAAAACATTTATTCTTTGAGGTAATAATCTCATTTCTGGGAATCAAGAGCCTGGAAATCAAAGCACCTATATATAATGCTCATGATGGGAGTAGGGGATGGGAAAGAGAATACCCACTGATCAGTGAACAGGTGTATAAATTGTGGCATATTCACAATATGAAAAAAATAATTATTCAAATGAATGAGTATAGTGAAGTTTAACAACGTGTGTATAATAGCCATTATTGTAAAACAAATTACAACTAAGGAAAAGCACACCATCAGGTTAGCCTATACAGCACTTTAAGAGCACGGAGAAAAATATGGAAAGATATAGATTGATGCATACGTTATCTTGTTGGTGGTGGCAGGTCTTACATACCGATTTATGTAAAACCAATTGTGGGGATGTATATAGAAAAGCTTGAGGAAGAGAATAACAAGTGTGTTGAGGCATTTAGAGTTCCAAAGGTAGGATGCTCACCAAGTGTTAATATGTATCACAAGGGACCTAATAGTCCCACTGACTTGGATGGGACTTAGATAGAAAAAAAAAAAAAAAAACTTCAGAATTAATCCTCTGCTAGGGATGGAGAACCATCTCCTCAGTCACAACATCCGTGAATAACCAAGTATTTACATACATCTTTTTTCCCATTATTCCCTTTCATTCTGGGTAATCACTTTTGAAAACCTCCTCCAAAGACTGAAAGCTACTTTCCTTGGGATCAGATATATTCTGTAGGAATGTAAGGTTCAGAAAAGGTGAGTAGTGTAATCTGTGTTTCTTACTGTGGTTCATATAATAGAATGACAAGATTTTTGAGGAATTGCATGGGGCACAGAAGAGTCCAGCGTGGCTTACTGGTCGAGGTTGTGAATGAGTAGCTACAGGAAGGGACACTAGTCCTAGGCAAGGTGACTTTCAGAATCTCTGTGAACCATCAGAGTGATGGAAGGGTAAAACTGGGAGGAGACTGGATGAAATATTGGGAATTAACTTTTTTTTTTTTTTTTCCGAGACAGAGTCTCACTCTGTCGCCCAGGCTGGAGGGCAGTGGTGCAATCTTGGCTCACTGTAACCTCCACCTCCCGGGTTCAAGCGATTCTTCTGCCTCAGCCTCCCCAGTAGCTGGGATTATAGGTGGGCCGTAATTACAAAATGCCCGGCTAATTTTTGTATTTTTAGTAGAGTCAGGGTTTCACCATGTTCGTCAGGCTGGTCTCGAACTCCTGACCTCGTGATCCGATACACTCGGCCTCCCAAAGTGCTGGGATTACAGGAGTGAGCCACCGCGCCTGGCTGGGAATTAACTTTTAAAGCTTCCCATTCTGATGAAGACATGAACTAGGGCATAGCTTGATTCCCTGAATGGGAGGAAAACAAAACACCCAAAATGGTATCTTGCATTTTAGCAAAAACAAAAATAAGTAAAAATACAGTCATGGCATTTAGGGAAAGAGATCTGGGTTCAGATCTCAGCCCTTCCATGAACTTGCGCTAATTGCTCGGTTTCTTTGACCCTCACTCTCATCTGTACATAAATGGGCACAGAAACCCTTGTCCTGTGGAGCTTTTGTGAACAGTAAATGGGATCTTGGCACTTGGCACTCAGGGATCAATGTCTGGCACTCAGGGATCAGTGTCTGGTATTATGTTTTTGCATGAAATAAAATATCTGGGGGAGAAAATGTGCTGGCCCCATATGCCAAGAGTGAACGAGAAAGCTTCAGTGCACAATCAAGTCTTCTAGGAGTATGTTTGAAAAGGTTCCAATGGAAACGGACACTAAGTGGCAAACAAAACGCTTTGTCAGCCTTAACCGGGAAGATGCTGGTAAGGAAGTTATTAGTTAATCACCAACCAGCCATAAGGTGTTATGGAGCCTGCTAAGTTTAAATATGCTTTATTATCCGACATCCAACATATGGCACATGGTTATGAGGTGGATGACACTCGTTTTAAAGGTCATCGTTACCCAAATGAGCGGATCTGAAATGGAGAAATTAGTTAATGCTTTCATCTGCTGATTTAGTGTGAACACATCCAAGAGAGCCGAGGCACTCCAGATGGCAGGCAGCAAAAATAGCTAAGAAAGATGATGTGTGTTAACTGTTTCTTAATGACACCAGTGGTTCACTAGGGGGAGGACAGGTGAGGAAGAAAGAAGGAATCCTTCACCAAGTACTGATTGGACTTATGGGTGAAATGAAGATCTCTTTACCTGGTTCTCAGGAGATTAAATTCCACCTGTAACAAATGGAAAAACTGCCCTTCCATCCATATTATTGATATTGCTACTGAGGATGATGATGATTTGTTGTTTCAGCTACATGTAATAAGCACGTCCATGTGCCTGGCACTGTTTTGTGTTTAACGTTCATCTTTTTAGTTATTTCTCTCAACAACATACTGAGGCAGTTATGGTTAAGAATGGTGGCTGACAGGCACAGTGGCTCACGCCTGTGATCCCAGCACTTTGGGAGGCCGAGGCAGGTGGATCACAAGGTCAAGAATCAAGACCATCCTGGCCAAGATGGTGAAACCTTGTCTCTACTAAAAATACAAAAAATTAGTTGGGCGTGGTGGCGCGCGCCTGTAGCCCCAGCTACTCGGGAGGCTGAAGCAGGAGAATGGCATGAAACCGGGAGGCGGAGCTTGCAGTGAGCCGAGATCTCGCCACTGCACTCCAGCCTGGGTGACAGAGCCAGACTCCATCTAAAAAAAAAAAAAAGAATGGTGGCCGAGAAGCCAGATTTCCTGGATTCCAATCTTATTTGTGTGGCTTTCAACAAGTTACTTCTCTGTGGCAGTTTGTTTGTGAGGTCCAGATTATGTTACTATCTATCTCACAGGTAACTGTAGGCTCACATGAGAGAACACATATAAAGCACTGAGAAGAAGAAATGTTTGGGACATAGTAAATGCTCAGTAAATATTAGTGCTACCTCCTCCACCCTGCACCCAGGTGATTTTCTCCTTTTTTGCATAAAAGGAGAAGGAAAGTTTCAGATGTTAAAGAGCATGCCCAAGCTCACCTGACCAAATGTGCAGACAGATTCAAGTCTGCCTTCTAAACTTGTGTTGCACTGTCCCAGGCAGCAAACCTTTCTCCCAAATGCACGCAAGTCACATTTTCAGGATAGCAGCAGAGAAACAAGAAAGGTACTTGCCAGTCTTCAGAACACCACCGTATCACAAGCAGGAAAATTCAGGAGCCTCATCAAGGCCAGACCCAAGTTACTTTCCTTCTATTAAAAAACAAACAAACAAAACTGTTCAGACTTTGGGTGGGATGGTGAGGAAATACACTGGAAAAGTAATCTAAAATGATTAAATCATAATAATGACAAATAGCATTTAGCAAGTCCTTATACTGCGTGCCAGGTGTTGGATTAAATGTCTTATATGCATTTATATTTTCCATCCCTCTGGCAACTCAACGTTTGTCCTGTCATTATTCACATTTTACACATAAGAGGATTATGGCAGAGGAAGGATAAATACCATTCCCAGAGTTGTATAGTTAAGAAGTGAAAGATCTGGGATTTCAACTCAGGGATTCAAGAGGCAGGACACATGGACTCTACGATTGCACTCTCCTGGCCTGGCTTGATGGATTAGGGGCAGGGATCCTTTCTCAAACCTGAGCGTGCATTAGAGTCACCTGGAGGACTGAAATCCACTGCCAGAGTTTCTGATTCAGTAGATCTGAGCTAGGGCCCAAGAATGTGCATTTCTCACTTCCACTTCCCATGTGATGCTGCTGCTGCCTGTGTGAGGGCCACACTTTAACAGCCAGTGGATAATTAGACTTTAGAGCCTAGATTAGAGTCACAGAAGACTTCCCAGGGCCACCACTTGGTAGTTGTGCAACACTGAGCAAGTCCTATTAACTCCTCGGAGCTTCAGTTTCCTTATCTGCTCAGTAGGAGTATAAGTCATTATAGTCTTATTGACTATATAAATAGTCATTAAAAGGATGCAGTTAATAAAATCTATCTCCTAGAGCTGTTATGGAGATTAAATAAAATACCATGTATAAAGTACCTAGTAAGTATCCTGGAACACAATAATAGCTCTCACATGGTGGTAAATAAATACACTTGTCACAAAATTATTAAGTCCTCTCTGTGTACAGAGCACATGGAGAGAGAGAGATGAAGTCACATTTCCTATCTGGAACAAGTAGATTTAACAACTAAAAAGATCCAAGAAGAAACATAGATGCACACCCAGACCCCAGGACACACACACACGTGCACACCCAAACACCAAGAAACAAAAATACAAAGCAAAATGTGACTGTGTCTGTCTGGGGTCCTGCAAAGCGCTAAGAAAACCAGAGAATGAGCACAGACGTTCAAGTGGAGAAATTACCAGAGGTTTATGGAGAGAGGACCATCTGAGCTGACTCTGAAAGTAGCTAGGCAGACATATAATTATTGTTCTTTTTATTTTGAAAGATTGAGTGCTGACTACATATGAGACACTGTGTTTGGCATTTTGTGCTTAATTCTTGTAGCCCCCAGCTGGCTAGAGGCTGGGCATTGCTATTCTCATTTGACAGAGGAACAAACAGGTCTGAAAATATTAAGCAATTTGCCTTAAGTCACACCGTGTGCATGTGGCGCATGGGCCTTGGGAGTGGGAGTGGCGCAGGCAGGAAGCCTTGTTTCTTTGTACTTAAGCCCCAAGCAGTGATCTTGTCATTCTGCCCTGTGATTTCCTCTGGTGGAGTATTGGCAAGCTGAGCTCTGTAACTTCACATTCTCATCCTCTTTACTTAAAGCTGGTCCCCCGAGGAAGGCAGCGGAAATGTAACTGCATATACAAAACTGAGCTTGGAACGTCTGAGGCAAAGCTGGGGGAGTTCCAGGGAATCCTGATGAGAAGCTGTTTGGAGCCCCAGGACAGCTGTGCCATTTGATGACTCCCATTCCAGTTGGGCATAAACCTACCTCTGCAACTACCTGCCATACCCCCACTTCCTTCTTCTGAATGCAGGAAGCTCATCTGAGCAATAATGTGTAGGAAAGGTTGTGGCTCTCTCCAAATCCATAACAAATATACCCTCGGAAAGAGAAACTTCAGGTCTTTGTCTCTCTTTTGCACATAGTATGTTGTTTGGGAGCAGGGTGATGATGTTTCTCACTGGAACATGGGAACAATTCATTTGAGTTCCCAGTCTGTTCACAAAACACGTCCACCAGTCATTGTAGAGATGCAGAGCCTGGGATTCATAGGATACTTGGTGTCTTTTTATGAACAATGATGCCCCACTTACCTACAGGCCAGACTTCCAGCAACTTTACCAAAATGTATTCCTGAAATTAGAAATAAGAGGGAAGGGCTTGCAATAGGCAGAGATGGTTTTCAAAAAGCCCTTTAAACACACGCACAGATGCACACACACACACGCACACACATATGCACACACATACACACTATGGGAGGAGCCTTTAGAACTTCAGTCAGTACACACAGGCTCTAACTCTATACATATTTCTAATAAATCTTTTTATTTGGTTTCCAACTCATAGAAGACAATTAGGGAGGTGACTTCTACTGCTTGGGTCACTGACAGTAGGAAGGTTAGATAAAGCAGGTTACTTGCCAGCTTAGAGAAAGATCCAGATACAGAGACCTAGGAATCTCTGTCCTCCAAAATAGTCACACAGGTTGAGCAATAATAACGAAATAAGCAAGTGGCAGCGTGGAGTTGGGGAACTCTACAATTAGTGTCAGTATTGGCAAAAGAGAGAAATGGCAGTCAAGGGGTGAGGATATAAGTTGGCGGGGCCAATAGCCCTAGGACTTGGAACGCATCTCTGACTCAGAGTCAGATCCATTTCCTAGGAGGTTGTGGTTTGGCATGGAATTACCACGAGAGTAGGTGAGTCCCGAAGGAGCGGAAGTGCAGATTGTCCTCCAGGCACAATAAAGCTTTTAGCCTTTGACTAGGTGGGCTTCCCAAAGGGCCAGTTAATGCTTTCCTTGGCAAAAGAATGCAAATCAATCCAAACCTCCATGTCCATGATCCTTGGAGAGTATCCTTTGTGCTTGGACTGATATGAGTTGTTTAGTTTTGCCTGAAAACAGCAGCCTGAGTGCGGCCAGGGCTTCCTTGGGGTTACTCAGGTCTCCGAATTCCTGGGGCCTCTTGTGTGTCGGAGCACTGCTTGGAGTGTCTCCTTCTGCGCAAATTCCTGAGTCCAGGATGTGGACATCTGTTCCCTGCTGTGGGCAAAGGACACAGGTCGTTTCGTTTGTTTATTTTTGCTGTGGTTTGCAACAAGGATAGATCTGATTCCTGGCAAAAGCAGGCTGCCAAGACCCCACTGTGATCAAGTAGAGGACTGAGAGGTGAGGAGAAACAATTGTATGTCCATGCTCAGCATAAAGAATAAAATTCTAAGCCATGTTTGGGGCCAGAGCTAATTAGAATACCACATTCTGACTTCACTCACGTATTCTATGGTTCCCTAACTCAGGAACCACCAGGTGGGAGAGATCTCTGGTATGAATGCAAGGAAAAGCTGAGCTTCCCTTGAAATACCAGCTCTTCTTTTCTACTCTCCCCCAAGCCCCTCTTTCCTGTTGTGTTACAGAAATCAAGAATCATGTAAACAATTGTATTTCCTGCATTTTTTGGACACTGGGAAGCTTAAATGAAAATCTGGGCCAATATTTAGGCTTCCATGAGGCCATGTAGAATGCTTATATAGTGGCTGTTGCTTTTCTCTGAGGGTCGTTCCTTTCCCTGATCAGGAAACTGGTTCACTCATTTACTCAACTACAGGGATGACATTGGAACGAGACTGGCTCCATCATAATAAACATCCTCCTAGCCAGAGTGAATTGTCCAGAGATGTCCATGGGACCCAAGCTGTGCCAAGTGGGGTCCTACTCAAAGAACTGGTAGAGAAATGCAGATGTTCCAGTAAGTCAGACCATCTCCTTGCCTTTAAATAATGGAAAAGTGAGGACTCAGTGCACAGAGTAACAGAGATGAGAAACCTACAGAGAGAGTCCTGACAGTGTTCAGAAGCTATTTCTGGTCAACCTCAAGGCCATTTCTGCCATTGTTTACTACTGCAGTATTTTATATGCAGCAATTAATTCTTCATTGGTCCTCAGGCAATTTCAAGCTGGATTTCCATCACTTGCAGCCAGCGTGCTAAGTCAGGATCCTGGCTCACTAATATTTTTCCTGGCTTTTGTATTTGCTTTCCTGTATTTTCTCCTCATCTTGATTCCTTCACTTATTTGTCACTTTTCTTCTGTATTACATATAATTTTGTAAGCTGACCTCAAATTCTTTGTGAAGAGAAGCAGAGTGTAAACATGCACGTAGTATCAAGTAACTTCAAATCCAGCACTTTTTCTCTCTGCCACAGCTATTGATAATGGCAGACTGTGACATCAAGAAAAGGTTAGCTTGGTTTCTGTATTTTCTGTTTCAAAAAGCCAAGAGGTATGTGATACATTAAATTACAGTTTCTTTTAAAAATAGTTAATATAAGCAATTACCACTGGGATCAATACTAAGTCTTAGTTATCTGGAAAATTCGTTCATGTGAAAAAGTATACTCACTAATTTGGCCAAACCCACACAATATCACCTTTCAGTAGTCGCCCCTTATCTGTAGGGAATATGTTCCAAGATCCCTATAGGCTGCCTGAAACTGCAGATAGTACTAAACCCTATATACACTTTTTATTCCTATACATACATATCTATAATAATGTTTAATTTATAAATTAGGCACAGTAAGAGATTAGCAACAATAACTAGTAATAAAAAAGAATAATTATAAAAATATAGTGTCATAAAAGTTATATAAATGTGCTCTATCTCTCTCAAAATATCTCGTTCTATATTCACCTATTTTTGGACTGTGGTTAATTGTAGGTAACTGAAACTGCAGAAAGCGAAACCACCACGGAAAAGGAATGACTATTGTATTTAAAATATATATATATATATATATATATAATGAAGTCAATTTACAAGACAACCAAAAGCAACTTAGTGGCTGTTATTTTAGATTTGGTATATTTTTCAGAAACAGTTCTCTAGACTACAGAGACTTCCTAAAACATATTTTAGCCCAGGCCCTAATTTCTTGGAGAATATTGTACATGATGATTTTGTGTGCATGTCTGTATACGTTGTCTAGTCAAATAAATACTTCTGGCCAGGCATGGTGGCTCATGCCTGTAATCCCAGCACTTTGGGAGATTGAAGCTGGCAGATCACTTGAGGCCAAGAGTTTGAGACCAGCCTGGCTAGCATGGTGAAACCCCATCTCTACTAAAACTACAAAAAAATTGGCTGGGTGAGGTGGCGCATGCCTGTAATCCCAGCTACCCGAGAGGCTGAGGCACAAGAATCACTTGAACCATGGAGGCAGAGGTTGCAGTGAGTTGAGATTGGACCACTGCAATCCAGCCTGGGTAACAGAGTGAAACTCTGCCTCAAAAAACAAAAACAAAAGCAAATAAATACTTCTGTGTAATTATGTCTAATTTGATAGAGCAAATCAAATGATAATAGGACCAGTTTCTTTGGTGATCCATGGCTTTAAACACAGAAACCTTCTGGATTTTTATTTTAAATTACATTATTTTATAAATAAGTCATCTTGGAGTGGTACTTATCCCGAATGTGAATGATACAACTGACCCAACCCACTAATGGAAATACAGAGATTATGTTGTCACGCCCCGAGGTAGTGCTGAGCCTGTTGACAGGTGATACTTAATGGGGCTGAAGAGGGTTATTGAGGACTGTCTTTATCTAATGGATAATCTATTTTTGCCATAAACCCCCAGTTGGAATTAACTCTTTCCTCAGAAAAGCATGTAAAACACTTGTCCATAAACCACAGTGGTCAAATGACTGCCACCCCTAAATACAGACACCACCAACACTACCACCGCTGCAGAGAGAGCAGGGGCAGAATTCAGCATTCAGGTTGGCAAAACAGAGAGCTCCGCTGAATACTCAAATAAGCACAGATATCAATAGGAAGCATGTTGGAAGGAAGCAGAAATAAATGGAGGTATACCCTTACTGATGTATACACTTAACTGAGAGATAAGGGATCTGGACTGGTTCAGGATTCATGGCAGAAAGTGGGGTCACACACACATAGACACCCACAATATGGCTTTTTCCAGTTGTGTGTCCATCAGACACAGTTGTCAAGCATTTCTACCAGCACTTCTGGGAAGAGGAATGAGAGGTCAACATCAGAACTGGATCGAACAGCCCTCTCTGTAATTGCACTTATCTTATTTCAGATGATAGTTAAAAATGCCTTTCTCTGCATGGCACACTTCACAAAGTTTTCAATACAGAATATAGGCTCACTCATGCTTCACAATACAAGGTATCCAACAAAGCATGGTGAGGCATACATGACCTTTGCATTTGGGCCACCCAGTTCTGTCTTATGCCACCTCTGTGACCTTGACAAGTGCCTTAGCCTTTACAGGTTTCAAGCTCTTCATGTTTAAATAGCGATATTAATAGTACCAATTAGAGTTGTGAGGATTTATAATAAGTGTTAGCTATGATAATTTTATTATCATCATAATTAGTATTATTACCAGGATTATCATGTTCATAAATCCTTTAAGGGACTTCATCTTTCTTTTAGTTATTAAAGTACAAAGGATGGAAAAAGAAAGATGGTAGAGAAGGACCAAAGAGTAAAGAAGGTAGAGAGGGATGGTAGAGAAGGAAAAAGAAAGAAAACAGGACAGAAAGAGGAAAGAAGGAAGGAAGGTAGGAAGGAAGCAAGGAAGGAATGGAGGGAGGAAGGAGGGAAGGAAGGAAGGAAGGGAAAAATAAGGAAGAAACTATGATCTTATTAGGATTGGGAAATACTGTGTATTTATTTCAATTAAGATTCAGATGACCAGAACAGGACAAAGCATAAAACATGTCTGTTTTGTAGATGTCTGCCTTGAGTTATTTCTGCTTGGGGATATTAAGCATTAGAATAGCTCTTGTAGATTCAGCTTTCAGAAGGCATGCCAAGATCTGAGTGGCTGGTTACAATAGGAAGAGGATGAAGACCTGTCTAGATTCCCGAGTGGATATTCAACAGTAGCTGGACCCTCAGTCTGCCAAGAGGCAACACATTGAATTCAGACTTAGCTGGGATAACTGTTTGAGCATGTGGAAGTGATGGGAGAGTAATGGAGAAGAGATTTCTAGATAGCCATCATTACCAGCATCAGAGGGAAAAAGGGGTAGCCAAGTAGCAGCCCAGACAGTAAACAGAAACCCTGTGGTGAGGATGGAGTCTTGACTCCAGAGAAGAAGTGCAGAAGCTCCCTTATGGGAAAGTTTCCTACAAAACAATGTTTGGAGGGAAGTCCCAATCCTGAGTGTTGAGCAAGAGTCTATATAAATAAGATCAAGTTTCATCTCCACTTGCAACCCTTCAAAAACTTTCCACTTCCTGTAAAATTCTAACTTCTTGTTAGGGTTGGCAAGTGTCTAAATGATATGGTTTGGCTGTGCACCACAACCCCCCCCCACCAAATCTCATCTAGAATTGTAGCTCCCACAATTCCCATGTTTCATGGTAGAGACTCAGTGGGAGGTAATTGAATCACAGGGGTGAGTCTTTCCCATGCTGTTCTCATGATAGTGAGTAAGTCTCACAAGATCTGATGGTTTTATGAAAAGGAGTTTCCCTGCACAAGTTCTCTCTCTTCTCTGCCGCCATGTAAGATGTGACTTGGTCCTGCTTGCCTTCCACCATGATTGTGAGGCCTTCCCAGCCATGTGGAACTGTGAGTCAATTAAATCTGTTTTTTTTATAAATGACCCTGTCTTGGGTATGTCTTTATCAGCAGCATGAAAATGGACTAATACACTAAGTGATCTGGATCCTGCCCAGTCTCCTGGACTCCTCTTTTGCTACCTGCTCCATTTCCTTGAACATACCAAGCTCTTCTCATTGTGGGCCCTCTGCACTTCCTTTTACTTTTTATGGTAATGTATTTCTGCCCATCTCCACATGATGAGCTTTGTCTCATCACTCTGGTCTCAACTCCAATGCCATCTCCTTATAGAAGTCCTCCTCTGCAGAGTAGACTTATTGTATACGGTACCACCATGTTTATTCCCATTAGAGCATGTATCACAATCAATAATCACTTTGTTTCATTTTTTACTCTTATTATCTCTCTCCCACTGTCTCCAAGGGCCATGCTCATCTCGTTACATTCCACACTGCTATATCCTCAGTACCAAGCACAAGATCTGACAGTGGACAGATACTCCAGAAATACTTGTTGATTAGGTGGGTGAAAACTCTTAGGGCAGAATACGATGCTCCACAGCTCATGTGCTATTAACTGTGCAAGGTTAACATGGTAACCTGGTCAGGAGTTCCTGCCTCAATAAGGTTCACTAGAATCAGCCAGGTAAGCTATGAAATCTGTTTGAATCACAGTATGTGTATTCCCAATTTGGCTACATGTTGTAACTTAAGAACAGATACTTGGTGGAAGAAAGAAGCAGAGGATCACATTAGTGTTTCTTAAGGACAATAGGTATGAGCAGTAACGGTATTAGTGGAGGGTGTATTATGCAGGGCACAGGAGAAAGAACGCAGCTTCTCTTCCATCTCTAGCAAAGAAAAGGAAGAACCTCTTTTCCCATGTCACTACTGAGGGCTTCTTTGTAGAATTCTAAGAGTGGAAGGAAGAACTCCACTACCTCCTCACTTACAGATCATGTCAAAAGAGAATTAGAGATTTTTATTCTATGAACACTGCATCGTTTGACATAAAAGGAGAACATTTTTTAAAAAGTTTAGAAACATTTTGATGCTGTTTGATATTGCCATCCTGAACTTTTTGGATATCCCATAATATTCACAAAAGAAACTTTTAAAACCCAATTTTAATGCTTTAGTGCCAGTTTGCAAACCAGGTACAATTCTCATCTGATTCAAGATTTAAATAAAAAGACAAAGAAACAAAAAACATTTTATGAGAATTCAGTATTTGAGAAATATGGTTTCCAGTCACTCAGAAGAGCTGTAGAGATGGAAAACATGTGGTGTGAATAATATATGCCATAGACAAGGCAAATATGTGAAAAACTTATATTTGTACTTTTGTTTTTGCTACACAGTTTACACAAATCACTGCCTAAGCATTAATATTTATACTCCTAAGCGTTTTTTTCTACCATGCCCATCAAACTGTTGCATAATCAGAGTAGTCAGTATATCACATCACACAGGGGAGAACAACTTACCGGCCTCAGTTCCTGTAAATATTTTTCTTTTGTGCTGGATTAAGGTTATCCTCATGGTAGGGGTCCTTGTGGAAGTAAAGTATGCCAACATATTTTATGATTTAAAAAAATATGGACACTTCATGACTCTACAAAAAGTTGGTGTTTATATTCTGCATGGAAGATATGTTTCTGACCTAGCCCCTGAAGTTTTTGAGGTTTATTCATCCTGAATTTATTTTTAAGCTAAAGAGAGGGCCCTTTTCTGCAGAGAGATATTTTGCTTGGCAGAAAACACAAATACCGAATTCATTCTTGGGTTATGGCATGTTTGAAAGTGTTCCTGCTACCCCTACGCTGCCTAAAGAAGGTAAGCACTTTTGTACTACCTTTGCTAAAATAATTGTAGGACTGCTTACTATCTTCAAAACATAAGCAGCTAAAGCTCTTTGCCCTGGTGTCCAAAAGCATGTAGATTTGACCTCAATCTTCCTTTATCATGGTATTGATTTTTCAGTGCTTCCCTTTTGTGTGAGAGAAGATAGGATGGCACAACAAGTGTGTGAGTTTAGGGTAAGGCAGACCTGACTTTGCATCTTGTTTCTGCTTCTTAATATGTGCCTGATTTTACTTATTCCAAATATAACTACAACATTTGGATCATATGGATAGGCAGTATCAGCAAGTGGTTAAGCCTTCTGGCTCTAGAAAAAGGACAATCTGAATTAAAATACTAGCTACACGTGACCTAGTACAAGTGACTTCGTTCTCTAAAACTTTAGTTATTTCACCTTTAAAATGGGGATGTGTAACAATACCTGTTTCACAGTTGGTTGTGAGCAGTATATGTATATCAGCTAGCTGTTGCTGCATAACAAACTAACAATGCTCAATGGCTTAAAACAACTGTTTATTTTGGCTCATGAGTCTACCGGTGATTTGGGCAGCTCTTCTGTTTTACCTGGGCTCATTTTTGCTTGTATGTTCAGCTACAAGATGGGTAGGTGGCTTTGCCGATCCTGTCTGAGTTCTTTCATGTGTTTGGGAGTTGGCTAGCTCAAGATTCTAGAATGGTCTTTGCTGGAAAAACTGAGTTTTCTTTCTCCAGTAGGCTACTCTGGACTTGTTCTCATGGTGGTTGGACAAAGTTCTGGGGGAGACAGAGGGTGGGGAGAGAGAGAGAGAGAGATTGAAAGAGACAAAAGGAGAGAGAGTGAGTGAGTGAGAGAGAGGAGATGGAGACAGAGAGAAAGAGAGATTCAAAACCTTTTGAGGCTTGGGCTCAGATCTAGTATAACAACATCTTTGCCACAAAACAAGTCCAAAATCAGAAGGCAGTTACAAAGTTGCAGCAATGTCCACAGCTACAGGGAAGTCAATTATTTTGGCCAAAAATACCACAAAATTCAAAATGCTTAGCATAAAGGGTGATCATATTGTAACTGCTTAATAAAAAGTTTTCTGTCATGACAGATTGGATATTGAACAATAGAATTATGCTGAGGATTAAAAGCTCATAGAGACAACCCTAACGAAAGTAACAGCATCTACGATGAAATAGGTTATCACAAAATAGTGTCAATGATGCCCCCTGTGGCCTAGACCAAAAACACCGTATCTCCTCTTCTTTTTAGATGTCTTTGCTATGGATGTTTACCCACCCTAGGATGCTGTGATAGTTAATTTTATGTTTCAACTTGACTGGGCTAAGGGATGCCCAGAAAGCTGGTAAAACTTGGGGCTATGTCTGTGAGAATGTTTTTAGAGGAAATTAGTATTTGACTTGGTAGACTGAGTAGAGTAGATTTCTCTTCCCCATGTATTTTATATTTATAAATTGTATTTTCCTTTTTAGCTTAAGAAATATTGGCCAATCTGATAATGGTGTGAGTAGAAGCCAACCAATCCTTTGAACACCTGAACAGAACAAAAATGTGGAAGGGTGAATTTGCTCTTTCTGCTTTAGCTGGAATATCCACTTTCTGTTGCCTTCGGATGTCAGTGCTCCTGGTTCTCAGGCCTTCAGACTGGGGAGTGGGACTTACATCATTGACTCTTTTGGTTATCAGGCCTTTGGGTTGGGACTGGAACCAGCTTTCCTGGGCCTCCAGCTAATGTATGGCAAGTTTTGGGTCTTCTCAGCCTTCATAGTTATGTAAGCCAATTCCTCATAATAAATCTTTATCTATATATCCTATTGGTTCTGTTTCTCTGGATGCCCTTTCTCTATCTCCATAGGTCACAAAATCTTCTCCAAGGTCTTACTTCTGATTGTTACTATCCCTCATGAGGTCATCCTCCCACTAATCCTACAGAGATCTTATCTGCACATTGTGTCATCCAGCTACTTCCTTCCTAGATTTTGGTTATGTTGACGTTTTTATCTCCTTGTTGATTCTACTCACTTTAAACAGAGACTGTTTAAAAATCATATGTTTTATTTCCTTCTGCACATGATAACTACTTAACAAATATAGGTATTGGGAATTAGTGTGTAAAAGAGAGAATCAGGGAGAAAAATAAATTGTATTTTCCTTCTTAGCTTGAGAAATATTGGCCAATCTGATATTAAATTATTCTTTTACCGCATACTGCATGGTTAACTTGAAGAAATAGAAAGACCTATAATTAGGTTCAATATCTTATTTTCTCTCTGTTTACTTTTATGTTTAAAATTTTACCATTAGAGATGTGTTTCTTATGTCTAAGACATTGTTATCCCTTAGAATGTCTCCTCTATAAATTACTTTTATGGTAATTGATGCAGTGTTTCTGTATTAGTCTGTTCTCATGCTGTTAATAAAGACACACCCAAGACTGGGTAATTTATAAAGGAAAGAGGTTTCAAGGACTCACAGTTCCACATGGCTGGGGAAGCTTCAGAATCATGGCGGAAAGCAAAGGAGAAGTAAAGTCATGTTTTATATGGCAGCAGGCAAGAGAACTTGGAGGAGTTCAGGAGCTCCCATTTATAAAACCATCAGATCCCATGATACTTATTCACTACCAAGAGAACAGTATAGGAAAAACTGCCCCCATGATCACATTATCTCAACCTGGCCCTGCCCTTGACATATGGGGGTTATTACCATTCGAGGTAAGATTTGGGTGGGGACACAGCCAAACCATTTCCGTTTCAAATGAGGTATTTACCTATATTAATTTATACCTAATAACTCGCTTATCCAGATGCCAGCCTGTTCTCTTGACCCTGTTGGTCCCTTAGTCTTGACCTGGAGTCCA
Organism: Homo sapiens; assembly: GCF_000001405.40. Taxonomy (NCBI): domain Eukaryota; kingdom Metazoa; phylum Chordata; class Mammalia; order Primates; family Hominidae; genus Homo; species Homo sapiens. Next base: position 65,383,719 of record NC_000016.10, on the reverse strand, counting down.
CTGATATGTATTCGAATTGGCAACTGTTTACATTCCCCAGAAATAATCACTTTGTGTCCAAAGACTTAGAAAATAATTTTGATTTTGCTTTATATCCCTGACAAGTGAGGGATGTGAACTTGCCCATGTTTTTTATACATTTTACTGCTCTACGTTTCTCCAGAGTCAAAATTAAACCAACACCCACCCTGAGGGTAGGAGTTACAACTAGTCACAGGTGACATATGACTTTCTTGTCATCCTACAGGCCAAATTTTTTATGCTTTGCAAAACCATTCATTTCCAGGTTGTCAGAGAGCCTTATATTGTGCTTTCTGAGTTTTTTTTTTTTGAAGGGGTATGTCAAACTGGTATTAATTTAGGGGTTTATTTTTTAATATCAATGTTAGATTTACTTTACTCTGCCAACATTTCCAAAAGAAAGGCAGTGGATAAATACAAAGCATCATTATTAAGTATTATTACATTGATGTATAAAACACCACTATTATTACTGTCAGTTTGGTCTGCTGGAATTATATGACACTTAAATATTTTAGGCCAGTTATCAATACCTGTGATTTTTGCCGATGCATTTGATGTTTTCATCCTTTAGAACCATAGTTCACTAAGCAGGCAAACTATTTTACGGAGGCAGAGCACAGAGGGATGGAAACTGCATGGGCTTATGGAGATCAAGTTTTAAATTCTACTCTCTAAGCACCGGATGGGGAAGCCCTACCTAAATGGCAGTCCCTGCAGAAAAATGGGCTGCATTGGTTGACCTCATGCTCACCATGACCAGCAGCATAAAATAGCTGCTGGAAAAAGCAATCATGAACTTACTCTAATAAAAATCAATGACAAAGAGAAGAGATAAGTAAACCATCTTCTTTTATAAAGACTGCAGCTATGGTCACATGCTGCATTGGGGTATTGCATTTGAACAGGGTGTTGAGAAAGAGTGACATCTCCCCCACCTGCAGGAGAGTTGAGGCTGTTAAGATATTTAGGCTGGAGAAGAGATCTAAGCAGAATGATGATAATAGAAAAATGACTGGGTTCAATCATGTGATTGGTAGATACATAAGAAAGATGTTAGAATTGTTCTTCTTTTCCAAAAGGCAGAGCAAAGCCAAAGAAAGTGTTGTTTCAGAGAAGTTAATTTTGGCTCTATGAAAAATCCTACAGGTAAGGATAATTCAATAGGAAGTACAGCTACCTAAAAATGTAGAGATCATTTTGTCACTGAACGTAGAGTGGGGATAGTATTATTCATTACCTTGGAGGTGGGCAACGAAATTACTCAACTGGGATAAGTGTGCCCATAGATGATCTAGCTATCTTTAAGATTCCATGGCCTAGTTGGGGAATATTAGGAGAGAGTTGAGTTCAGAGCTGGGGCTTACCTGAAGCTTAGAAATTTCATAGGCAGAGGTCACATGAGATGGGAGAAACAGCAAAAGCAAAGGTTATGAGTAAGTATGAGTTTTCCTGTGAACATGAGGAGAATGATGAAAAGCGCTTACGTGGAGTGCAAGATTCATGGAGAGGGAGGAAGATAAGTCTTGATGTACAGAACATGAGCCTAGAACATTGAGGATACCCTAAGGATTTAGTCTCAATTATATAGGTAACTTGACAAGTTAGTAGGTTAAAAGAGGTTGGAGAAAACATATTTGGATCAGTATTTAAGGGAGATGACCCAAGTTCCAGAATGAACTGAAATGTGAAGTGTGGCAGAGAAGGAGAGAAAATATTAAATTAAGTGAAATAAGCCATCTCTAAATTCACATCTCCATCCCATGAGGAGAGAAGGTCACTATTCTTTGCACTATATTGTATTAACCAATTTTTCATGTCTGTCTCTCACACCATGAGCTTGAAGTTAACAGTCTCTGTCCCAATGACCACTTTATGTGACTTAATAAGTGCTTAATTTGTAATTATTGAATAAGCATTTCAGTTGCAGTGAAAAATGAGGAGAGCTTGGGCATGTGACAAAGACAAAAGCAAACAAAATCAAATAATTTTTGGAATTATGGAAGTAGATCATTTGAAGAGTCTATGATGGTGGGTGGTTTGGGTCTGGAAGTGGAACCTACCCTGAATCTTGGATCAATATTTATTTATTTTTGAGCCCTTCTCCTTTTGTTGTTGTTTTATTTTTTGTTTTGTTTTGTTTTTACAATAAAAAAGATATATATTCCTAAAATGGAATAGAAATAGAATATAACAACTAATGAGGATGCCAAAATGCCCCCTACCCCATATTTTAAAGATTAATCTCCCCAGTTGTGTTGCAAAGGTAGGTTGTGGTCATAGTTGTTTGTTTAGGTGAAGTCATAAATTTTCCCTCGCAGGAAATCATAGCCAGAAAAGTGGAACTGTAGTCAAATAGAAAATGGAAAATTTGTATAGCAGGTGTATGGCTAACAAGCCAAATTCTCAAGGCAGGTGGAGTGGTTGGTGATGAAATATTCTGTTCTACTCCTGAGAATGGAAATAGATCTGTACATGAGTCTAATGATTGCCGGTCCTCCTCTCCCTGATCACCTTCAAGTTCAGGGGATCTTTGGTCAACTGAGACCTCTGTCCAATTGACTGACCATGTACACCCATGGGCTTGGTTCTCCTGTGGTCCAGAAAAGCACCTCTGGACCTAGACAGAGAACCTGTTAGCAGATTGGATCATACACTGAGCTTCCTTTGGACTCAACTTCATGTTCAAAGTTGAATATATTTGATTTATAGTAAAATATTTCAGATGACCGTAGGTAAAGGAATATTGTAGAAGGAACATGAATTAGGAACCAGACACTACTGAGTTTGATTTGCAACTTCATCAGTGTATGAGTATGGAAGCTCTTTACATGTCTGGGACCCTTAACATCTCATCTGTTTAAGAGGAATAATTTTAATACTTAAAGTATGTAAGAGCCCTAGTACAGAAGCCAATTTTAGTAGAATTCTTCAAATTATTGAGTATTTATAATTTAACATATTTATATTGTGTGTGTGTGTGTGTGTGTTTAAATAGTGCACCCATTCTTTACTTATCTTAGAAATGACATCGTACGACTTGGGGGAATTGTCAAAGGTCATGCAACCAGTCAAAGGCAGAATGAAAACAAATACCTCAAGTTTCTTGATTTGCAGGCTTGTACTATTTCTACCCCACTACTCTTCTCCAGCAGATGTTAAGTGACAGCCAGGCCCATAAGAATTTAGATGCTGGCTCTTCATATTTTCTTCACTGAAAGAATTAGCTTCACAGAAATTGTCCTTGAAGGGTCTAAAGTGGATAAAAGTAAGCTTCATCCGAAATGAGGAGACATCTAACAAATTGTCAAACTTTCTGGAACTGTATCTCTTATAGCATTATTAAGAGAACTGATATATTTCATCATTTGTAAAGTGAGTGACTTCATTGTCATAAAGGTAGCACAAACCACCAGAGAGCAGATGTTTGGGTGAATATGGATATTTTATAATAGGTGGAATCATAGTACAGTATGAAGAGTCAAATCATTGTGGGTTTGATTCTATACTTTGGAGCCTAAATGAATTGTATGAATTTGCCAAAATTACTTAACTCACCTGAGTCTCAGTTTCCTAGTCAGCAAAATGGGTATATTATCCCTAATTTAAAATTAATGCAATATGAAATAATGAGCATTATATATCAGACAACAAATAACTAGTACATAAAAATAAAAACATTTTATTATCCTTCTGCCTTTGAAAGATGTTGCTTTAACCTCTATTGCTGACAACCTTTTCTGCAAAAGAAACTCAGTGGCTGTGAAGTCTTCTTAAGCCTATACTAGGAAATCAAATCCAGTTGCCGATTTTACATAGACGTTGAAAGTAAAGCCCCAATGACAAAGCCGGGCAACTCAATATCTTTGGCATTTCTGGTGTCAAGACCTAGCCAGAGCTGTTATGGATGATGTGGGTGAAAAGTCTCCCATTGTATTTTTTATTTTTCAAATCAAGGTCACAAGGGACAAACACATAAATTAATAAAAGAATGCCCTGGACACCCTAAGAAGCCCACGAGGTTGAGAATACCCCAAGCCCTAAGGGCAGGGATACAGAAGGACAGTACCACTCATGAGCTCACATTTGGGCTGGCTCAATGAATGCAGCACTGTTTTTCTGCATCGCTGAAATCACAGCAGGTTTTGACAAATCCCTTTATATCCCCCACTGAAAGTGAATTCATAAACATTTCCCCTTTTGAAGGGAATTTGAAGATCGTTCTATTTTGTGATCACACGTCAAAGTAGGGATGACATTTCTCTTGTTCTTAAGTGAACTGTTATTAGCCTACAAACTAAATCTGTGGAGGGTCTTAAGGGGGGAATTAACATTTCATTTTCAGAAGGTAAAAAAAAAAATGACAGCTTTGGCAGTCATATAGGTTTACTGCCTGGAAGGTAAATGCACCTTGGATCTCTTTTATTGCTGTGCCTGCCAGGGCTGCACAAAACTAATTTTAAGTTGATATTGGAGGAATCTAGAAGACTTTGCCCTTCTTCTAAGGGAGTCGAGCACTAAAGTTACAGTAGCTGTTCTTCTGCTTGAGATTCTGACTGCCTCATAAAGAGAACATGAAACATCTAGACATGATGGGATAAAATATGGGTATTAGCATAGCGTCATGCTACGACCAGGATAGTCCTGTTCTCTTAGCTATTTGACCTGAGGCAAGTAGCTTCACCCCGTTGAGTCTTACTTTTCCTCTCTATAAAATGGGAATGTAAGCACAATGTGATGCCACCATACTCCCACAAGAATGCCAATAATAAAAAAAAATAGATATTGCCATGGATATGGTGAAAAGGGAACACTTTGACACTGCTGGTGGGAATGTAAACTATATATGTACAATGGAATGCCACTCAGCCATAAAAAGGAATGAATTAATGGCATTCGCAGCAACCTGGATGAGATTAGACACTATTTTTCTAAGTGAAGTAATGCAGGGATGGAAAACTAAACATCGTATGTTCTCACTTATAAGTGGGAGCTAAGCCATGAGGGTGCAAAGGCATAAGAATAACACAATGGACTTTGGGGACTCGGGGAGAAAGGGTGGGGAGGGAGTGAGGGATAAAAGGCTACAAATTGGGTTCAGTGTATACTGCTCAGGTGATGGGTATACCAAAATCTCACAAAACACCACTAAAGAACTTACTTACGTAACGAAATACCACCTGTTCCCAAAAAACCTATGGAATTGTTTTTAAAGGGAATGTTGATGCCATCTTTATAATACCTTGGAGGATATATATAGCATTCTGATAAGGTCTAATTTCTCATGCCAGTGAGAAGGTGTTATGGATCAATTTGTGCCCCCCACCCCAAATTCCATATGTTGATGTCCTAAGCTCCATACCTCAGAATGTGACCTTATTGGGGCATAGGGTCTTTACAGAGGTAATCAAGTTAGAATGATGTCATTAGGGTGATCCCTAATCCAATATGACTGGTGTCCTTATGAAAAGGGAAGATTTGAGCTGGGCATGGTGGCTCACGCCTGTAATCCCACTACTTTGGGAGGCCGAGGTGGGCGGATTGCCTGAGCTCAAGAGTTCAAAACCAGCCTGGGTAACATGGCGAAACCCCCATCCACTAAAAATATAAAAAATTAGCTGGGTGTGGTGGTGGGCGCCTGTAATCTCAGCTATTCTGGAGGTTGAGGCACAAGAATCGCTTGAACCTGGGAGGTGGAGGTTGCAGTGAGCCAAGATGCAGCCTGGATCACTGCACTCCAGCCTGGGTGACAGCAAGACTCTGTCTCAAAAAAAAAAAAAAAAAAAGAAAAGGAAGATTTGGATAGAGATACCCATAGAGGAAAGATGTATGAGGTTACAGAGAGAACACCATGTGAAACGAGAAGACAGCCGTCCACAAACCAAGGAGAGAGGCCTGGAACAGATTCCCCTTCACAGCCCTCAGAGGGACCCAACCCTGCCAACACCTTGATTTTGGACTTCAAAGCTCCAGGACTGTGACACAATAAGTTTCTGTTGTTGAAATCACTTAGTTTGTGGTGCTTTGTTACAGTAGGGCTAGCAAACTAATATAGAAGGGGTGATGGATTTGGGACCTCCTTCTGAGAGGACTGACTATAAAATGCAGGGCCCAGAGTTGAATAGGACTCTCCCTCTCCAACCAAACAAAGCCCTCTCCAGAAATGACTGGCCCTTCAGAATACTCAGATTGGGATTTAATTGTCTTAGAAACAGTTGTCATGACAACTGGATATAAAGTTTAGTTCCAGAACTTAAACCTAAATATGTTAAAATCTCCACAAGACATTTTCTTTGACTGAGAGTGAATTAAGCAAAGCATGTGCATGCACACACAGACACAATCTCTTAAAAACATTAAAAAGGGACTATGTCCTCTGACTCACACATCAGTGTTCTGGAATAGGAGACATTCATTACCATCACCCTTCTATTCACTCAACTGACATTTATTCATTTAATTGGCATTTACTGAGCAACTACAATGTGCCAAGCACAGAAGGAAAATTCGTGGCAGATTAACTGCCTACATCAGAAAGCTTGAGATTGTTTGAATATCTGGATTGAAAAGTGGCATATTTACTTGTGACAGGTTAGGGAGCACCATGAGCTTCACGAGAAAGGGGGGCTGTGGCTTGCTCATTCATTTCTTCTTCCCCAGGGATGTAATGCAGTTCCATGTACCTTATAGCTGCCTAGCAGATATTTACTGAACAAATGAATGAATGGTTGAACAAAAGAAAATTCAAAGACAGCACTGAAACCAGTCTGGGATTCTCGAAGCATTAAAATGTCTAGTTGTGGATGTAACATTAATGTTAGCCAATATTTATTGAGCACTGACTATGTTCCTGGCTCCAAGCACTCCAGAGATGATGGTACAGGTTTTGCGTAATATTTGCAAAGCTCTTTGCTGAAGTGAGGCATAGCCTCATTTTATACATGAAGTGAATGAGGCTTTTAGAGCTATCATGAATTGCCTTTGGCCATACAGAAACGCACAGACCTGCATTTGAGCCCAGGTCTGTCCAAATTCAATGCTTGTGCTCCCTAATGTAGCTGCTCACCTCCCTCTTTCTTTAGACTCTGTTGCCTCCTCTCTCCGGAGAAAAGGAAGAGTGAGTGAGAGTCGATTTCTAAATCTATTAGTTGCTCATTTACACCCTCTTAAATGGTTTTCATTAATTTTCATAAATGACAGCACTAAGAAGAAATCTGAAGAATCTCGATGTGTGTTTTGTCTTCTTCACTGTCTCAGGAAACCAGCCAGTGATTCTTTTTTTCAATCTTACAAACAAAAACCCCAAAAAACTAAAATATGATCCATCTACAATACTTTCCTACAGGATCATAATGTAGCTCCCAATGATGCCCCCGCTTGGCAGGATTTTAACACCAATTCCAAAAATGTCAAGGAATGTCATTGGTTTGAATTTACATAATTGATAGAGTAGGGTATTGATTCAGGTTAGTAAACCCGAAGCCTTGAACCTGAGATGTGAGTTAATTGGGGTTAAATGGTGTCATCTCTTGACGGAGAAAAATGTTTTAGCCTGGTTCTGTTGGATTCTGCAAATTATTGCCGCCTTCCCAGTCCCCATTCGAATAAGAGAGACTTCTCTTCTGGAATTGCTGAGTGTGGAGTCAAACTGAATGTAACATAACAGGCTCTTTAATGAAAAAAGTGAGAGTAAAGCAACTTGACCTTCCACTTTAAAGGTGAGTTTTCCGGAAAAAAGTACAAATACTAGATAAAGTTGCTGTGAAATTAAAGGTGTGTCTTTAGGGAGGGGAAGAGGAAAGAGTGACTAGTGTATGATAAAGGCTGACTTATTTTTAATGCACAGTATAAACATTCCAGTGAGTGACTCTCCATGTGTCATGATGCTTGAATTCTGTTCAACATTGCCTATCTGCTGAGCCTGACACTGTGCTGGGCAACTGGCACAGAAGCTGACAATGCTGAGCTAGACCTCTATGATTACTTGAAGGGTTCCAAGACTAATAAAATATGGAGATGTAAAGGAAGCAATCACAGTAGGGCAGCATGCTATGGGGGCACAGCTGCAGTTATGGCCCACTCTGCTTGGGCAGGTGGAGTTAGACTGCTCGCATGGGAAGGAGCCCAATCCTGGGACCTTTGAATGTGGACGATTGAAGTTACCCAGAATTTGAGGAGCCTAGGATACCATGTCAGAGGTGTTTGCATGGGTGAGCACAGCTAGTGTTGGAACTCACCAGAGATTCAGCATGACTGGAATAGAGAGAAACGCGATCTCACAGCACCTTGTCCTTTTACTTCCTAGCCTTTGTCAAAGTTGCAACTCGTTCATTCATCATGATTTTTTGTTTGTTTGTTTGTTTGTTTGTTAGATGGAGTTTCACTCTTATGGCCCAGGCTGGAGTGCAATGGCGTGATCTCAGCTCACCACAACCTCTGCCTCCCGGGTTCAAGTGGTTCTCCTACCTCAGCCTCCTGAGTAGCTGCGATTACAGGCATGTGCCACTATGCCCAGCTAATTTTGTATTTTTAGTAGAGATGGAGTTTCTCCGTCTCAAACTCCTGACCTCAGGTAGTATGCCTGCCTCGGCCTCCCAAAGTGCTAGGATTACAGTCATGAGCCACCACGCCTGGCTCATTGTGATTAGGCTGAAAGCTCCATGAGGACTGGAATTCTAATAGGCTTGTCCACTACTTATTCTCAGTAGCTCAAACAGTGACTGGCAGATTTTAAACAGCCAGTATCAGTGGATCGAATAAGTAAATGAATGTGTATACAGGCATGTCACGACACGAGATCAGAATCAGGCCATTATCATATCATAGAGAGCCTTGAATGCCACTATATAGGTGCTCAAGAGATAGTTATTGAATAAATGAACAAATGAATGAATGAAAATCTAAAAGAACACTAAAACTGCTCTGGAAACCATGAAATCTACAGTGAGAGGGAGATTTTGAAGGATCCTACAGAGGGCATTGACATGGTTTATTTTAGCAAAGAATCACTTATTAGGTGCTTGTGATGTCGGTTATTTGAGGACAAATGAAATATAACCCTATTTGATGAAGATTATAATCCACGAAGTAAAGGGATTTACTTTATACCTTTAAATATTTTGGACACTTCTCTACATGGAAATATCTAGATATTTTTTCATTCAGTGCAATGAAAAACAGGATTTGTACTGAAAATAATTATTTTTACCATCATATGTATATTTTCTAATGGTACAAACCATAGTGAGAAACAGCTACAATTCCTCTATATTAGGGACCAGAAACTATGGCAGGAGGGGCAAATCCAGCCCACTGCTCATTCGTGTATAACTGAGCTAAAAATATTTTTCATATTTAAAAATTATTTTTCAAAATCAAAAAAAGAAAAAAAATTTATGTCATGTGAAAAGCATGTAAAATTCAAATTTCAGTGTCCATAAGTAAAGTTTTATTGGAACACAGCTATGCCTGTTCCTTTTTGTATTATCTGTGGCTGCTTTCTTGTTACGGAGCAGAGTTGCTAGTAACTACAATTTGGCCCACAAAGCCTACAGTAATTGCCATCTGGCCCTTTACAGAAAAAGTTTGCTGACCCCTGCTCTAGATTCACAGTAATTTTTAGTGGCACGATTTGTGCCAGTATACATTTTGGTGACCTTCCCTTAAAGGAGTTCCTTTTCCTGAATCAGTGGTTCCCTGCAAATTAGAATGTAACCACATTTGGGGAATTTCATTTCCTACTTCTCAAAATGAATGCCTTGCAAATGATGATTGATTACACCTTTGATTAGGAAGTAAGGGGACATACTGCTTAGTATGAAATGCAAAGCTATTTAGGTCAGGGCAGCATAGTTGAAATAACAGCAGCTAGGATCAGGAAGCCCATAGTTCACCCTGCAAGCTTGGGCAGCTCACATCCGTATCAGGACCAAAGCCCCCTTATTTGTCCAACTACAGGGCCGAGAAAGCAGTCTTTAAGATTTTTTTTTTTTCCCCTGGGGCTAAAAGTCTGTACTTCAGAAAAGTCACTGTGCTCAGAGCTCTACCTATTCCTAGTAGATATACATTTTACAAAGAAAACACTCATTGACCACTAGATACCTTTGATTATTTACCCATGTGTGGAGTTAACAAGAACTGCATGGGAATGAAGCACAGGCTGGAATTTCAAATCTTCAGGAAGCATGGGAACAATTAGAATTCTGTAGTTCATCTCGTAGCTTTGGGAGGCATTTTGTCTTTTTATCTGGAGGTGGCTGGGGAAAGAAACGTACTTACAACATTGTGGAAGGAAACAGTCAATTTTAAAAGAGGAAGTATGGTTGCAACCTGTAGTTACAACATCTTCACCCCATGCCAATTTCTCTATGCTTTAAAAATTGCAATCTCTTTCCTGCTTAGTCCCATGATTATTCTACCTTAGAGTTTCCTGGCAGAATACTGGCAGCTGATAACCAGGGCAGGATTCAAACAGCAAAAGTGACCAGTGAGCACTCCTGTGTGGTTTATCTGGGCCCCTAAGTGATCGCTCATTGTTCTCCCTTTTTAGGCCAGATTGTGGGTGGGAACATTAGAAAGGAGCTTGCAAAATATCAATGCTTAAGTGACTGTTCCAGTTGTTAAATCATAATACAGCGTGATTTCACTGAAATGAAGTAATTACAGGAGGAAAGAAGAAAAGTCAAATGATATAAAAACAGGTCTTTTTGGATTGTCTAAGTACTAATGCGCTCTCTGATGCATATGCATTTCTCATTTCTGAAGCACTCACCGCACAAAAGGTTCCACTCTGTTAAGAGTGGAGGTTCGTGTTATTTTGGCTCAAGCTCTTATCCCCAAATTTGGGCAAAGATAGCTGCACTTACAAGCCCTCAAACATTTCTCGAAGAGGCTATAATTATTCTAAATCAACACATCTCATGTTTTAATATTTTCATCTGAAATATACAATTCAATCTCCCTGCCCTCCAGCCTTTACATTTAGCAGACAGCATCCTTGTTCAAATCTTGGCCCTCCTCTGTCCCAACTGTGTGATCTTGAACAAATTGCTTCAAGTTTTCAATCCTCAGTTTCTGCATCTTTTTAAAGAAGGATAATAATAGAATACACTTCATATGGCTTTTGTTACCTTAAATATAGATGAAAAGCACTTCCTAGTGCCTGGCACACAGTAAGCACTTACCAGATATGAGCTATTATTCTCTGCCCTTTGGGTTCAGATGTTACTAGTCTGGGAATCTGTCCTTGCTTCCTGAGGGCTGGTAAGGAGGCTTACCCTATTACCCTCTCTAGGCTTTTCTTTCTCCTACCATTATTTTCACTGTTGCATCATTATCTAGCTACTTCCCTCTTTTCTAAACACTGGGTTTCTCCAGGTTTGTAAACCTGTCTGATTCATTTCTCCATCTCTGGCTTCCTTCTCACACAGATACATAGCTCTGGCCAAGAAGTGTGGTTTTGAAGAGGTAAGTATATAAAAGCAGTATGCATTTTGAAGCAACACAATCATGGAAATTACTTGTCTATGGAAACCTGCTGCTCTAAGAATAATAAAGAGAAAAATCCAAAACCTTAGCAAGGAATCTGTATAGCTCCTCCCTTGACTTTCAGCCTCTTCTTAGAACATGTCTACTCTCTGTATTCCCAGCCACAACAGAAATTTTTCAGGACCCCTGGCCACAGGATCTTTGCAAGTGCTGCTCCTGCTGTTTGGGTCTACCACACTTACCTTTCAGTTCACAGCTCAAGTCTTGCTTCCTTGGAGAGCCTTATCTCACCCCTCAGTCTAAGTCATGTCTGCTTGCTACATGCTCTCATAGAAATATGTTTCTTCCTATTTGAGCTCTAATTTCAGTTTTAATTAATTATTTAGTTTTGTGATTATTTTATTAATGTCTATCATTCCTCAAGAGATTGAAAATTCCATGGAAGCAGGAATTATGTCTGTTTTTTGCTGTTTCACATCCTCAGGGTTATGAATAATGCCTAACACGTAGTATGCACTCAGTAAATATTTGTTAAAAATTAATGAATGAAGAGCCAGCATCTTGTATTTCAGAAATGGATATGAAACAATTTTAGTTGCTTGACAAGGCATTCAAATTTTTTATTCAGTTAGTCTAACCAATGGCAGGCTTTCTACATGTTTACCAAGAGACAGGGCTTCACCTGCCTCACCATGCCAGGCTTATTTAAGAAGCTGTATTGCACCATTCCTGCCAATACTGGGTGAGACATAAACTGACAATGATCAAAGATGGATTAAACTCCCCTAGGTGAGAAGTATAGGCTAATGGAGGACTGGTTCTTAAGCTGCCCACATGGCCCTATGCTGACTTTATCATTTTTTAAAAGCTTTTGACCACTTTTTTGTGGGCTCCCCTGACATGTCTGGGGTATCAGTTTAACTCCATTTGTGTCTTTCTGGTCATAGCCATGATTCCTCCACAGACGATTCTGTTGTTTTCCCTCCCATACCCACTCCACTCTTTAGCCCAAACTGTATCTGTTACCTGATTTCAAAGAATATTCCACCTAGGAGAGACCCAGGTCCTGCAGACTTCCTCTGGACACTTTTGGCAGTCATTGTTCCCAGCTGATTCTGCAACAGATGAAGGACGGAGGATAGAATCATGAATAGCAACATCTTAATTGCTGACTGGGTAAGGAACTCAAGGTTTCAGGTGATGGTGGGAGAGGAGAAGCAAGATGTGCTCTCATGCCTTCTTCACCAGTTTACCTGATGTGGTTGAAAGACACCTACACCAATAATCCTTAAAGATCACTCTTCTAAGCTCAGGTATATGATCTGGAAGCTAATTACAGGTATGAGTCCTGCTGTGATTCATTGGATGATCTGAATATTGGTGTCCCCTCAAAAGTCATACATTGAAAGCCTAACCCCTTAGGTGATGATATTAGGAGGTGGGACATTTGGATGGTGATTATATGATGAGGGTGGTGCCTGAATGACTTGATTACTGTCTTTATAAAAGAGGCCGAAGAGAGTCCTCATTTCCCCTTCTACCATGTGAGAATGCAGCTGGGAGTCTCTGTCTATGCACCAGGCAGTGGGCCCTCACCAGATACTAAATCTGCCAGTGCCTTAATCTTGAACTCCCCAGTCTCCACAACTGTAAGAAATAAATCTCTGTTGTTTACAAGCTACTCAGTTTATAGTATTTTGTTATCTAGCAGCCAAAACAGTCTAGACTTGCAGCCCAGGTCATCTTCCTACATCCCCTCACTCACAGCGTACAGTGTCTCAATTTGCAATAGTCTTTTTATCTTTGGTTTCAACATACCCATTTTAAATGAACTGGTCTATGTTCTTAGCTTTTTTGAAACTATGTAACTTTTAACTCATTTCATAAAAAAAATTCCTTCCATCCCTACTCAGCCATTCCTGATTCTTCCACACTCTTACTTTCATGTTCAATTTATATGCATTTTATTTATCCCTAGAAAGCTTTTGATACCTTCAATGACCTGATCTATTTTTCTTCATTCCATTCCACAGTCTTGGTTCAAACTGTCATCATTTTATTCGCTGCAAAAAAATAGTTAATTAGTAGGCATTTTTTCCCATTCTACCACCCAAGAGGCTGACAGTGTCATCTTAAAACAGAACAAAACAAAGACTATACTTATTAAATTGTAATTTCAAGCAATGGGCATCTTCCAATTTCTCTCTCTTCACCTGCCTCATCCCGTGCCCTGAATTAGGTACCCCACCTACATAAAACTTTCCACCAATACCTTCTACAACTCCAGACCTTTGAAAGTACTGCTAACTCCTGATGAGATCCAGCGGCCTTTGGTCTAGTGGAAAATATCCTTTTACCTGCCCTTTAAGAATCAGATTGGCCAAATGCAGCGGCTCACGCTTGTAATCCCAGCACTTGGGAGGCTGAGGCGGATGGATCGCTTGAGCCCAGGAGTTCAAGACAAGCCTAGGCGACATGGCAAAACCTCATCTCTACTAAAAATACTAAAAATTAGCCATGAGTGATGGCACATGCCTATAGTTCCGGCTCCTCAGGGGGCTAAGATGGGAGAGTCACCTGAGCCTAAAAAGTTGAGGCTGCAGTGAGCCATGATTATGCCACTGCACTCCAGCCTGGGTGACTGGAGTGAGACCCTGTCTAAAAATAATAATAATAAGATTTAAAAAATCATATTTTCTCTGAAGCCATTTTTAACTTTCCAGAAAGAATCAGTTATCACACCTTCTGCAAAACCATAACTCTGTACGTAAAGCAGAAATAAATACTTTAAAACACAATGGGATTTCAAAAAGTTCATGGAAAAATGGAATTAAAAGTTACAAAATAAAGACATAAACTTTATTTCTCAACATAAGCTCCACTAGGTGTAAGACACTTTTATAAGCCACAATAATAGCCATTCGGAGCATCCCTAAAAAAATTGAGAGCCCTGGGAATTTAACCACCTCAATGCAATCTTTTTTATATTATTAACTGAAGAAAAATTGACACCCTTTACAGATTTTCTTAGAATTAGGAAACAAAAAAAAAAAAAACGAAGTCAGAAAGAGTCAGATCAGGACTGTAAAGTGGATGCCCAATGATTTTCTACAGAAACTATTGATAAATTTCCCTGGTTTGTTGAGAGAATGAGCAAGAGCATTGCCATGGTTGTGAAGGATGCTTTGGTGAAGATTTCCTGGGCATTTTTCTGCTAAAGCTTTGGCTAATTTTCTCAAAACACACTCATAAGAAACCCTTTGGCCCTCTGGAAAGTCACCAAGCAAAATGTCTTGAGCATCCCCAAAACTGTTGACACAATCTTTGTTCTTGGCTGGTCCATTTTTGCTTTGACTGGACAACTTCCACCTCTTGGTAGCTGTATTATTCCATTTTCATACTGCTATGAAGAAATACTGAGAAATAGAAAAAGAGGTTTAATGGACTCACAGTTCCACATGGCTGGGGAGGCCACATAATCATGGTGGAAGGTGAAGGAGGAGCAAAGGCATGTCTTACATGGTTGCAGGCAAGAGAACGTGTGCAGGGGAACTGCACTTTCTAAAACCATCAGATCTCATGAGACTTATTCACGATTACGAGAACAAGACAGGAAAAACCCACCCCTATGATTCAGTTACCTCCCACTGGGTCTCCCCCCATGACACATGTGAATTATGGGAGCTACAATTCAAGGTGAGATTTGAGTGGGGACACAGGCAAACCATATCAGTAGCCTTTGCTTTAATCGTGCCTTGTCTTCAGTATTGTACTGGTAAAGCCATGCTTCATTTTCTATTACATTTATTTGAAGAAATGCTTCAGGCTCTTAATCCCACTTGTTAAAAATTTCCACCGAAAGCTGAGCTCTTTTCTGTAGCTGATCTGGGTATAACACTTTTGCCACCTATTGATAGAGCGAAAAGTTTGTTTAACTTTGATTTTTCATTCAGAATTGTGTAAGCTGAACTAATTGAGATGTCTAGGTATTGGCTATTGTTTATACTGTAATTGCCAGTCCTCTTCAATTAGAGCACAAACAAGATGAAGTTTTTCCTCCAAAATTGATGTGGCTGGTCTGCCACTGTGGGCTTCATCTTCAACATCATCTTTTCCTCTTGTACCCATTTGCAAACTGCTTATTTCTTTGGGGCACTGTCTCCCATAATTTTTTTTTTTTTTTTTTTGAGACGGAGTCTTACTCTGTCAACCAGGCTGTAGTGCAGTGGTGTGATCTCCGCTTACTGCAAGCTCTGCCTCCTGGGTTCATGCCATTCTCCTGCCTCAGGCTCCCGAGTAGCTGGGACCACAGGCGCCTGCCACCAGGCCTGGCTAATTTTTTGTATTTTTCGTAGAGACAGGGTTTCACCGTGGTAGCCAAGACAGTCTTGACCTCCTAACCTCGTGATCCACCCACCTCGTCCTCCCAAAGTGCTAGGATTACAGGCATGAGCCACCGCATGCGGCCTCCATAAACTTTTTTTAAACATCAATGATTTGACCATTGTTCCACTCAAACATTACCATAAATTTGATGTTCATTCTTGCTTCAATTTTAGCAGAATTCATGTTACTGAGAGAGGTGCTCCTTTCAAACTGATGTCTTGCCCTTCTTAGTGCCTCAAACTAGATGCCCTTCAGACATGTTATAACAAGTTAGTATGAGTTTTTTTTGGTGCAAACATCTTTTAAATCAATGCATAGTTTTTTTGTAATATGCATTTTCTATGAAATTTTTGAGGTCCCCTCATAATTATCTCATGGCATCTTTCTATCTTAATGAACTAGGAGGTTTGTGAGTGTGAGACCTATGACTTACAGTCCAAATGTTCCCTTTGTGATTAGTACAACACCTGGCACATTATAAGCATTATAATATTTTCAGAGAATAAAGAGTTTAGCTTAAAAATATATCTTTTTTCCTTTGATAACAAGCATTTACTCCAAAAAAGAAATGTGTTCCCTCCTGACATTGAAATGGTGTTTTGTTGAAGCAGCAGCCAGTTGAGAAATACAAAAAGTGGGTAACATCTTCATTTTGATGTGTGTATGTCTGTAGTAAATTGTCATTTATGATGATCAAAAAGAAAGGGAGGATAAGGATATTTTAAGACAGACTACAAAAATAACCTAGATTGTGATTCTGCCATTTTAATTTTATCTCAGTTCTGATAAATATTTCTCCTTAACATGCTTGCCCTCCTAAAGAGTGCTGATAAGCCCTCCAAACAGATCCCCCCCACTCCTTGCATTTCTAAGCCTTTGATTTAGGTTCTTAGTAAATGCTAAATGATAAGAATAATCCTCAATGATGTTTGTGAGTTTTTGGAAATACTCTTTTCATCTAATTTTCCTTTTCATAGGCTTAATCTATATTAGCATTCCAGTGCTTCTCTTTAAGTATGATCTTTATTTATTTCAAGAATTCAAGTCATTCCAATTTCCTATGAACATTTTTTGAGTGCCTACTGTACCCCAGGCTTTAAATTGAGTGCTGGTTATTCTGTAATACATAAGACAGTGTGTCTAAGCTTAAGAGGTTCCAAGTCTGAGCCAAAGATTTAAAGGAATAAGGTCTTAGTAACAGTTGTATTAAAGCAAATATGTTTAACCTAAGGGAACGATTAGACTGACTGTTGGGAAAGTGGATGGCAGAGTTGACTTCAAAAAGTGATGGCTTTTGAGCTGGGCTTTGAGGGCTGAATAGGAGTTTGCCATTACACAGAATAAGAAGCAAATAAAAAGATTTAATAATGTGTTTATAAACTAATATCACAATTGATTTTAATCAAGTCCAGAGAATGGATATTACAGAGTAGGGAGGAGAGATAGGGGGATGATGTGATTTGAAAAAACTTTCCCCTTTTGACATCTTTGCTGTGATTTCATTGTCTTTGAGGCCACGGGAAAAAATACTTTGTGAGGGCTGCTTTGATGTGTATGAATTATTCATCATTAAGAAGCCAGGCAGCTGACACTACTCTTTATTAACGCTATTGAGTGTATTATGGCCCCCCTGGAAAAGCAGCGTGTTTTTTTACTCCTCTCTGCCCTGTGTGAGGGTTATCCGCATGTGTAGGAAGGTCTTGGTCAGCTTCTCTCTGATTGGTGCAAATGAGAGGACATTTTGAGCCTTCCTGTCCTGTTGTTTTTTTTCTCGAGTCTTTTTTTAGGATGAAAACTGTTTATCATTGGAGACACAGGCACACATACACACACCCAAGCTGCCTGAGTGTGTGGGTTGCTTGCTTTATTAAAAACCCAGAGTCTAGTCAGACGGAAAGACATGACCACCTAGTCCATTAGTGTTCTTGCTCTGACACAGGCAGCATGACCTGGGAGCAGCAGAGCTAATGGGATGTCTCATTAAAACAGCTTTCGTCAGAGTGTTTTCCCCACCGTTTAACATTCTCCTGTGCATTGTGCAGGTTGTAGTGTGAGGAGCCAGCTGTCTCTTCTCAGGACACAACAATGTAGGCAATAGAAAGACTTCAATGAGCGCTGAGGACCTACTGTGTGCCAGAATTACCCAGCTCTCTCAATATTGCCACTAAAGCCACCATGAATTGTTATTTTGCACACATGCTAATAGTATGAGTCAAAGCTAACATTCGTACTTGTTGACTGGGTCTCATTGTTCTATAAATGCTTATATAGGTAGATTATATCATTTACCCTAAAAATTCTATGATATATGCATTATTACTATTCCCATATTACAAATGAAAAAAGCAAGACTAAAACAGATTATGTTACTTGCTCAAAGTTAAGAACAAGTTTATTTGATAAAACCATACTCAGTGTGTTTGCTCTTTGTACAATATCATTATACTTCTAATCTGGTGTTTTATCCCTACAGTAGGCTAAGCAGCAGAGAATAAACTCAACAACAGGAAAAATGCTTGGGTTGGTGGTTGTGATTGTCATTGTTATGATTAAAACCAGCAATTGCTGAGGTCTTGCTATATGCCATGCCTTGAACTAATTAGTTAATTTACATATCTCATTTAATTCTGTTTTCAGCCCCATGAAGTAGGTTCTCTATCTGTTCCTATTTCACAGATGTAGAAATAGAGGCTTAAACTAGTTAAATACGAATGTCAGCCTACTTTGATTCCAAATCTGTATGACTTTAAATCAGAAGGAAGAAATGATGGTGGCTTGGGCTAGGGTAATACACTGACAGAAATGAACAATTTTGAAAGATGTCTGTGATTTATGATTGATAAAACTTGGCTACTTATTGTTGAAATGTAATTCAATTTAATAGCTTTTTATTGGGTAAACCTACTGGTATGAGATATTATGCTAAGCTCTAAGTATATCCGGGTAATTATCACACAATCTCTATCTTATGATTCTAATTAACAAGAAGATCAATGAACATGTGAATTTTATTATACATGTGTCTACCTATATGTAAATATGATACATGAACAAAAACAGTTATCCACTGATTTATTTTTATTCATGAAATATGCAAATAAGAAGAAGAACAAACACTTGGCATTTGCTTGTGTGATACCTATGCATTCGTTTTTAAAATCTTCTTAGAAGTTTGATGTGATAGGTGTTACTATCATTCCCATATTACAGATAATGGAAACAGAGACATAGGGAAGATGAGTAACTTCTGTGAGTTCCTAGAGCTAGCCATAGTCTCTGAAAACAAAATGAGGAAACAATTACTTCCACCTGGCTGGGGAAGTGTGAGTTATGGTCTGGAATAAATCCTACAGAGGAATAAAATTTGAAACAGGGGAAAGTAGAAACAATCTCCAAGGAAAAATCAGATAAGTACTGAAAACAATTGATAATTTACACAATAAAAGTGCAAGTTGTCTCTCAGCATATGGCAAACTCTTGGACTCATGCAAGTTAACATTGTCTTGTTTTGAATTCTAATTGCACAACTAACTGAGCCTTCATTTCATGTGAAAAAGTGTGTTTGAATACCTATCTGATAGGGTTGTGATGAGACTTAGAAGTGATAAAGCAGGTAGCAGCCCCAGCATAGCCTGTTTGGGACATAGTAAATGCTCAATAAGTGTGCAATCAGTTAATCTATCAATCAATGTGGAAGATACTGTAATGGGCCACCCTTTTGTGAAGTTGAGGTGGTCTCAGCAACTAGGAGTGCCATCTGCAAATGACTTTCAACTCTCGCCCCTGCAGGGATTCTCTCATGTTGTGGGTCTCAAGATCGTGATCCTTACTGGGGCAACCCACAGTCAAGAATTGATCACTGTAGGGGTATAAGGTTTTGGCCATTGACTCTGGTTCAGAACAACTCTGATGTACCATTCTAACTCCATGATTCTCTTTGGGGTCAGCCAAGTCTGTCTTGCCTGCATCACATCTTGAATTTTTTGAAATCTTACTTACTTTCTCTTACTTCCACAGGTGTTGATTCTAAGGATACCCCCAATAAACATCTTTCGTGCTAAAGCCCATTCCAGAATTTACTTCCCAGCTATCTTTGATGTTCATATTGTCAGAGGTGGTGGCCGCTGAAACAGGCAAAGACATGGAGCATATCTTGGGTCCAGGTTAGTGTCTTAGGATGTGTGACAAGTGCCAGCTTGCTGAGAGACAGCTTTAATATGATGTTGTTTTAAAAGGGGCTTGCATTTTTCCTATGCCAGCCAACAGGACCCTTCACTTAAAATGATAATTGTTAATAAAATCGCTACTCATCCATTTTATAGGTAAAGGAGGTGGGTGCACACAAGTGAAAAGATGTTGCTGAAGTCACGTGGCTTCAAGCAGTAGAGCTGACTGTCCTCTAGTCCAGTTGTCCCTACAGGATAAAAGCTTCTCTCCATTACAGAGTATGTGTATATTTTTTTGTCTGAAGTTATCTAGGGCTGCATCAGATTTGCCACCTCTTCGCACAAAACTAATGGTGTCTACCTTATAGGACCTTGGGAGTCCAGAGGAAGGTCTTTTTACCATCAGCATTCTCTACTGTGTTCAATGACTGTCAGCCAAAGATGGCCAGGTAAGTGATGGAGCTTTAAAAGGTTAATTACCATTAATCATTGTGAAAAGGTGGCTTATTATCCATTCATAAATTCAGAATAAATTTATTTTGCTGACAAGCAAAATGTCCCATTTGCCCTGTAGACCTGGTTCCCATTTTGAAAAATATATATATTTTTTTTAGATTATGGTCTTTCTATGAACTGCTGTCTTTTCCAACACACCATGTGGGGAAAAGCTTAATTAAATTCATAAAGTTGGTTAAGTTATTCCACATTTATCAAAAACCTTTAGGATTACACATATATGAGTATCTGTGCAGACTCAGATGTATAGTTACATGTCTATGAATAGCAATACACAGAGGTTGTTAACCAACACCTTTAAAGTGTGTTCTACAGGTGACTCACAGATGAATCTTACTTTAAAACTTCTACAAGACGTTTCGTGTATTATATTTTTTAAATTTTTTTTAAAGTCTTTTTTAAAAATTTATTATTATTATACTTTAAGTTTTAGGGTACATGTGCACAATGTGCAGGTTAGTTATATATGTATACATGTGCCATGCTGGTGCGCTGCACCCACTAACTCGTCATCTAGCATTAGGTATATCTCCCAATGCTATCCCTCCCCCCTCCCCCCACCCCACAACAGTCCCCAGAGTGTGATGTTCCCCTTCCTGTGTCCATGTGTTCTCATTGTTCAGTTCCCACCTGTGAGTGAGAATATGCAGTGTTTGGTTTTTTGTTCTTGCAATAGTTTACTGAGAATGATGATTTCCAATTTCATCCATGTCCCTACAAAGGACATGAACTCATCATTTTTTATGGCTGCATAGTATTCCATGGTGTGTATGTGCCACATTTTCTTAATCCAGCCTATCATTGTTGGACATTTGGGTTGGTTCCAAGTCTTTGCTATTGTGAATAATGCCTCAATAAACATACGTGTGCATGTGTATTTATAGCAGCATGATTTATAATCCTTTGGGTATATACCCAGTAATGGGATGGCTGGGTCAAATGGTATTTCTAGTTCTAGATCCCTGAGGAATCGCCACACTGATTTCCACAATGGTTGAACTAGTTTACAGTCCCACCAACAGTGTAAAAGTGTTCCTATTTCTCCACATCCTCTCCAGCACCTGTTGTTTCCTGACTTTTTAATGATTGCCATTCTAACTGGTGTGAGATGGTATCTCATTGTGGTTTTGATTTGCATTTCTCTGATGGCCAGTGATGGTGAGCATTTTTTCATGTGTTTTTTGGCTGCATAAATGTCTTCTTTTGAGAAGTGTCTGTTCATGTCCTTTGCCCACTTTTTGATGGGGTTGTTTGTTTTTTTCTTGTAAATTTGTTTGAGTTCATTGTAGATTCTGGATATTAGCCCTTTGTCAGATGAGTAGGTTGTGAAAATTTTCTCCCATTTTGTAGGTTGCCTGTTCACTCTGATGGTAGTTTCTTTTGCTGTGCAGAAGCTCTTGAGTTTAATTAGATTCCATTTGTCAATTTTGGCTTTTGTTGCCATTGCTTTTGGTGTTTTAGACATGAAGTCCTTGCCCATGCCTATGTCCTGAATGGTAATGACTAGGTTTTCTTCTAGGGTTTTTATGGTTTTAGGTCTAATATTTAAGTCTTTAATCCATCTTGAATTGATTTTTGTATAAGGTGTAAGGAAGGGATCCAGTTTCAGCTTTCTACATATGGCTAGCCAGTTTTCCCAGCACCATTTATTAAATAGGGAATCCTTTCCCCATTGCTTGTTTTTCTCAGGTTTGTCAAAGATCAGATAGTTGTAGATATGTGGTGTTATTTCTGAGGGCTCTGTTCTGTTCCATTGATCTATATCTCTGTTTTGGTACCACTACCATGCTGTTTTGGTTACTGTAGCCTTTTAGTATAGTTTGAAGTCAGGTAGTGTGATGCCTCCAGCTTTGTTCTTTTGGCTTAGGATTGACTTGGTGATGCGGGCTCTTTTTTTGTTCCATATGAACTTTAAAGTAGTTTTTTCCAATTCTGTGAAGAAAGGCATTGGTAGCTTGATGGGGATGGCATTGAATCTGTACATTACCTTGGGCAGTATGGCCATTTTCAAGATATTGATTCTTCCTACCCATGAGCATGGAGTGTTCTTCCATTTGTTTGTATCCTCTTTTATTTCCTTGAGCAGTGGTTTGTAGTTCTCCTTGAAGAGGTCCTTCACATCCCTTGTAAGTTGGATTCCTAGGTATTTTATTCTCTTTGAAGCAATTGCGAATGGGAGTTCACTCATGATTTGGCTCTCTGTTTGTCTGTTGTTGGTGTATAAGAATGCTTGTGATTTTTGTACATTGATTTTGTATCCTGAGACTTTGCTGAAGTTGCTTATCAGCTTAAGGAGATTTTGGGCTGAGACAATGGGGTTTTCTAGATATACAATCATGTCATCTGCAAACAGGGACAATTTGACTTCCTCTTTTCCTAATTGAATACCCTTTATTTTCTTCTCCTGCCTAAGTGCCCTGGCCAGAACTTCCAACACTGTGTTGAATAGGAGTGGTGAGAGAGGGCATCCCTGTCTTGTGCCAGTTTTCAAAGGGAATGCTTCCAGTTTTTGCCCATTCAGTATGATATTGGCTGTGGGTTTGTCATAGATAGCTCTTATTATTTTGAGATACGTCCCATCAATACCTAATTTATTGAGAGTTTTTAGCAGGAAGGGTTGTTGAATTTTGTCAAAGGCCTTTTCTGCATCTATTGAGATAATCATGTGGTTTTTGTCTTTGGTTCTGTTTATATGCTGGATTACATTTATTGATTTGCATATATTGAACCAGCCTTGCATCCCAGGGATGAAGCCCACTTGATCATGGTGGATAAGCTTTTTGATGTGCTGCTGGATTCGGTTTGCTAGTATTTTATTGAGGATTTTTGCATCAATGTTCATCAAGGAAGGATATTGGTCTAAAATTCTCTTTTTTGGTTGTGTCTCTGCCCGGCTTTGGTATCAGGATGATGCTGGCCCCATAAAATGAGTTAGGGAGGATTCCCTCTTTTTCTATTGATTGGAATAGTTTCAGGAGGAATGGTACCAGTTCCTCCTTGTACCTCTGGTAGAATTCGGCTGTGAATCTATCTGGTCCTGGACTCTTTTTGGTTGGTAAGCTATTGATTATTGCCACAATTTCAGCTCTTGTTATTGGTCTATTCAGAGATTCAACTTCTTCCTGGTTTAGTCTTGAGAGAGTGTATGTGTCGAGGAATTTATCCATTTCTGCTAGATTTTCTAGTTTATTTGCGTAGAGGTGTTTGTAGTATTCTCTGATGGTAGTTTGTATTTCTGTGGGATCGGTGGTGATATCCCCTTTATCATTTTTTATTGCGTCTATTTGATTCTTTTTTCTTCTTTATTAGTCTTGCTAGCGGTCTATCAATTTTGTTGATCCTTTTAAAAAACCAGCTCCTGGATTCATTAATTTTTTGAAGAGTTTTTTGTGTCTCTATTTCCTTCAGTTCTGCTCTGATTTTAGTTATTTCTTGCCTTCTGCTAGCTTTTGAATGTGTTTGCTCTTGCTTTTCTAGTTCTTTTAATTGTGATGTTAGGGTGTCAATTTTGGATCTTTCCTGCTTTCTCTTGTGGGCATTTAGTGCTATAAATTTCCCTCTACACACTGCTTTGAATGCATCCCAGAGATTCTGGTATGTTGTGTGTTTGTTCTCGTTGGTTTCAAAGAACATCTTTATTTCTGCCTTCATTTCGTTATGTACCCAGTAGTCATTCAGGAGCAGGTTGTTCAGTTTCCATGTAGTTGAGCAGCTTTGAGTGAGATTCTTAATCCTGAGTTCTAGTTTGATTGCACTGTGGTCTGAGAGATAGTTTGTTATAATTTCTGTGCTTTTACATTTGCTGAGGAGAGCTTTACTTCCAAGTATGTGGTCAATTTTGGAATAGGTGTGGTGTAGTGCTGAAAAAAATGTATACTCTGTTTATTTGGGGTGGAGAGTTCTGTAGATGTCTATTAGGTCCGCTTGGTGCAGAGCTGAGTTCAATTCCTGGGTATCCTTGTTGACTTTCTGTCTTGTTGATCTGTCTAATGTTGATAGTAGGGTGTTAAAGTCTCCCATTATTAATGTGTGGGAGTCTAAGTCTCTTTGTAGGTCACTCAGGACTTGCTTTATGAATCTGGGTGCTCCTGTATTGGGTGCATATATATTTAGGATAGTTAGCTCTTCTTGTTGAATTGATCCCTTTACCATTATGTAATGGCCTTCTTTGTCTCTTTTGATCTTTGTTGGTTTCAAGTCTGTTTTATCAGAGACTAGGATTGCAACCCCTGTCTTTTTTTGTTTTCCATTTGCTTGGTAGATCTTCCTCCATCCTTTTATTTTGAGCCTATGTGTGTCTCTGCACTTGAGATAGGTTTCCTGAATATAGCACACTGATGGGTCTTGACTCTTTATCCAATTTGCCAGTCTGTGTCTTTTAATTGGAGCATTTAGTCCATTTACATTTAAAGTTAATATTGTTATGTGTGAATTTGATCCTGTCATTGTGATGTTAGCTGGTTATTTTGCTCGTTAGTTCATGTGGTTTCTTCCTAGTCTCGATGGTCTTTATATTTTGGCATGATTTTGCAGCAGCTGGTATTGGTTGCTCCTTTCCATGTTTAGCGCTTCCTTCAGGAGCTCTTTTAGGGCAGGCCTTGTGGTGACAAAATCTCTCAGCATTTGCTTGTCTGTAAAGTATTTTATTTCTCCTTCACTTATGAAGCTTAGTTTGGCTGGATATGAAATTCTGGGTTGAAAATTCTTTTCTTTAAGAATGTTGAATATTGGTCCCCACTGTCTTCTGGCTTGTAGAGTTTCTGCCGAGAGATCCGCTGTTAGTCTGATGGGCTTCCCTTTGTGGGTAACCCGACCTTTCTCTCTGGCTGCCCTTAACATTTTTTCCTTCATTTCCACTTTGGTGAATCTGACAATTATGTGTCTTGGATTTGCTCTTCTCGAGGAGTATCTTTGTGGCGTTCTCTGTATTTCCTGAATCTGAACGTTGGCCTGCCTTGCTAGATTGGGGAAGTTCTCCTGGATAATATCCTGCAGAGTGTTTTCCAACTTGGTTCCATTCTCCCCATCACTTTCAGGTACACCAATGAGATGTAGATTTGGTCTTTTCACATAGTCCCATATTTCTTGGAGGCTTTGCTTGCTTCTTTTTTCTCTAAACTTCCCTTCTCGCTTCATTTCATTCACTTCATCTTCCATCACTGATACCCTTTCTTCCAGTTGATCGCATCTGCTCCTGAGGCTTCTGCATTCTTCACGTAGTTCTCGAGCCTTGGTTTTCAGCTCCATCAGCTCCTTTAAGCACTTCTCTGTATTGGTTATTCTAGTTATATATTCTTCTAAACTTTTTTCAAAGTTTTCAACTTCTTTGCCTTTGGTTTGAATTTCCTCCCGTAGCTCGGAGTAATTTGATCGTCTGAAGACTTCTTCTCTCAGCTCATCAAAGTCATTCTCCGTCCAGCTTTGTTCCATTGCTAGTGAGGAACTGAGTTCCTTTGGAGGAGGAGAGGCACTCTGCATTTTAGAGTTTCCAGTTTTTCTGTTCTGTTTTTTCCCCATCTTTGTGGTTTTATCTACTTTTGGTCTTTGATGATGGTGATGTACAGATGGGTTTTAGGTGTGGATGTCCTTGCTGTTTGTTAGTTTTCCTTCTAACAGACAGGACCCTCAGCTGCAGGTCTGTTGGAGTACCCGGCCGTGTGAGGTGTCAGTGTGCCCCTGCTGGGGGGTGCCTCCCAGTTAGGCTGCTCAGGGGTCAGGGGTCAGGGACCCACTTGAAGAGGCAGTCTGCCTGTTCTCAGATCTCCAGCTGTGTGCTGGGAGAACCACTGCTCTCTTCAAAGCTGTCAGACAGGGACATTTAAGTCTGCAGAGGTTACTGCTGTCTTTTTGTTTGTCTGTGCCCTGCCCCCAGAGGTGGAGCCTACAGAGGCAGGCAGGCCTCCTTGAGCTGTGGTGGGCTCCACCCAGTTCGAGCTTCCTGGCTGCTTTGTTTACCTAAGCAAGCCTGGGCAATGGTGGGCGCCCCTCCCCCAGCCTCACTGCCCCCTTGCAGTTTGATCTCAGATTGCTGTGCTAGCAATCAGCAAGACTCTGTGGGCATAGGACCCTCCAAGCCAGGTGCGGGATATAATCTCCTGGTGCGCCATTTTTAAGCCCGTTGGAAAAGCACAGTATTGGGGTGGGAGTGACCCGATTTTCCAGGTGCTGTCTGTCACCCCTATCTTTGACTAGGAAAGGGAACTTCCTGACCCCTTGTGCTTCCCGAGTGAGGCAATGCCTCGCCCTGCTTCGGCGTGCGCACCCACTGACCTGCGCCCACTGTCTGGCACTCCCTAGTGAGATGAACCCGGTACCTCAGATGGAAATGCAGAAATCGCCCGTCTTCTGAGTTGCTCACTCTGGGAGCTGTAGACCGGAGCTCTTCCTATTTGGCCATCTTTGTGTATTATATTTTAATAAACACAAAGCTTAAGCATTCAAGGTTGCAACCTGCAAAACTCAATCTAGCCCAACTCTAGGTTGCAGTTCAGGTATTATTAAAACTATCTCTATCCTTCATTATCCTTTAGAATGTATTTATTAATGCTTGCATTTTCATGAATGAAACTATGAGGCAAAATAAGGTGATCTAAAATATTAAAAGTAATAAGAATAAATAATATCTGCCATTTTACCATTCTATTTATGTGTCAGGTTCTCTACTGTGATGGTGAATTTTATGTGTCAATTTGACTGGACCATGGGATGCCCAGGTACTTGGTGAAACATTTCTCTGAGGATGTCTCTGGGTGAGATTAACATTTAAATTGGTCGACTGAGTAAAGCATATTGCCCTCCCTAATGTGAGTGGACTTCATCCAATCTATTTGAGGCCTGAAGAGAGCAGCTGATTCCTTATAATTAATCTATTTTTATATATGTATACATTCCAGTGATTTTGTCTCTTTGGTGAATCCTGACTACTACTATTTATAGTACTTAATAGTATACTGGTATGATATAATGAGATTTATAGCTACCTTCTTTCACTACCCGTTCTGTATTTCCTTTGCCTTCAGCAAGTACCTTAGTTGATTGTGGTTCTTTGCCTGGTGGGGTGATCCAAACCTTCATTCCTGATGAGTCTGAGTCATTAGTAGGATTGAATTGTTGTAGTTTTTCATTGACCTTAATCACAGGGCATGACCTTAATCACCCTAAAGGATTTCTTGTATTCCAGACATATTCTTCCTACC
Source organism: Homo sapiens (assembly GCF_000001405.40). Taxonomy (NCBI): domain Eukaryota; kingdom Metazoa; phylum Chordata; class Mammalia; order Primates; family Hominidae; genus Homo; species Homo sapiens. The sequence continues at coordinate 65,355,947 of NC_000016.10, read as the reverse complement.
TCCATTGGGCAGAAGTGCTTCCATTTCTCCTTGGTGGTCATAAGCAGTCACCCCAGTCAGCACAGCACAGGGGAGCCCAAAGTGACCTGGTGGCTGCCTTAACTTCCTGTTTAATGGAATCATTGTTGGGTCCTGGTGGAAGCACTCCTCCCTTTGGAACTAAGACCTTTAGGCCAGTAGAGCATAAGGTCACAGGGAACAGAAAGCAAGGTTTGAGGTGGAAAGATAAAGAGTATGCTTTAGCTGCACTCATCTACTTGAAAGTATCAGCATACCGTCTACCCTGTGTCTAGCTTCCTGCCCTGGTAATTAAAGGGCAGGTAAACAGGTCACCTAAGGCTTCAATATGGAGACATTTTTGGTGGTCTGCCCAGTATTTATGGACTATTTTCTTGGCCCCACCCCATCTTCTTTTCTGTGGCCCAAGGAGAAGACCCTCTCCCTTCCTCCACAAAAAGGGATAGAATAACATCTTTCTGAGAACACTGAACTTCCCCCAAACCTGAATTCTATCTTCTTGTTTAATCAAGGAGGACAGGGTTGGTATTAGGGTAAGCTCCCCAAATTGCTTCCTTTCAGTAAGCCCTGCAGAAAAATGACCACAAGAACTAGCATTCTTCTGCACATATAATTGACATATTTATTAGCATTATCAGCATTTAAGTATGTATTCTTTTTCACTTATTTCCCCCATTCATTTCTCTTTTGTTATTTGCTTTTTCTAAACTATCCTTCTCTCTTTCTCTAACTTTGCCCCATTCTGTCTCTTTCTTGGTTGCTCAGAAATTAATTTTAATAAAAAAGCAAAATTATTGCTCTGATGTTCCTTCTACTTGTACCATCTAGGAATAAAAAATCTTAGTCTTCGCCTGTCCCAAACATCTGGGTGAAATGAGTTCTCCCCACCCCTGCCCAAGTTCGACCCTCTGCTATATCTTCCCTGGTTCCATAGCACCAATAGGATAGAATGCTTTCCCTTCAACTGCTTACCTAATTTTAAGGATGCAGTGGAAACACACACACACAAACACACACACACACATATGGCAAAGGTTATAAGATTGCTAAGTATGTTCCTTTCTTGAACATTATAATAAGGGCACTTTGGTATGGAGCATGTGAGAATTGTGGGGAGGGAGTGTCCCAGAACATGATATCATTGGCAGTCTTTCTTATGTTGGCATCTGAAATTTTTGAAGACCATTCTTCCAGGTGTTCTCAGCACATTACCCTGATTTGGTTTGGCAGAAGACCTTGTTTAAACCTGAAATAACAACAGGTGTTCTTTCCTATATTGGCTCACCATCTAGTCCTATCTTTATTTCCTGTGGGGGCACAGGTGCTGATTTCATAAGCAATCCCTCTCAAAGGGTGGACCAGAACATCATCCTTCTGGAAGGAAAATGCTTTCCAGAGGAAGGATAAGGAGCTGGGAAGATCACTGGGGTCTCAGTTCCAGTCCTCCCTTCATTGTTCATTGACACTGTAACCCTAGAAAAAAATCTTTCTTCTCTCAGAGAGTATTTACATATCTCTAAATAAGACGAGGTGGCTGAACATGAGCTTCTAAATTACTTTTAGTTTTAACATTCTATAATGTCATATACTCTTCTTCCAAATTAAATTCCAACTCAATTTTCTTACAGCTTTCCTTCAGAAAGAAATGCATTCAAAGAACCTACATTCACAACATAAAGAAATAAAGGTAACTATATAATAAAATTGACTTGCCATTTAAAATGTTTATTAATATTTTTATCAATGTGGAAGATGGGTATCAGTGAATATGAACAAGAACAGGACAATGTAAGTGCCATGGGTAGTATGATACCTTATAGGTGAAAAAATATGATAAATTCAAGAAAGAAAGACAGAGTTTATGAAACTATGAACAGCTACTTCTGAGGGGTGAGATTATGTGTGCTTTATGTTTTCTTTACTTTTTGCCGCTATTCCCAAATTTCTCAAAGTGATTGTGCACTCTCATCAGGAGAAAAAAAACCGTGCATTTTTTCAAATAAGTTATTTTTCATGTGAATTGGATGTGATTTTGAATCAAGAAGCTTACCATTTTAGCTTTTCTATGTCATTCCTTTGAGATCAAGTTCATGTAAAAAATGTATTCCAACTTTTAAAAAAAGCAGTGTGTGCCCATCATATGCATGTATCTATATGTATTTAGGTATCTATTTTAAAGTTGGCAATGGATGATGTTCTGGAATTCCAGATGTTCAGTGAGCCTATGTATGAAATCTCATGGAGCTAATAAGATGATCTAGCATGAGGCTATAATTTTAATTAGATTGTTTTTATTCTCTCTAATGGAAGAGAAATGCAAAAACATCAATGACCGCAATTTTAAAAATTCATTCCTCAAAACATATTTCTGCATGTAATTATATTAAAAATCACCTTCTCCTCAAATTCTTCTACTCTTTGAAAACTATTGGTAACTGGTGGTCTGACACCCAAAATTCCTCATAGTCATCATTCATTTGCTCATTATATACTATGAAAATGCCCACACCTCCATTCCTGCCTTTGGCCATGACTCCAATCTCAGCCTGTTCCCAGAGAAGGTGAATCATGTTTGATAAGGGTGTATGTGTGCAGAAGGGAATCTAAGGGAGATATTAGGGTCAAAGCAGAATCTTGCTTTGCAAGCCCATTTTTTAGAAATTTAGTATATTCCTTTAAATTCATTCCTTGTGCTGGGAAAAAAAGATTTATTCGGAAGAAGCTGCTAAGGTAATAAGAAAATATAAATCTTTTGGCTGATTGTGGAGATTTTTAAACGATTCAGGGAGAGAAGCTGAGCTTGTGTTGCCAGGTAAGCTAGGAATGAGGATGCACTATAAACTCCCACCCCCTACTTCCTCTGCAGAAGCATCACGTTTTTCTAAGCCTCATTTTGCCCATCTGTAAAGGAAGCAAGATGTTTCTCTATTACAAGGTATAAGAAAGCTTAATGAAATCATGGTCTTAAAGAACTTCTGACAAAAGCCCTATCCTGATATAATGTGGTTTCAGGACTAAGATCAATTATCCTGCCTGAAACCTAGAAGCAATGTCCTTCTTAGGCAGGTGTGGACAGAATGATGCAGTGAGTCTTATTCATCTTTGCATATCTAGACTGAATCCTTTTCAAAGTGGTTTTCAGCAGACCTGAGCTCTCGGATACGTGAAGTATCTACCTCCAGGAGAATAATGGCAGATTATAGGCTCATCTCCGTGGCTGCCTTTTCTCTCTGAGGGTCTAAATTTCACCTTTCAGGTAAATCTCATGCATACCTAAGTACAGGCACCCTCTGAAATGGGCAGATGGGCTTATTTCCCCATCCCCTTCAGGAGGCAAAAACATCTGTCATTGAGTTCCCTAGAACCCACCTATTGTGGCCCAATTCTAATACCTGGGAGGTGATTTTCACCAACCTGCACCTCCTTATTAAAATCATTAAATTCTCATTGTCTACCACTTTTCACTTTGCTCAGGATGGCTGAAAATGAAGTCAAGAAAGAAAAGGTCTTTCCACTTAAATGTAGTCACTCAGATGCAAACCTCCCTGAAGCTCATTCTCTTTCCCATCAATTTCAACACCCACTGAACAATCCACAAATGTTGACTCATTGACTAAACACCTATAAGGTTAATGAGCTATAAGGGAATGTGTTCAGAAAGGAAACACACTGTAGATTTGGTCTTGATGGGCAGGGGAGATTTGAACAGTCAGAGAAGTGTAAGAGAGAGGAAGAAGACATGACAATGACCAGCTGTACGTTGGGAATAGAGAAGCTTCCATCTGTCTTTCTAGAACAAGCCTTCCACTCACGCATTCATTCACTTTGCATTCCTTAATTCAATAAACATTCACTGTCTCCATCCAGCAGGTCAAATACTCTTCTAAGCTTGGGGGAAGTGATGCTCCAGCCAGTAAAGACTGGCTTAAATTTTGCCCTTAAAATTCTCCCAAACACGTAGACTCAGCCACACCCAAACACAAATCTGCAAGTTGAGTTGATGGTAAGGTGAGCTCAGGGCATAAAAGAGCAAAAACATATCTCTGTTGCACTGGGTTTAGAAAATCTCAACATACGAGGTGATTGTTGCAGTGCTCTTTAGGTGTGCACTCATGGTTGTACACAGGGGCCAATAGAACATACCAGGAAAGTGGAGAAATGATGTTGGTAGATTTGATAATGCACCATGAAAGCAGGGTAAGCATCATTGGTTTTCAAGCAAAGCAGTGATATAGTGGAGGTGGGAGGGTTAGGAATGGAGATGCATTTGCAGAAATAAAATATTCTTCAAAGGGATTTTCAAGGGTGGAAATTTCAGGTGAGTCCCCAGTTTTGAAGGAAGTCTTGACTCTCGCTCTCCCCAAGATCAGAGTGTTGCTCTGGGCAAGATAATAAAAGATCCAGGGGACACTGAAGTTTCCTAAGAGAGAATGTGCATTCTTTGAGCCTTGCTGGGCATAGGATATCTTGGTATAATACAGGCAGTATGACAGGAAGGTCACCTCACTGTGTAACCCCCTGTTTTAAAATATTATTTAGAAGCATCCCTAAGGATCTGAGTGTAATTTTGTTCAACCTTTATTTAAAAATCCACCTCTATGACGACCAATTTTTACTGGCCCCTTAGGTGATAACTTAAGACAGATTTCTCTTTAATAGTTTTATAACAATTTAAATCTCAGGCTCATTCATCTCATTTTATTTCCCACATCCATAAAAAGAGCCTGGGTTCTCACTAGGGAAGAAAGAGGAAATCAGGTACCTGGAAGGAAGGGGCAAGTCTCAAGCCTCCCTGACTGGTTGTGGCTTTGCCTAGAGTTCTACTTCTCCCAGGCCTCTGAGCTTCACTTAGCATCCTGGACATGTGGCTAGTCAATCCTAGGTGCAGAACCTAATTCTCCAATTCAAAGACTGTATGACCTGAGAAGTCATTAAAACTCTCCAACAATCAGTTTGCTAATCTGAAAAATGGAGGTAAATGTCACCCATACGTTGGGTAACTCAAATGAAGCAACCTGCAAATGTGCCCAAGGTAGGTGGGTAACTAAAAAACATAAACCATTGTCATGGTTATCTAACCAGAAGGACCATGGTTATTTGCATTTCCTATTGTACTCCCCTTTCTAGTTCACTGTTTCTCCTTCTTCTACTTTTTATAGTCATAAGAAAAAAACTAGTTACTATATGTTCCAATCCCAAAATTTTCCAAAGCAGCTAGATTCAAGGGAGACCAGCTTACACAGAGTTGAGGGCACACGCAATTTCCAGTCCAGGACTGCCCCGTAAATACACTAACTTTAGTGTTTATTTGTAGAAATTAATCTATGTGTTCTATAAATGTATGTCAATAAACTCTGAATTCATTACCATCATGAAGTCTCTAAGGAAACATACCCCCATATGCAAGAAAGCCAAAGGACCAAGAAAAAGAAAAAAAAAAATTCTACATCTTTGTGTGATTTCCCATTAGCAGAAGAAATGCTTCTTTTCATCGTCGATCAAGACACAGTCATTGTTCTGAGCTGCACACAAATGAGTGTCCTTGTATCGTCAACTGGGGACACATCATCAGTTAAAAAAAAAACCCCAACAGACTGGAGCCAAATACTGAGAATTTTAGAACCTAGAAAGGTAGAAAGTAAATGCAAGACACTGATTCTTCAGCCAGTAAATGTAGCTCAAGGCTGAATTTTCAAACTCTTTCGATCCTAGCTAAATATAACTCAGAGGTTTGAATTACTATAAATTCATATTACATTTATCCACAGGATGAGGGTCACATACTAAGTGCTTTTCCAAACATAAAAAAGGTCCCAGACCATGAATTCATTCTCTTTTCAGCATATTTTGCCAATGTTTCTTTAGTTGTAAATAGCAGTGATATTTCTATTAAATTCATTTTCTCCCTTGGTGGCATATCTACTCCAAATACGATCTCATTATCTGCAAGGAGGCAGATTCCCGCTGGACCCTTCCAAATTAGGCCATCAGACTCCCTTGTTTATGCCTTTTAAACTCATTCATACGCGGGCAATGCTATCTCATCCTTCAGAGAGCAGAAACTCACCAGTCCTCTCTGCAGAAGATAAAGAAAAATGAAGCTAATATTTCTCTTTGCTATGCCCATATTTACTGCTTCAACACGACGTAGCTCTTTGCTACCCTCTCTGATGGACACTAATGCAGAGCCAGTGCATTTTGTTCCAAGTGCAGCTTAATGTGCCCACAGATAAATCTTCTGCCCTGCTCTGTATCAAAAACATCTTGGAAATTATGTAAATTATACACCACTGCTCCGGTTTTGTCTACTAATTTTTTAATGTACATGAAATATTCAAGGTGATTTGTGAGGCATGAAATACCTCTTATGAATCCATCCTGACACCTCCCTTGCTGAGAATACATTTCTAAAGGCTGCCCACGTCCATCTGGGGCTGAAGTTTTCAAACTAGATTAAAGATCCACTGGCTGAACTGATAGAAAGACAGAGCCTAAGCATCCCCTCAGGCATGCTACTAGTTCTTTGCTTCCCTCCTTTGCTGCCAGTGGCTTTTGGAGTCTGTAATTTCTCCTTGTGTCTCCTGCTCCATGGCATATTTACTGGGATGGAGGGCTGGAGAAACGAGCTGGAATAATTTTTGAACTTCATGAACTCCTAAGATATCCCATGTCTTGAGGGTCTTTTCTCTGCCCTGTGGATTGGAGGTGAAAACAAAACTGTAAAAGCAAATTCTTTGAATATGATAGAGAACCCAAGACTCTAAATGGTAAGAATAAGGTCATAGCTTTCAGGCATCTGAACTGGGCAAATTAAGATGGCCCACGTATTTTAATCGACTGGTGTAATGCAAAAACTGGGCTTTGATTTCCAGATTTATCAATCATTAGTGGCAAGACCCAAGACATTTAATTTAAGCCTTCTGTACCTCCGTTTGGGGGAAATTAGTGTCACTCTCATAGGGTTGTTGTGAGGATTGAAAGAATTAATGTGCGTATGTGCCCAGAACACTGCCAGGGCTCAGTCAAGGTTAATTTCCTTCCCTCCCTCCTAGTTCATTTCTGTAATAGCTCTTTCCACGATGCCACCCTACTTTGAAATTGGAATAGCTTCCATGTAGGGAGCTGTTTGGCAGGTCATTTACACACATTTTTTATATCCGATGCTCATAACAGTACCGTATAGTTGGCATTAGTATTTCCACACAACAAAGAAAATACTGAGGATATAAAGGTTAGAAAAATTGGCAAAGGGCACACTTTGTTTCATAACTTTTATATCCTAATGCCCAATGGTATGATCCCAAAATTCATCTATGCTCTTTTAACTATGCCTGCTCACTCTTCTTCACATCATTTGACATTCATCCTGTAAGAAGAAAAAAAAATCCCTGGAATCTGGAATATAACATCTCTCTTCTTCTTTTTCTACTATATGATGGCAATATCTCAGGTTGCTTTAAATGTCTGTCTAATCCCTGCCTTTGGGGCTACCCTACTGTCACTCTAATTTCATCAGGGTTTTATGAGCTACATGCTTTTCACCAATTAGAGATTTCTTACAAGGTTTTGAAACATTACTTATCCTCATTTTTGCCAGATGCATTTCATTCTTGCCTTTTTATTTTTTACACATCCATTCCTGCATTTTTATATCTTTGATGACAGCTTAGGATTTTAGTGTCTTGCATTACTGGCCATTTATTCTTTGCTTTATTTATTCATTTATTCTCTTCTACTTCTACTTCGATTTATCATTGAACAGCGCTCCCACTTTTCCAGATGCATTAAGTTATTAACTCCATCCATTTCTTTCCTGTCTTCACCTACAATATTACTCCACGCATTCATTCCTCTTCAACTTTGTCTACCAGAGATCCAATATCTGTGGCTTATGTTTTCCCTTAGCTGCCATATGCTCTTATTTTTAGCCTAATTATGAGCATAATAAAGTTTTGATTGTGATTTTTCCAGGTTTCCCCTTCAATGACTTGAGTCATAACCTCTCTAGTTGCCAACTCTAGTACTTTCACCTATTAGAAGTATAAATAAAATATTAAATTAGAAAACTATATCGCAAATAGTCAGCCACTGTCACCCCCTGCTTTATTCTGTGCAATCTTAGCTACATTGGGTAATTAGAAATGACCCAATTTGAGGACCCTTGTCTTTTTGTTCAGCTGTGGAAAGGGACTGACACTGTGGTTAGGTTTCTAAGTGTGCAGGCTATGTTCAGTGTCAAGCCCAGTGCGGTAAAATTAGAGAACATAAGCCCTGGAAGGGCCTTTAAGTGTCATTCTTAAAAAGTGACATAAAATTGTGAAGTTAAAAAAAAAAAAGAAGGACCTGGAAAGGATCACTTACAAGGATGTGGGAAGGATCACTTACCAGGTATGCCATTTTAAATAAGTCCCTTAACTTTGCTAAGCCTCACTTTCCTCCCTTGCAAGACAGGATTACAAAAGCATGTATTTACCTTATGAAGCTGTGTTGTGGCATATATGAGTCAGCATTTGTGAAATAGTCCAGCACAATTCTAGGCACACAGTATCTTTTTAAATAAATGCCAGTTAAATATGAAGCTAGTACCAGCACGAGGCTGATCCCTGATGGTTCTTGAATATCAGCACCTTGCGGCCAGCCAGTCTATATTTGAGCAATTCCAGTGGCAGAAACCTCACAATCTTCCAGGTTCGTCCATTCCACTCCCACAAAATAGTGGCTTCTAGAATGTTCTTTCAGTATGGGGCAAGGCCTATATCACAGTTCAGGACGTTTAGTCAAAACTGTTCTCCAAACAGAAAGCCATCATTTGTCTCCATTCAAAATCCACCCATGGGCCCTTGTCTCTTTCTTCTAGGCCATATGGACACTCTGATTACAAGCATGAGAGTTATTCATATTTTTGAATAGAGTTCTCAGGTACTGCTCCAGCTCCTTCAACAATGCCTCATAGTTTTCATGATTTTCAATCCCCTTCGGCATCTGTTTCTCTCACTTCTGGACTGTTCAAATATATAAGTTCCCAGAATCCCAAACCTGAATGAAGTATTTCAGGAGCAGCCTACACAGTGCAGAGTAGAACAGAAGTGCCACATTTCTTGTTCTGAATAATCTACTTCTCTTTACAAAGCCCAAGATTAAAATCACTTTTTAAGCAATGATAACCAGCAGTATTTCATTTTAATTAAGCTTATAGTCAAGCAAGAATTCTCTGTTTATATATATATATATATATATATATATGTGTGTGTGTGTGTGTGTGTGTGTGTGTGTGTGTGTGTGTATATATACATATGTATTTTTTTTTTCCTCCATGTATTCTCAGAAAATTGATCTTTGGGATTCAGGCTCAGAACTTTATATTTACTTGGGCCCATCTGATTCATCAGGACAATCCATTGTGATTATAAGAAATCAAAGATCACCCATGAAAATCATTTATCCATTTTATATGTGCCTTTTGATTACTCAGTTTCAGATGCCTTTTCAGGCTCTGAGGATACATTGGTTATCAGAATACATGAATACATCTTTTCCTTTTTGTTTGTTTGTTTCTTTCTCTTTTTTTTTTTGACACAGAGTCTCACTCTGTCGCCCAGGCTGGAGTACAGTGACATGATCTCGGCTCACCACAACCTCTGTTTCCTGGGCCCAAGTGATTCTCCTGCCTCAACCTCCCTGTGGCTAGGAATACAGGTGTCTGCCACCACACCCAGCTAATTTTGTATTTTTTTGTAGAGACAGGGTTTCACCATGTTGGTCAGGTTGGTCTTGAACTCCTGACCTCAAGTGATCTGCCTGCCTCGGCCTCCCAAAGTGCTGGGATTATAGGCGTGAGCCATGGCACCTGGCCAGCATACATCTTTTCTTAAATTAATGGAACTTACAATTCTAGCAGAATAGTTAGTTATTAAACAACTAATTTCAACAATCATGATAAAAAACGGTATCAGGGAAGCATAACAGGAACCTGACTTAGTCTAGGAGGTGTGGGAAAGCTTCTTTTGTAGACTTTTATTTCTAGGTAACGGGAAAATTGCATTTTAAGGAACAAATAAGGGAAAGGCATGTAGGAAGGAAGGCCTTGAAGACAGAAGAAGCATGGCAAATCCAGGGATCTACAAGAAAAACAAATACTAATGTCATGAGAAGAAAAAATATTGTTCTAGTATTATTAGACAAATTTACAGTGATAAATCAGGGTCTTATTATAAGGGAATATGTAGTTTCATTAAGGATTTCTTAAGAACAATGAGAAACTGCTAAGCAATGGGGCAGGATGGAGGGCATGATTAGATTTACATTTTTAAAAGGATAATGTGGGCAGCTGTAGGTGAAACAGTGAATTCAACTGGGAACAAAAGGGACATGTACTAACCCAAGATCAAGGCAACCATTCAGAGCAATAGTACCTTGGACATGGATGGCGGTGGTGGAGAGAGGGAAAAGTGATAGATTTTAAGGACAATTCAGGAACTGGACTATATAGAAGATAGACATTAATTGGAAAAGAAGGGAGAGGGAAAATAGGTATAAAGGATGACACCCATGTTTTTGATTTGCAGGTGTAGATGAATGTTAGTACTATTTACCAAATTTGGGAAAACAAACAAAAAATGGAGAGAGTTGCCATAGAGAGCATGAGTTAAGTTTAAGAGGTATTGAGTTTGAAGTGCTCACTACCTAGCCAAGTGAAGACTTAGGATTGGATATTCATTACTTTTTCTTGTTTCCTTGTATCTACAAATATACGACTACTTTGTGTCTCTTCCTAGATCTTGATGTTCAATGACTAGTTATGCTAGCAAAGCTAAAATAGCTCTGTTGATGGTGTGTACTCATCTGTGTGTAGCAAGAGAGCAAAAGTGAGTGGGAGAGAGAGAAAAAAAAAAGGAAAGGGGGAGGAGAGAGAATTTAAGTTAATTTGCTTCCATCTTGTTTTTATCTTGTTCCATAGCATAACAGAAGAAACTGTTTTTCCTGAATTAGCTCTGATCTAAAAAATTCTTATTCAATAAGTTTATGCTCAAAACCATCTCCCAGACTCTCCCCTGCCCAGCTGATTTCACGTCAAGTGTCCTGATAAAGTAACTGCCCAATTACCAGATTTTTATAATTGCTACATCGAGGCATTAAGCCTGAAGAATATGCATGTTCACGACCTCTATGCCACCTATATTTTTCATCCCTCCATTTTGAGTTTGAAAAATTGGCATGAAAATTGTTTTCTGACACTTCTTTTGAACCCTTAAATTATGTATCTATGACTAATAGCAATGTCTCAGGATGTTCTCTCAGAGAGGAAATCTAGTTTGAAAATCTGTCTTTTGTTTTTCATTCTCCAATTTCCTAAAAAGATCAGTGCAGGGATGTTCTTTGCCCCCCATCCCCCAACAAGCGCCCTCCCTACAGCACACAAAGCCTACTCCCCCCGACTGCTAAAAGGCACTTTCTTCATATTATCCAGCAGCTTGTTTTTGTCCAGCATTTTCATGTGTTTAAAATCAAAGCAGCAACAGGAAAATGGAGAGGGGCTTACACATTGAAAGAATTCACAATGGGGTTTAAAGTCAAACCAGGGTGCATGAAGCCAAATCTCAGCCATGGGTGCTATGAATAGACGAGGTACACTATACACTCCCTGCAGGTAAAGATGAGTCTGTCCTGTCCACTCTTGTGGCAGTCACATCTACCATATGACCTTGAATAAGTAGCTACTCACCAAATTTTGAATTCAGAGGAGTCCTAAATACTCTTTCCAGTCTTTGATTCATCTGGGCTCTGTCTAGGTTCATCTACATTTTTTTTTTTTTTTTTTGAAACAGTGTGTGGTTCTATTACTCAGGCTGGAGTGCAGTGGTGTGATCACAGCTCACAGCAGCCTCGACATCCTGGACTCAAATGACCTCCCACCTCAGCCACCCTAGTAGCTGGGACTACAAGAATGCACCACCATGCCTGGCTAATTTATTTTTTTATTTTTTTTATTTTTATTTTTAGATACGGGGTCTCGCTATGGTGCTCAGGTTGGTCTCAAACCCTTGGGCTCAAGCAGTCCTCCTTCCTCAGCCTCCCAAAGTGTTGGAATTAAAGGTGCTAGCCACCATGCCTGGCCTCATCTACTTCTTTTAAATTCTCCACCTTATCTCTGTAGACATGACTCATAAAACCAGCTCCAAAGACTCTCACACTTTATGGCCTTTCTCCTGAGCCTTTCCCTTTACCAGCCCTGGACTTGTAATCTCAACCTGTGATCAATCTGAAATCATAGACCCTAACCTCCACCTGTGGCTTTGGGTGGAGGTTGATTCAACCAGGTTCTAAATGGTAACACTTAGCCCTAGTACTTCAGTACTTCACTTTCCAGCATTTGCATATGAATCCCAGTGATGTGGATGCTGACTTCTGCTCAGAATGACACTCCTGCTACACGTACACAACCCTTCCCTGTAAACTGAGATTTCCACAAGTTTCCCCAGCTCCAGGTGGTCTCTGGCCACCTGGACACAACCCCTGCACTCACCCAGCATGTACCCTGCCTTCTCCAGGTCTGACTCCTGCTACCTGCAAGAACTGAATTCCTGCTTGTACACTACCCTGTCTCAGTCCATCCTGTTCCCCTGTCCCCAGTGGCGTGATTAGTACTTTTATTTGGGCAAACAATGTATTCCCTGTTGGTCTACATTATCAGACAGAGACTGGGCAAACTGTGACAGGAATCTCATAGAAGTGATTCAAGCATTAACAGAAGGGTCAAATTAAATTGTCTTTGATGCTTCTTTCAATCCTGAACTTCTGACTCTATGAAATATACCACATAAAATATGTAGAAGTCAAAGTTTGCCTCAGCCATGCTATTTTATGCAATATGACTCAAAATTCTACTAAAGGATCTGAGATTTCATGCAGAGGTTATATAGGAAGATTTTATCCTTTACTGAAGGGAGGGACTAAATCATGCTGTCTAGAGTGCAGATTTCAGTAAGGATGGCTGCATGTTAGAAAGATGCCCAAGGGACCCTTTCTGACTATTCCACAATGTCTCTATATCTCATAAGATGCTTTACCTAACTGCAGAGTCTCTTCCGTGGAGATGCTTGGGTTGTCCTTTACGTAATGTGCATTCATCTTTGTCTTGCTGAAGTCCTTCTGTGGCTTTCTGTTCCCCATGGGAAGTCATAGACATGACCTTTGAAGCCCACAAGGACCGGGAGCCTTCTTGCCCAGTAGTTTCAGTTCACACAATGTCCTCTTGGGGGCATGGACTTTAGCACTCCAGGCTAACTGCACTCGGAAGTATGCATAGCTACCTCACACCTCCTTGCCTTCTTGACGTTGCCCTAAAAATTTCCTCCGTTTGAGGGTTTCCTCTGTTTGGGATTCTCCTTGCCCACCATCTCCCCGTCAAAGTCTTAGCCTTCTTCAACATGTAACTTGAACACCATCTCCTGTGGACATCCTCTTTTAGTTCTTCCCCTATTAAGATGACTCATTTCACTGGCTATTCTCCCAACATGGTCTTCTCCTGGAACCCATTTCACTAAGCTAGTATGACTTTTACATCTCTTTCCCTCAGCGAGCTCCATGCAGCAGATGTCCAGGGCTCATTCATCTTTGTGTCTTCTTTGTTCATCCCAATTCTAGGTATTAGGAAATCCATGATAGATATAAATTGAATGAATATATTTTAATTTATTAGATAAATTAGATGAACATAGTTCTATTGACATAAACCAACTTTCTAAATGATTTTCTAACCATTATAATTATGCATAAAGATGTTCAAAAGTACAGATTTCTTGACTGTTTAAGATGACTCCATTCTAAATATTCAAAGATAACTCTTTCATCACTTTTCGAAATTATTTGAACGCAGGGTCCTTAGAGGCTTTTCTTAATCCACTCAAAATCATCTTCAATTCCAAACTTATGTCACTAAAACATCATATTCTCATCACCACTCTTCTATTGCTTCAAAGTTAATTAAACTCTTGTAATCTCTCTCACCTTTACTGATAGTGTTTCACAAAAGTCTAAGTTATAGCCCACAAACTCCTAGAGAAATAATACAACTATTTGAGGCCATTGAGTTGGGAGTATAGAGAAATTTCTACCATTTTGTACATATACCTGATGGACAAAATCCTGGCACGTGAAATAATATTTTAATCTGTATTAATCACTCTGAGCTTTACTGGCTAATGTGACATGTCATTTGCCAAGTTGTGACAGATTCCCAATATTTTGCAGACTTCTGCCAAACAGAGCCGCAGCAGCATCCCCTGAGGCCCCATTTGGTTGTCACACATGATCCAGCTGCCCCATGTCTCATTCATGTTCTTGCTCTGTGACTTTCTTCTCTTTTAATTTTCTTTCTACCTTTCTTTTTTTCCTCTTCTTTCTCTTCAAGTGCCTTATGACTGGTCATTTATTCCAGACTGGGAGGATTAAGAACAAGTTCTTAATGATAAGTAACAACCCAGTGGTTGCTAAGAACAGGTTCTTCTCAAGGAGATAATTCTGGGTTTATTTTCTACTTTTCCAGTTCTGGCTGTGTGATCTCAGACATGTCACGTATTTCTAGTAAACGTAGTTGTCTCATAGGAAATGCCCACTTCATGGCATTGCTGTGATGCTTAAATGAGGCACTGCAGACTTTACATGGGGCATATGGTAAGTGCTCATTTACAGTGAGATCTCCTTTATCGGCTTCCCAAAATGTCTGTCCAGAGGGCTGTCTAAAACAGAGGCCGGGCTTTCATTTGAAAAAATATATAAGATTCTGCAAAGCAGGAAGCATCTTATTCATGATTATATTTCCAGTCTTTTAGAGATTTCATAGAATAGAATGGAGCGAAGAAAGGAACTAAGGTGAATTTTTTTTTTTTTTTTTTTTTTTTTGAGATGGAATCTCGCTCTGTTACCCAGGCTGGAGTGCAGTGGTGCGATCTTGGCTCACTGCAAGCTCCGCCTCCCGGGTTCACGCCATACTCCTGCCTCAGCCTCCGGAGCAGCTGGGACTACAGGTGCAAGCCACCACGCCCGGCTAATTTTTTGTATTTTTAGTAGAGACGGGGTTTCACCTTGTTAGCCAGGATGGTCTCCATCTCCTGGCCTCGTGATCCGCCCGCCTCGGCCTCCCAAAGTGCTGGGATTACAGGCGTGAGCCACCGCGCCCGGCCGCTAAGGTGAATTTAAACCTACTACGTGCCAGCTGCTTTCCTAATCATTTGGCATACATATTCTCACTTGAACCTTACAGTAATACTGCAAGGTAGCTATTATTATCTTTATTTTTCCAAAAGGTGAAAGTAAGGCTCTGAGAGCTGAAGTAGCTTATGATGTGAGATTGCAATGCGTGTAAGTTCCAGACAGAAGCCCAGACATGTCTGTCTGCAAACTTATGTTTTATTTTTCCAGTGAAAATCTGATATTAGGTATAGGCTAAGGCTCTCCTTCCTGAAGTATGTTCTACAAGATGTTGAAAGAGGTTACAAGGTGAAGATAGTTTCTGTAATTAACTTGGTTTGGGAAACGTTAGACTACACAAACAAGCAAAATACATCCCTTTGCAGGACTTCTTCAGAACCTTGAATGAGTGAATACAGTTAACTCTAAATCTCCTAGACTGTAGGGAGCTACATTTGCTCATCTTTCATAGAACATTCAGGAAAACCCTGATCTAGGGAAATGATCTGTAAGTAAGTGTCCACCTGTTCTACCGAAGGATCCAGTATTTCAGTATATTCTACTTTACTTAACGAAATAAGCAAGATCAAATTTGTTCTTTGGATGCCTATAAAATGCTCATTATTAAATCTTGTGAGACACCTGGGGGTTCTCAGCAAATATCACTGTGGTGTTTAATGAGGGCAGATCTACACAAAACATGCATTTTCCAGTAGCATTTTCTACTATTTATTGTGCCGTGATGGCTCCTAGGTACCAGAACCCCTGACACCTAGCTGCTGTAAATCTCCCAAGAAAGGTGATCATTAAATAGATTAAAATGCATAGAAATGACCTAAATGTGGACCATTAGATTAAATGAAGCAGCTACAGTATAATGCCCTGATGTTTCCAGCAACTCTATTCAGATTATAACTGTACCGGTGTTGTGCGACTCACATGATTAAAAAGAATATTACAAATCTTAAACCCCATCCCCCCCACTGAAGGTTTGCAATTGAAATTTCTCCAAGGCTTAGTAAAGAGTTACCTCCAAGAAGGCACTTTGAAACTGACTTTCTAGACCAATCTGCATTTCGATGTGGTTCAGAGCAAAACCTTATCTCTGTGTGGCATGTTTGCAGGAATAACAATGTTTAAATAATGTCTGAAATGGAGCATAAAAATCCTTTGTAACTGAAATGGACATATTGAGAAATCTTAAGCTTCAGCTCACATTACCTTTTTGATATTTCTTTCAAAGACTGACAGTAAGACAGCATCACTTCCAGAAAGTATCTCTCCAAAAGCCCTGTGCATATTTTTGATGTAGTTTTCTCTTGCAACCTCTCCTCATAACTCTAATAAATGCCAATTTAGGGAACAGGAGTGGTTAGAGTTCTAAATTTTTCATCAAATTCTATGTGAAATTGAAGTAGTCTGTCTATTTCTTTCTGTCTAAACTGATCACTGCAAAAAGAGGGGGAAAAAACCCTGTACGTGTGTGTCTTCAAAAAATACCTCTTAATTGGAGTCATTTAAGAAGCTCTGGATAAGATCTTTTTGGCAGAGGAAATATCAGCCAAGGTGGTTTTTTTCTCTGTCGTGTCAAGAGGATTTTTGTTCCCTTATTAGATCATTTTATTTTATTGAGGCTGAAAGCATGGAAGGCAAGGAAAGAGAAGGGAGCTCATATTAGTGGTGTCTTCAGTGGCAAGTACTGTGCTTGGTGTTTTCCATCTTACCACAGTTCACAGTGTCTGATCCTCATAACAACCTTCCTAGGCAGACATTACTGACTCATTTATTGATTAATAAAACTGAAGCTTGAAAGGATTAGTTCATAAGCCATCACGGAAGAAACACATTTTGGACCTATTTCTATCTTGAACAAGTCCATGCTCTTCTCAATATATTCTGCTGCTCGGTTGAGTGTTATCATGTGTGAACACCAAGCATCAACAATAAACAAAGCCATTAAACATGGTGACTGCTATTCAGGTGGGAGCCGTGTTTGCAGGTGTTAGGAAGTGGCAGACATGACTAAGCCTGGATCCCTTTTGCAAAATGGAAGAATGAAAAAAAAGGCAACAATTAACAAGGTACTTAGGTGTACCAGGCTCTCTGCTAAGCATTTAAGTACGCTGTTTAATCCTCATGGCAATCCCAGGACATGGGCACTGTTATTTCTACTTTAAGAGGGAAAAAAACTGAGGCCCAGAAGGTATGCTACCAAAAGTCATAGAGGTAGTGAGTGAGAGAACTGTGATTAGAAGTAATTTGCATGAATCTAGATCCCACTCTGGGAGTATAGTGTACAGTTTAAATGCTACATAGTAAAAGAACATGGGTTTTCTACTTGTTTGTTTGACTGTTAACCTGTATTTTTAAAGCAGCTTAATTGAGGTAATCCACTTGCCATACACAAATCATTTCAAGTTCAATATGTAATATTTTTAGTAAACACACTGGGTTGTGCAACCGTAACCATAACCTCATTCTAGAATATTTATATCTCTCTGAAAAGAAGTCCCACATCCATAACAGTCACTCCCCATCCCCAGTCCTACGCAACCACTAAATCCACTTTTTGTTTCTGTTGATTGGCTTCTTCTGGACATTTCAGGTAAATGGGATCATAGGATACGTGGTCTTCTGTGAGTGGTTCTTATACTTATGATAATGTCTCAGGATTTATCCCCATGTGTTAGCATGTATCAGAACTTCACTTGTATTGCTGAATAATAGTCTATTGTATGGTTATATCACATTGTATTTATCTTAACATCAGTTGATGGATATATGAGTTGTTTCCACCTTTTGACTATTATGAATAATGCTGCTATGCATTGTTTATGTACCAGTTTTTGTGCAGGTGTACATTCTCAGTTATCATAGGTATATATCTAAGGCTGCAATTGCTGGGTCACAGGATAAATCTATGTTTAACATTTTGAGGAACTTTCAAACTGTTTTCCAAAGTGACTGTTCCATTTTACATTTCCACCAGCATTGTAGGAAACTTCCAATTTTCCCACATGCTCACCCACACGTGTTGTCTATCCATTTGATTTTAGCTATCCTAATGAGTATAAAGTGATACTCATTATAATTTTGATTTGCATTTTTTTTTTTTAAATTTGAGACGGAGTCTTGCTCTGCCGCCCAGGCTGGAGTGCAGTGGCGTGATCTCAGCTCACTGCAACATCCGCCTCCCGGGTTCAAGTGATTCTCCTGCCTCAGACTCCTGAGTGGCTAGGATTACAGGTACCTGCAACCGCGCCTGGTTAGTTTTTGTATTTTTAGTAGAGACAGGGTTTCCCCATATTGGCCAGGCTGTTCTCAACCTCTTGACCTCATGATCCATCTGCCTCCACCTCCCAAAGTGCTGGGATTACAGGCGTGAGCCACCACACCTGGCCTGCATTTCTTTAATGACTAAGAATGTTGAGCATCTTTTTATGTATGTATTAACCATTGTATACCTTTTGGGAGAAACATCAATTTTTTTCCTATGTTTTCATTGGGTTGTCTCTATATTATTGAATAGTAAGTTGTCTTTTCATTTATAATATATTTTGCAGCACGAGAGTATTTAATTTTGATGTTATTCAATTTATCTATTTTTTTTTCCTGTTTTCACTTGTGCTTTTAGTGTCTTATCCAGGAAACCATTGTTTATCCATTAGAGAGGGGCAGCTCTTGTTTTGTTCTCTACATAATTTCTGTTACTTTGATCAGAATCTGTCATATATTGAACATCTAAGAAATGGATAATTGAATTACTGGCCAGCTGACTATGTTAGGCAATATAACCTTCAGTATACAGCTATTTACTGGTAAACTTGGAAAGCAATCACAGGTCCTATTATCTCTAAGACCATTGTTCTTACTACTGAGAAATTAGTTTTTATTTATCCACACATTAAAATATTGAGAAATTTTTTTAACTTTTAAGTTAAGGGGTTCATATGTAGGTTTGTTACATAGGTAAACTTGTGTCATGGCAGTCTGAGTTTTAGCTCTTACATTTAATTCTAAGATCCATTTTGAGTTAATTTTTGTGTATGATGTGGAGCTAGGATCCAAATTCATTCTTTTGCATATGGATATCCAGTTGTCCCTGAATCTTTGTTGAAAAGAGCATTATTTTTGATGAGGCAGTCCTTTTTATTGATTTTTATTCTTCCACTTAGTAGCAATGGAAGCTTGAGTTACTCAACCTCAGTTTCCTCATCTGTGAGGCTACTGCTAAACCTACATCTCAATGCCGATGTCAAGAAGAGATAAGTATCTCTGTAATGAGACCTTACCACTTTTTTTAGAATGCCATTATTCAATAGACATCCAACATTCCACACCTCTGAAACATCTTGCTGAAATTAAATGATTAATTCCAACACTATGAGTTTAAATAAATAGGAAATAATTTCATGAATTTGATCTCCCCAGCCCCCACAGGGAGACCATTAGTCATTGTACATTCTTCAGCTGTTCCTCCTAGGGCATAAATATGGAGAAGTTACTGTATGTCAGATATTTGAGAAGGAAGACATTTTCAGTAAGTAGCTCCCCGTGTGACTCCATGTGATAGGCAGCATGGTTACTCCTTTTTGCACATGAAGCAGTCCATCTTTCCACCATATATGTACCCGTCAGACTCTCTGTCTATTCAGAAAGGAGAGATTGGGATGAATTCCATTTCCATTTCTTTTTCCTTTCTTTTTTTTTTTTCCAGTTACAGGGTCTCCCTTTGTTGCCCAGGCTGGAAGGCAGTGATTATTCGCAGGCATGATCATAGTGCACAACAGCCTTGGACTCCTGGGCTCAAGTGCTCCTCCTGCCTCAGCCTACCCAGTAGCTGTGACTACAGGAGTACATCACTGTGCTTGGCTTAGAGAATTCCATTTATTTAGCAGCATTTAGATTCTAGTCTCTATATTGTATTTCCTCTCCAGAATCTAACGATTCTGAGTATATGGTTTTGTGTTATGTTTCTTTTTTTTCTGGAAGGGTTTTAAGTTTTGCTTCTAAAAAATAAGTTGTATATTTTCACTTTGCTTCCAAAGTGGCTGATTCCCTTGGTTATCAAAATTAATAAACCCATTCCATTCTTAGACAAGGTTCTCAGGTCAGTATTATTTAGCACCAAAAGCAGAGAATAGCAAGCTTGTTGATTCTTCCAGACCTTGGTATGGTGTTGGATGCAGCCTCATGTCTTTTCCTGGGGCCAGGAGACATCTTGTTCACATTGAGAAAGCATGCTTTGGACTGATTTATACGTGAGGAAAAAAATATCCTTTCTTAGTAACTGTCCCATAACCCTGGGCCCTTTCTCAGATTCGAACAGGTATTTCATGCATACCACTCATTCCCCGTCCCCCATGATGAGGTTTACTATTATAGTCCACTTGGCTTTCTTTCTCTATAGCTGCCTTAACCTACTCTGATGCCCTGGGGAAGTTTGCACCCCTGCCTGTGTGGTAGTTTCCCAGTTCCTCTTTGTTTTGTTTCTCTTGAAGAAAAATGCCCAAAGACCCATATTCCTTTTAAAGTTTCACTGGTAACTATTTTGACGGAACGAGAAGAGATTAACATGTATGGGAAAGTATCAGAAGTTCCGGTGTTTGACACTTTGCTATCTTTATCCTTTGTTAACTTCACACATGGAACTAGAAGCTGCATTGAACTCCTGTCCTCCCTGCTAGCTAACGATGGAGTTCACCAAACTCCATTTTTTCTTCTTTCTTTGGAGAAATCCTGCTGTCTGATGGCTTTCTGCAGATCTGCACTTCATTACTTGATTATACAAAACTGTACTTTATCGATACCAAAGTACTTGGATTATTTTGTAACACACCAGACATTTCTCACTTCCGTGCCTTGCAGATGTGGCTCCTGCTTCCTGGAGTTCCATACCTTCCCCCTCGTTTAAAATGCAAACCCATTTCATTCTCCTCTTCAAAACTGACTCAAATCTTAAGCATTTAAAAAAGACTTTCCTGAGCAATCTCATCACCATATACAACTAGTTTATCTTGTTTCTGTGCCTCTCCATTTCTTAGAATGATACTCATCACTTTGCATGATGATGTCTTTGTTGTCTGTCTTTCATCCTAGACTGTTTCCCGAGAGCACATCCTACCTCGTTTACTTCCTTTGTAGCTGCAACTGCTACCTGTCACAGAGTAGTAACTAATTAATATTTAGTAAATTGATTTAAATTGAAAGAAATCAGGAGTTTGTAACTCCATTTTCCCTGCTCTAGAAGGTTACTTACACGACGTACATCTGTTCAGCTCACCAACTCACCAGCAGCTTACAAACACCATTCATTGGGAAGGCCTTCAATAAATTAACATTCCCACCTCTACTGACTCCTCTGGCAAGAACAACAAGTTCACAAGTTAGTGGGAATAAAGAAGAGGGGAGGAGGAATATAGGAAGAGAGGAGGAGGGAGGAAGACATTTCATAATTTAACATCATGTGAGCCCTGGCACCTCATTTATTTTACAAAAAGTACTGCTGATGCTCATATTTTTATGGGTTGGAACTCAAAACAGGCTTTCTGCTTTTCCTTCACCAGACACAAGCCTTGCAGCCTGTAGACTTGTTGTTTATTCACCAGTTGGTTCTCTGGGATCATCTTTTTTCCTTTCTTAAGCCATCAGCTGGGGCTTCTTCATTCCCAATGGCTGCCGTGATCGTGCTAAATGTATCTTTCCTCACAGAGCATGAAGTCCCATCCTCCTTCATCAATACTGAGCACAAAATCAATGAAATGGCAGTGTGCATCTGCACACTTCCCTTGAAGCTGATCAACCATTTAGAATGAATTAACATCTAATTGGCAAGCCATCATGCCTAATAATTTTTAGATTTGTTTATTCTTCAGCGTCACATCTCTCAAAACACTGTCAATAGAACAATTATATAGAATCTTCTCGCTGGAAGTCAGTAGAGAAGCATCTTGTTATGTTCTTCTAATTATTACTCAAGGCAAGTTCTTCTAACTCAGCTTCCTTCAATAATAATAATAATAATAGTGACAATAAATAAGATAAAATTATATTGTATATCTCAGCAAAATTGGAGAAACAAGATTTTTCAGCCAAGTCTATAGAATGTGCCTATCTTCCAGGAGTTTGTGTTTTTTTTTCCCCTGCCAAATTCTAATCAGTTTTATATCACCTCTCCACCTCTTTCCTCCCAGTTTTTGTCCTCAAGGACAAGAGCAGGAAAAGTTTCAAAACAATCCTTGGACCTCTACGTCCTTTCCAGAAACCCCGTCAGGTCTTTCCTTATGATGTCAGCCATCTGTTTCATTTTTTAAACAATATTTTTTTTATATTGAGTCTGGAGCCAAAAAAGACAGAACAGAGGAAAATGTCCCATGGAAAAAGATTAGGCCAGATCAACCTAGGCTTGGAAAAATAAACTGGAGGTTTTGAGAATTTTTTTTTAATACTGTTCTTGTTCGAAATACCTTTACACGCTATGAGGCATTCTGTTTTAGTTATTCTATGCAGGGAACAGTGATACAGAGTTGATCCTTTCTTCCCCCAGAAAACAGCAACATCAAGGATATGCCTGTATTTTATAGCAGGGCTACAAATGGAAGTTTGTACCATCTCTGCACAAAGACAAATCAGAGGAGCTTCAAGGGTGTTATGCTCTGTCTCTTGTTCTAGAAGAAGCTTGAGAACCTGAAACATTTTATTTGGCTGAATTTAAATACATCCTATATCTGCCACCCATTCCACTCTTGTTCTCCCTGCCTAGAGTGGTGCCAGCCACCTGACAACATGAATGGAAGTTGCCATACCAGGGGCTTCTGATGCCTGCCTTGTGCAGCCAGGGTTTCTAATGCCTTCTTTGGCTGTCTTTGCAGAGTCTCTTTCCTCCTTACTCTTGGAGGAGTAAGAAAGTCCCACCAACAAGTGAGAGTGTTCCTTCAGATGTCTTGCTCACTACTCCTAAGATATTTACATAGATTACTCTGGGTCTTCACTGAAAGTCAATTGAGTCCCAAGTCACTGACACAGAGCCAGGGACCTTGACAAGATTTCACTCTGTGCTGCAGAGTGACTCTCAGGATCTCAGAATACTTTTACCAAACTGAATCTCTTCTGCCTCTTTATTATCTGAAGCTCTAAAGTTTTAGATTCCAAATATTAGGTTGAAAAGCTTCTTCAACATTTCCTCAAGAAGACCTAAGTAGTTCCTCATGAAATGTGGACTTCTTTTGGACCACTCTGGTATGTTACAGTCTCCAATGTGGGTATGGAAATCAAAGCCCACCCCTTAAATCCTCACTAGGGTGTGTGTGTATGTGCATGTGTGTGTGTGCTTGTGTGTGTGTTTGAGAGTGATGCATGAAGAAGGAAAAGGAAGAGGAGAAAAAAATATGTACCACATTTTCTTTATCCAGTCTACCACCGATGGGCATTTAGGTTGATTCCATGTCTTTGCTATTGTGAATAGTACCATAATGACCATATGAATGCATGTGTCTTTATATTAGAATGATTTATATTCCCTTCAGTATAAGCCCAGTAATGGGATTGCTGGGTTGAATGATATTTCTCTTTTTAGGTCTTTGAGGAATCACTACACTGTCTTCCACAGTGGTTGAACTGATTTACACTCTCACCAAGAGTGAATAAACTTTCCTTTTT
The DNA here is from genome assembly GCF_000001405.40 of Homo sapiens. Lineage (NCBI taxonomy): Eukaryota > Metazoa > Chordata > Mammalia > Primates > Hominidae > Homo > Homo sapiens. Next base: position 65,332,082 of record NC_000016.10, on the reverse strand, counting down.
CTCTACAACCTTGCCAGCAGCTGTTATTTTTTGACTTTTTATTAATAACCATTCTGACTGGTGTGAGATGGTGTCTAATTGCATTTTTGATTATGTCGAGCTTTCTTTCCTATGATTATTGGCTGCATGTATGTCTTTTTTTGAAAAGTGTCTGTTCACATCCTCTGCCCACTTTTTTAATACACCATAGAATACTACATAGCCATAAAAAAGAACAAGATCATATTCTTTGCAGGAACATGGATGGAGCTGAAGGACATTATCCTTAGCAAACTAATGCAGGAACAGAAAACCAAATACCACGTGTTCTCACTTATAAGTGAGAGCTAAATGATGAGAACACATGAACACATAGAGGGGAACAACACACACTGGGATCTATTGGAGGGTGGAGGGTCAGAGGAGGGAGAGGATCAGGAGAAATAACTAATGGATACTGGGCTTAATACCTGTGTGACAAAAATAATCTGTACAGCAAACCCCCACATTACAAGTTTACCTATATAGCAAACCTGCACTTGTACCCCTGAACTGAAAATAAAAGTTAAAAAAAGAAGATGAAAAATGAAAGACAGAAGAAGAGAAATAGAAGCAAGAGGAGGAAGAGAATGAGGAGGAGGATGTAGAGGAAAAGGAGAAACCATACTCTGCCAAAGTATTTGTGAGTTTAGCTTAAAATCCATTGTCTGATTTTTCTTTTTCTGGCTACATAATATCAACAAACAGTTTGTCTAATTTTTCCTGGCACTGAAATGAGTGCTACATCTTTTAGGATTGAATTTTCCAACAGTTTTGTCCTTGTGTAAAAATGAAGACACTGTTCCCCACCCCTACCCATTTAAACATCACTTCAGCAAAATTCTCCAAGGAAGCAAAAATATTTCATGGGCTCCTTTCTATAGTTCCTCGCAAGCATGCACCACGTCTTTTTGATTCTGACCACTGCCCGGGCGGTGGATGTCTGGATGTCCTAGCCCTCAAGCGAGTTGCTTCAGAGAGCATTGCTTTCTCCTAAAATACTCATCTTGTGAAGATCACTATATTCTTCTTACCTCTAAGGAAAAGCATATGGTACTGAGTCAGTGTTAAGATTCCTGCTAACCTCCTCCACTCAGCAAAGATTTCTGTTTCTTCCTCCTCCCTTCCTCTTTTCCTCCCTCCCTCCCTCCCTCCTTTCTTCCTTCCTGCCCACTTGCCTGAGAGTTATTAATACTTTGCCCAAGTAATTCAATCTTCCTGGCCTTCATTTTCCTGGGGTAAAAATGCTATGTGTGAGGGTTTAAGGTGCCAAAATATTTAGTTTTTTACAACCATAACTTTCTGTCTTTAGTTCAGATTCCTCACTCTGTGACCAACCTCTTTATCTCTTTAATGTAGTATTTCATTGAGTATTTTAGTAACTATTTGCTTCAACCCCTTCCTTTTATCTTGGTTTTCATGAGTTTCAGTGTGATGTGTCTGGGCAGCGTTTTATTGAGTTTATTATGTTTAGAGTTTCCTGAACTTCTTGAACCTGTAAATATATGTCTTTCACCAAATTTGGGAGAAAATAATTATTACTTCAAATTTTTTTCTAACCCAATCTATTTCTCACTTCCTCTCGGACTCCAGTGACAAGAATAGTGGACCTTTTTGTATTGTCTTGAGTTTCTGAAGCAGTATTCTTTCTCCTTCACCCCCACTCATTTTTTTCTTTATATTCTTCAGTTTGAATAATTTAATTGATGTATCTGTAAGCTTACTTTTTCTTCTCTTATCTCCATTCTGTTATTGATTCTATCTAGTGACTATCTTTGCTTAAGACACTGCATTTTTCAATTCTAAAATTTCAATTTGGTTCTGTTTTTAGAGTTGTTTTTTGAGAACCTCTATCTTTCTATACACTAATCCTTATCTCATTGAATGTGACTATAATATCTACGTTAAAGTCTTTGTCTGGTAATTCCAACATCTAGGTCATCTCAAGCATGGATATTTATTGGGATTCTGTTTTTCTGTGGTGAGGATCGGCACACTTTTTCTGTCAAGGGTCAGATAGTAATTGTTTTTAGCTGTGTGGGACATATCGTCTCTGCGGCAACTTCTCAACTCTGACATTGCAGCATGAAAGCTGCAGCAGACAACACATGAATGAATGAGTGTAGTTGTATTCCGATAAAACATTAGACATAGATACTGAAATTTGACTGACATAAAATATTCACGTTTTACAAATAGTTTTCTGATTTTTTCAATCATTAAGAAATGTACAAATTATTCTTATCTTCAGAGCCATACTAATCCTGGTGCTAGTACAAATTTGCTGCATGGACTATAGTGCACCAAGGCCTACCCCTAAGAATTCTTCACAATTTTCTGGTTCCTTTTATGTCAATTCATCTTGGACTGTATTATGGATGGTTAAATATTGTATTGTGAGACTCTAACTCCGTTAAAATCATCTGGAGGACACTGATGTGTTTTGTTTTGACAGTTTTGGTTAGGTACAGATCACAACAAGCTCTGCCTTGCCTTTGGAGGGTCCAACCTAAGTTCTGTTTCCAGTCTTGGCAATGACCCTGTCCTGCATCCCTCAGGAGTTCGTTTGACTGTGTAAACTGTCACCAACCTTGGGTGATGGTTGATATTCTAACTCAGTTCTTGGAAACTTTGCTGTGTTTCTTAGATCTGTTCTGTGCAAGTGCACCTCAGGCATGAACTTGAGATTTCTGGTGGTTAATACACCCAAGTTTTCCAGCTCTCAACAATCTTTTCCCCTGTTTTGTTTTTCTAACCAGAAAGCAATGTTCTTCAGAGGGTTTATCTGCTGCTGGCCATTCCCACATATCTGAGGCTGACCTCGGGGCAATACAATCAGAGAAAAATAGAGAAAAAACAATATGGCTTCTGGCCTCCCCCACTAACAAACACACTCTTCGAAGCACAGACTACCTGACCTCAGAGATGGCTTCTTCTTTTGGGGCTTTACTTTTCAACCCTCTGCATTGCTGCCACCATCACACAGCAATTCAAGCTGGCCTCTGGGCATAACTGGGAGAGAAAAAAAAATTGTGTGTCTCTTGTTCATAGGGATCCCATGCTCTTTGGTACACAGGAACCCCTTTTCTGGCTAGAGTCTCTCAAAGGTTTTGCTCTCCACATCTGCTGTGCAGTTTTGTTCTTGGATCAAAACTGGGAGACAAAGGAGAAAAAAAGAATACCCCTGCGATATTGGTCATTCTTCAAATTCTGACTTCTTTTCCCGATCAACCTGTATCCTTCTCAGAGATTGTAGGTATTTGCTTTTTGCATTCTATCCATAGGTTTTAGTTATAGTCAGTAGGAGAGACAGGATATTGTGAGCCTACTCCATCTTGGCTGGAACTGGAAGTCCCCACCAGAAACTAATGTTCCAAGAAGGAAAGTGACTTGTACAAAGTCACAAGAAAAGGTAGTGAAAGAGGTAGAACCAGAACCTGTCACATCTGGTTCTTTTTGGTTGCCCTCTTTTGAGAGTCAATATGGCATATTTTTATGGAGGAGAGTGAAAGGACAAGTGGAGTCCGATGAATATTGGACTCCCTTCCCCCAAGGTGCTCTGTGATGCTCACCACCCGGATGCCCATATCTCGGTACTCACTGGGGGTTCTGACAGTACCACATCAGCTTGTCTTACCCATGGGTGAGGCCTGCTAAAAGTATGTGAGAAAGTTATATAAAACTCCTGCAGTCACTCAATAATGGCAATGATGGCGATGATGGAAATGTCTGTATTTGTGAAGGAGGGTGTGTATTTTTATATGTGTACCTGGGTGAATGCTTATGCATGGTTATTCATGCATATGTGTCAGTGTTTCTTTATAAGTGTGTATGTGCCATATGTGTATGTTAAGACCCTGAGTCTGATTTAAGAAATTAAGTTGCCTAATACAAATTTGGCAGATGAAAAAGCACTATGACTCTGACAATTTAAATAATTACTTTCTAGTGGGTCAAAATTTGAATACCATTTTTCTTAATATGTCATGAGACATAACCAATTACATTCAATCTGTCTATTTGAAGACATTAATACATAATAGAATGATAGAGAAAAAACATTAGAGGTAAGTTAGTGATGAGCCTCAGTCTTAAATGCTAGTACAAAACCATAACTAAACCCAGACTCTTTCTGCGTAACTTTCCTCTCACCAGAAAGAACAGAGTGTTGAGTCTCTGTCCCTATCTCCCAGTCACATGTACTCTTCTGCAATGCTGGATTTTCTCATGCTATGCCTATATATCTTTGTTTTCAAGACACCTATTTTCTCACATAAAATCTACACATTAAAGCACAACCTTGCCTTCAGAATTATTTCTAGGAGATGGGAAATGAGGAAGAGAGGCTGAGTTTGGCTTCAGATATCTGGAATAAAATGCTTTGATGGTTCCATTTAGAAATGGCACTAGAAGGCCTGTCAAAATGTCCCAGATAGCAATCAGGTGGCACACTTCTGGGGTCACATTTTTTGTGGATGAGACAGTGGTTCATATTCCATTCCTGCTGCATTGAATAAGCTTAATTTGCAATCTTCTTTATTGCAATTGGACTCTGATTTATCTAACAGCATGTTTGGGAAAGGAAGGAACATTTTAGTGATTGTGTTTTAGGAAATGGCTGAGGATAAGGTCTGAGCCACTTCAGCATTCCAGCTCTCGGTGGGACACTTGATAAGCATGATTTCATTGGCATGATGGCTCACGCCTGTAACCCCAGCACTTTGGGAGCCAAGGCAGGTGGATGACTTGAGGTCAGGAGTTCGAGACCAGCCTGAACATCACAGAGAAACCCTGTCTTTACTAAAAATACAAAAAAATTTAGCCAGGCATGGTGGCACATGCCTGTAATTCCAGCTACTTGGGAGGCTGAAGCTGGAGAATTGCTTGAACCTGGGAGGCAGAGATTGCAGTGAACCGAGATGGTGCCGTGGCACTCCATCCTGGGCAACAAGAGCGAAACTCCATCTCAAGAAAAAGAAAAAAGAGTAGGTAGGTATTATTATTCCTATGCAATAGATGGACAACTGAAGTTCAGGGAGCTAAAGTAATAAACTGAAATTACAAAAACTAGTATTCCTTATCCACATAGCTTTGAAGTCCACTTCTGGAACTAGGTCTTAAGTCTGCTAACCTTTTCAATATAATAAACTAACAATATATTGAATTATAAGCAACAATTTATTTGCACACTCATTTTTGGACTGGGCTCAGCTAAGTAGCTCTTCTGCTAAATTCTCCTTGAGTCAAGTATGTGTGCATAGTTATTAGATGGTGAGTGAGGCTATTTATTGCAAGATGGCTGCATTCGCATGCCTAATGAACTGGGATTTCAGCTGAGATGTTTGTCTTTTTTCTCATGTCCTTTCCAGCAGGATAGCACTAGTGTTCTTACAGAGTGGTCACAGAATTCCAAGACTTCAAGTTTGTGTGCAAGTGCTTATCAAGCCTCTCTGTGTCAAGTTAGCTTACATCTCGTTAGCCAAAGAAATTTACATTATCAAGCCTACAGTCAATCTGCTGGTCGGGGGGCGGCGGGGGAGAATGATTTTCATAACATATTTTAGGAAGCATAATTTATTGATGGCTATTACTGTAATAATCTCCCATAGTGGTTTTCAAATCTAGGTCTGTTTGATTTCAATGAAAGCTACTTTACCCATCAAATAAAGCTGATATCATATTGCTTCAGGGTTTCTTATGTGATTTCTCTGTCTATCCCATTATCAACATCAGTAAGATGATAAATTAAAACCCATACACATCCACAGGCAAAATTTCCACACACATTTCACAAATGAACTGACAGGTATGCACAAAAAACAGCCCAATTTAAAAAGCAAGAGACCCAATGTCAAAAGGACACAAGAGCCAATTAAAAGAGTTTCCAATGGCCAAATCTGGAACAATCTATGCAACTAAGTAAAGGAGTATTAGATTGTAGCCCAAAGTACACAATAAATATCCATGAATTCATACTGCTATAGATAAAAAATTAAGAAAGAAAGAAAAGATAAATCTCCAATGCAGAAAAATCCCCCAAAAAAGTATATAGATCCTCCATCCTTTAGAAGGTCGCATATAACCTCCAACATCTTAGTGTGGTCTGTGCATAGTGACTTTCTCCTGAAGATCACAGTATGGAAAGGAATAGAGGGATAGTAACTTTGCAGGAGAGAGATTTGAAAAGCATTACTTTAGCCAGGTGATCAAGTCAACATTGACAGTGATAAGTTGAGTCGTGTTAATGGTCTGTATCCTTGATATGATATAATGAAAATAGCACTTTACCTCTGTGTTCTTCCTCTCCAAAACCCCAGTCAGACCCACTGAGCAATGTATTAAAAATTGTCTGGGCGGGGCTTGGTGGCTCATGCCTGTAATCCCAGCACTTTGGGAGGCCGAGGTGGGAGGATCACGAGGTCAGGAGTTTGAGACCAGCCTGGCCAACATAGTGAAATTCCGTCTCTACTAAAAATACCAGGGCGTGGTGGCGTTCGCCTGTAATCTCAGCTACTCAGGAGGCTGAGGCAGGAGAATCGCTTGAACCCAGGAAGAGGAGGTTGCAGTGGGCCGAGATTGTGCCATTGCACTACAGCCTGGGTGACAGAGCAAGACTCTGTCTCAAAAAAAAAAAAAAAATTGTCTGACCAATACTCCTCAGAACTCTTAAGGTCATCAGAATCAAGGAAAGTCTGAGAAAACTGTCACAGCCAAAGGAGCATAAGACAACATTACAAATAAATGTAATGTTATATCCTGGATGGGATTCCAGAAGAGAAAAAGGATATTAGGTAACAAATACAGGGCTCTGAATAAAGTATGGACTTTAATTAGTAGTAATATATCAATATTGATTCATTAATTGTAAAAAATATGCCATCTTACTGTAAGATATTAACTGGTTGAGGGCTATTTGGGAACTGTGCACCATGTTTGCCATTTTTCTGTAAACCCAAAACTGCTGTGAGAAATAAAGGTAATTAAAAATAAAAGCAAAAAATCAGACTAGAAATATATTCTCAATGTAGATAGTAGACAAAGAGCTGATTTTTTAGCATACAAAAATATTAACTAAGCTAATAAAAAACCATAGGACCTCAGTACACAATGAACAAGGGACACACACCAATCATTTATAGTTAAAGATAAGCATAAATAGGCACATGGAAAGCAAAGTTTGATAACTAGTAATGAAAAATAATGAAATATGAATTACTTTAACTGTTTTAAACCTAGAACCATTTAAAAAATAATAATCTGTTTTGATTAAGAAGCTGGACAGGCATGGTGGCTCACGCCTGTAATCCCAGCACTTTGGGAGGCTGAGGTGGGCAGATCTTTTGATGACGGGAGTTCCAGAGCAGCTTGGCTAACATAGCGAAACCCTGTCTCTACTGAAAATACAAAAAAAGTAGCGGGGTGTGGTGGTACACACCTGTAATCCCAGCTACTCAATTACAGGGAGGCTGAGGCGGGTGAATCACATGAACCTGGAAGTTGGAGACTACAGTGAGCTAATGTTGTGCCACTGCACTCCAGCCTGGGGGATAGAGCGAGACTCTCTCTCAAAAAAAACCAAAAAAAGAGAAAAACCATGCAAGAGATGATAAACCAGTAAACCACAGTTGAAAATTAATTTAAAAATCACTCAATGTGTTAATTATTTTCTTCATAGTAATGCCATTTCTGTTATTTTTTTGGAAAGTAATATATATGTAGCATATTTTCCATAGAAATACAATAATCATAGAACTGTTTATAAATATGTAAACTTAGAAACGACTTACATCCTCAGCAATAGAGGAGTAAATTATCCTTTGTTCACCCACTTGATAAAACCATATTAAATAACTAAAATGATATACTTATTCTTTTTTAAAAATTTTATTTCCATAGGTTTTTGGGAAACAGGTGGTACTTGGTTACATGAGTAAGTTCTTTAGTGGTGATTTGTGAAATTTTAGTGCACAAATCACCCAAGCAGTATACACTGAATCCAATTTGTAGTCTTTTATCCCTCACCCGCCTCCTATCCTTCTGTCCAAGTCCCTAAAGTTCATTGTATCATTCTTATGCCTTTGCATCCTTATAGCTTAGCTCCAACTTATGAGTGAGAACAGATGACGTTTGTTTTTCCATTCCTGAGTTACTGCACTTAGAACACTAGTCTCCAGTTCCATCTAGGTTGCTGTGAATGCCATTAATGTGTTCCTTTTTATGGCTGAGTAGTATTCCATTGTGTGTGGGTGTGTGTGTGTATATATTATTGTGTATATATACTATATATATACACTATAAATATATACAATGTATATATAATGTACTATATATTTATATATAAATACAATATATAAAATACACAATAATATATACACACTATATACAGTATATATAATATATACTATATATAATATATACTATATTATACATAGTATATACTATAGTATATAGTATATATAGTATATTATATTTTATATAATATAATATAATATTTTATATTGTATTATATATTATCTAATTATATCTTATATATGAATATTACATATAATATACATATAATATATTGTATATAATATACATTATATATCTAATATATAATATATTAGATATAATATATAATATACATCATATATAATATATATTATTATATCTAATCTAATATATATTAGATCTAATAAATATTAGATATATATATATATATATAGATATATCTAATATATATTAGATATAATAAATATTAGATCTAATATATATTATATCTAATATATATAAGATATAATATATTAGGTATAATAATATATTATATCTAATATAATATGTATTAGATATAATAATATCTTAGATATAATAATATATTATTATATCTAATATATTAGATATAATATCTTAGATATAATAATATATTATATCAATATAATATATATTAGATATAATAATATATTAGATATAATAATATATTAGATATAATAATATATTAGATATAATAATATATTATTATATCTAATATAATATATATTAGATATAATAATATATATTAGATATAATATATTATTATATCTAACATAATATATATTATATCTAATAATATATATCTAATATATTATATATTATATCTAATAATATATATCTAATATATTATATATTATATCTAATAATATATCTAATATATTATATATTATATCTAATAATATATCTAATATATTATATATTATATCTAATAATATATCTAATATATTATATATTATATCTAATAATATATCTAATATATTATATATTATATCTAATAATATATATATCTAATATAATATACATTGTATCTAATAATATATATATCTAATATATATTATATCTGATAATATATTATCTAATATAATATATATATCTAATAATATATTATCAGATATAATATATATTATATCTGATAATATATAATATATATTATATAAAATATAAATTATATAATGTATATATAATACATATATATAATATATGTATACTTATATATATAATTATGTATATATTATATATAATATATATTATATATAAATGTATATAAATATATATTATGTAATTATATATTAGATAATATATATTATATACTGTATAATATAGTATAGTATAGTACATATAGTATATATAATATAGTATATATATATATAAATATATATAATATGATATATAATTATATATTATATATATATATTTTATATATATTTATATAATTATATATATTTTATATAATTATATATATTATATATTATATATTATATATACATTATATAACTTATATTTTATATATATTATATATAATATATATATTAGATATAATTATATATTATATATAATATATATTAGATATATAATGTATATTATATATATTATATATATAATATTCATATATAATATATATAATTAGATAATATATGATACAATATAATATATATTATATTATATTATATAAAATATGATACAATATAATGTATAATATATTATATAAAATATAATACAATATAATATATATTATATAAAATATAATACAATATAATGTATATTATATTATATAAAATATAATACAATATAATGTATATTATATTATATAAAATATAATACAATATAATGTATAATATATTATATTATATAAAATATAATATATATGGTTTATATTATATATTATATAATATATATGGTATATATTATATATTATATAATATATATGGTATATATTATATACTGTATATTATACCATATATAGGATATATACTATATAGTATATTATATGTACTATATATACTATATATATAATATATACTATATAGTATATAGTATATACACTGTATATATACTATATATACTATAGTATAGTATATATGTATACTATATAGTGCATACATATGATATGATAGTATACATATCGTATCACACTGTGGTTTTGATTTGCAGTTCCCTGATCATTTGTGATTTTGAGCATTTTTTCATATGTTTGTTGGCAATTTCATATATTCTTTTGAGAATTGTCCTTAGCCCATTTTATGATGGGATTTTTTCTTGCTAATTAGTTTGAGTTTACCTGACTTCAAACTATGCTGTAAGGCCATAGTCACCAAAACAGCACAGTACTGGTGTAAAAATAGGAACATATACCAATGGGACAGAATAGAGAACCCAGAAATAAACTCAAATACTTACAGCCAACTGATCCTCAACAAAGCAAACAAAAACGTAAAGTGGGGAAAGGACACCCTATTCAATAAATCATGCTGAAATAATTAGCAAGCCACATGTAGGCGATTGAAACTGGATGCTCATCTCCCACTTTATACAGAAATCAACTCAAGATGGACCAAGGCCTTAAATATAAGACATGAAACTATAAAAATGCTAGAAATAACATCAGAAAAACCCTTCTAGCCATTGGCTTAGGCAAAGACTTCTTGACCAAGAATCCAAAAGCAAATGCAACAAAAACAAAGATAAACAGGTGGGACTTAATTAAACTAAAGAGCTTCTGTACAGCAAAAGGAACAATCAGCAGAGTAAACAGACAACCCACAGAGTGGGAGAAAATTTTCATAGTCTGTACATCTGACAAAGGACTAATATCTAAAAAGATATTTTTAATAATAATATAACAACATAGAAAAGTGTCAGTGTAATAAAACTTGATAAGTGGCCAAAGGTAAAAGTTATCTATATACCATTTTAATGCTTACATTAACAAATGCATAGATTTAACAGACTGAAAAAATATATTACCTCTGAAAATAGCTTTATTTGCATTTTGGTCTAGTTGCACCTTTTGTTCTTAAACTCTTTTCTGAATTTTGATTTATGAACAAGCATTCTATTTGAACAACAATCAATAAAAGTTCAAAAAGTATGATGAAGAAAAAAATTGCAATTTTCCAGAATAGCAAAATCTGTTGTATTTGTCAGGTAGGGCTTTAAAATTTTTGTTTCAACTTATCCCAGACTATTTTTGAACTATAATTGAATATATATAAATGTTATTAATAAAAGTAAACACCCAAATAACTGATATGTTTTATGTGTCCCCCTAGACTTAATTTGTACAAAAAGAAAAATTTATAGAATTGAAGTGATGACCATCTATATAAATCAGTTTGAGATCCCGTGGGCTTATCTGCATATCTGTGTGTGTACACACAACAAACAGAGATCTTGTGGAAAACACTGAAAAAAAAACAGTTATTTCTTTAAAATTGTCTTTTTAGAATTGCTTAGGTTGTTTTGTAATTTACTGTTTGCAGTTCATATTTTTTCTAATTATTGTTAAGTGGAACAGTATAAATTGATTTCATTTTCCCTTGCAAGAATGTTTGCCTTGCTATCCAGGAAATGGTATTTTTCTGTTGAACCTAAGTATTACCTTACAACTGGATCCTGAACGTCTTAACAGGTACCCATACATTGATGGATAGGTTGATTGATGAGGTCTGCTCTAGTCTGAAGGCAAAGGTTGAGATTACTGCCAGTCTTGCTGCTGTCAGTGAGTATCCCCAACCAACGTTATCCCTTTGTAAGACATCAGCTGTCACTGGAGCCCAGGCAGCAGTAGACAAAAGCAGCTGATAAGCATCCCCCAATCCTGATAAGGTTTTCTAGACACCCAGAAACTTCCCCTCACATACTGAAGTACTTTCTCTAGACAGATGAGAAAGCTGTTTTAAAGGTCCACAGTCTGACCTGTAGCTCAAATTATTTGAGCCCAGATTTAAACCATTTTAGGAATGCACGAGACATTTGGACCCACGGGCTTCCCGGGACAATAGCCTGAAGCAAAATTAGCAGTAGCACAGAGTCCAGGTAAAGGGATTCTGCTTTATTGTGGGGATGGAGTGAGTCTGTTAAGACACTCGTTTGTCAAATAAGAATAATCACATTTCCTGCATAGGGTTGCTATAAGAATTTCATTTTAAAAAAATTAAAAGAGAAACATCTATACAAATTTCTTTTATATATATATATATATATATATAATTATATTTTAAGTTCTAGGGTACATGTGCACAATAAAACATGTAGCAAATAATAAGTGTTCCAGAAATATGAGCCATTATTTAGGCAGAAGCACAACTTTGGCCTTGCTGAGAATAGATCTACCTTTTCAGAATTTCAGAAAATTTCCATGGAGTAATGACTAAACTCAGAGAGATAACACCCATATTCTAGTTTTTTTTTTTTAAATAGGTATTTATTTTCTTATCTTGCTTATAGAGTGGTAATGAACAAGAAATAAGTGAAGAATGTATTGGATAAAAATTCTCCATAGTTAGAATTATTTTAAAAATAAATAAATTGAGAAATGTCACTTTTCTGCAGAAAATTCTTCAAACACCAAAAATCCTTAACAGAGAGCCTATAGGGCCTTCACCCCTACCTACCCCTCTAACTGCTGGAGAAACTCCAGCCACATTAAACAGACTTTCTGACCTTCCATTGAGCTGTACTCTTTCCTGCCTCCAGGCCTTTATTCAGGCTCTTCACACCCTGGAGAGCCCTTTCTTGTGGATTTGACTGCTTGATTCTTATTCATTCTGCAGATTTCCTTTAAATATCACTGGGTCAACAGGCCATCCTGACCCTGCAGTCTAAGTTATGTCTTGTTCTGTTATTCTGTCTTATAAGACATTGTGATTTCCCTCCTTTACCCTTAGCACTTATAAGGAGTTTTAATTATGTAATTATCTGTGTGTCTGTGTGTTAAAAGTCCAACTTCAGCACTGGGTTGTCAGCATGGCATCAGGCAGGACCATGTCTGCTGTGCTCATTAGCTCAAGCCAGCATGTGGGGAAATGCCTGGCACACCACAGGCTTTGCATAAATTGTGGCAAATAAACCACCAAATCAGTAAATGAATGAATGATATGAACAGCAATATTATTATGACTGCAATTTTAATAACAAAGCTGAGGGCACTCATGAAAGGTTCCCTCTTGGCAGGGTGAGTTTTCTGGGTTTTTTGTTTGTTTGTTTTTCCTCTACTCTGCATTCTCTTGGGCTCCTCCTTTTGGAGTTTCTAAGTTCAAATATTTCGTGTAGCTCCTTCACCTTCCCCTGCTGGGCTTCCAGAGGAGAAGTATCTGGAGCTCTCGCTTCACTTTCCTCCTAGTGACACACAAATCACGCTCCATTCTGGGTCCTTTCTCCCGCCTGCCAGAAACCTCCTCTCCAGCTGCCTGCTGAGTAGGATCCCATCAGCTACACTGGCTATGATTTCAATTACTGATTAGGGCCTCATGTCGACCTCTCCTGCATGCATCTGCCTGCTAATCCGTGCATCAACACACATGCGGACTCGCTAATGGAATTCCTGGCATCAGGAGAAGATCGGGGAAGGGATATTCCAAGGATGAGGGCAGGGAGTGCCTACAAAGCCTTTCTTGTCCTCCACAAATCACCTTTCAAAGACTCAAAGAACCATACCAGTAAGATGAGACATATGGTCAAATGGGTTTAGAAACAAATCAACAAATTAAAAAAAAAAAAAAGACTGCTTAATAATATGAACAGTGTGATCTTATTATAGTAACAAAGTATATGTAAGCATAGTTAATGCCTGTCAGGATATATCCCTGGGAGTTTAATCAGGCTTATCTGTTTGTGGTAGAATTAGGGGTTTGATATGTATTATATATCTATATAATTACATTTTAGTATGTATTCTACTGTCAAAAAAAACTCACCGTACTTTTGCAAAAGAAAAAAACTAATAATTTAAAAGCAAATTGAAGGCTGGGCATGGTGGCTCATGCCTGTAATCCCAGCACTTTGGGAGGCTGAGGTGGACAGATCACCTGAGGTCAGGAGTTCAAGACCAGCCTAGCCAACATGGTGAAACCCTGTCTCTACTAAAAATACAAAAAATTAGCTGGGCACAGTGGCGGGCACCTGTAATGCCAGCTACTTGGGAGGCTGAGGCAGGAGAATCGCTTGAACCTGGGAGGTGGAGGGTACAGTGAGCCAAGATCATGCCATTGCACTCTAGCCTGGACGACAGAGACGTCTTAAAATAAAAAAATAAAAACATCAATCAAAAACAAAAAAAAGTGAACTGAAAGAATGAAGGAAAGCAGGTTAGTCTTGTAGACTCTTCTTCAGTGGGAAGTTTGGTTCTTTCTCTCCCTGCAGAAATGCCCTCAAAGTACGGACAGCACCATCTTGCAAGATTCCCGTACTCCATTGCTCTTACGCATCCTTTTGATGACCATGCTCAAATGGAGACATTAAAAAGACTGAGGGAAGAATGGACAGGAGTGTAGAAAACTTGGTTATTTCCATGGGTCTGCTGTTTATTCATGTTGAGCTGGGCCTCTCCTCTCATCTGTTAGCTGAGCATTCTGGCTTAGATTGTCTCATAAGCACCTTTTAAAAGCTCCAAACTTTTATGTCTCCTATGGGCCAGCAAAGTGTTTATTCCAGAAACTTTTAAAGAATCTGTTGGACTGAAACTTTTGGCTGTTTTCCTGGCCTGGTTTCACTTGGGTCTCCGAAAAAATAGTGTAGCTCTAAGTCCTCGAAGAAACCCTGTGAATCTTGGGGAGGGTAAGCATATAACTGATCATCCAAACCAGCACACTAGCCAGTAGTAATTATGCTTGAAGATCAGGCCTCAACGGAGACTGTCCTCACTACAACAGGGCACTGGGAGGAGTCCAGACTTCCTGGTCCAGCTGTTCACATGTGATCTCAGCCAGTAGACTAGCAGCTTTGTAAAGGAAGGAAAGGGATTGTTTTATTCCTTAATGGCGGCTTCCCTGAATAAGTGCCACTAAAATATGTCTCAAAATAATGAGTAAATGAAGGAGCTATGGTGTTTGTCAAGTGGAAAATTGGGCTAATGACATATTGTCTTGAGTTTCGTGTGGGGTCTGGCACACAGTCACGGAAGTACTAATTTAGGTTGTGCTTCTTCCTCTTCACCCAATCTTATAGATAAAAATTCCAAGTCTTAAACTAGCCAAGTGACTCATCTAAGAAATAATGTAAGCTCCACAAGGGCTGTGATTTTTGTCTAGTTCTTCTTTTCTTTTCTTTTCTGTAAATTCCCTTCTTAAATTTTAACTTAATTTTGCTTAATGTTGTGAGCATATCTTCATATTTAATTTATAACAAAACACTACCCATTGTTAGTTAGATTTAAACTAGAAACCTTGGCTGTTGATGTCCATGCCAGGAGTTTCACAATTACACTTCCTGCCCTATTTCTTTCCTATCCCAAAGACCCTTCCTGCACTTTCAACCTTGATGGGACAGAAAATACCTCATCATTTTTCCTCAGGAAATATGGCTCAAGTAACTCCTTCTTGCCTATCACCACACGAGTGCAAGCATACCTTGACTGTGCTGTGCAAACTATCTTTAATGAATATTGCTTTTGGCTCTAAAATTAGGTCCATCTTCCTGTGGCGGGGGCGGGGTGGAGAACTGAGGCTGGAGCAGTGGCTCGTGCCTGTAATCCCAGCACTTTAGGAAGTCAAGGTGGGCAGATCATCTGAGATCAGGAGTTTGAGACCAGCCTGGCCAACGTGGTGAAACTCTGTCTCTACTAAAAATACAAAAATTAGCCAGGTGTGGCTGTGGTCACCTGTAATCCCAGCTACTTGGGAGGCTGAGGCAGGAGAATCGCTTGAACTGGGAGGTGGAGGTTGCAGTGAGCCAAGATCACGCCACTGAACTCTAGCCTGGGCGACAGAGTGAGACTGTGTCCCAAAACAAAACAAACAACAACAACAAAATACTGAATAATATCTCCTGCAAAATTAATGTTAGTGTTTTGCTAAATGATATTTCCATTGTCTGAGACATGTGGCTTTAATGGAAGTATTATATCAGAAAAATGTAGAGAGGAAAGCATAAGGTAACTCAAATTTCTTTCAGGCTGGAAAAACTCTCGAGTCACTGAAGACAGTTTTGCCAAAAAGGATTGGCAAGAAGCAGTGATATTTGCAAATTGTTCAGTGAAACTGCTTTTATTTAGTCAATTTCATCCGGGTGTCCAACGGGTTCTCTGCACAGGGATATGTTTCTTAGACAATGACAAGTTTTAAACCAAATTATGAGCTATAGCTGAAAATATAGTCACAGAATGTCATTCCTGATTTGTTTTTGAAGCTGAAGCTACGTGGCTAGAAATATCAAAGGGGTGATCCATGAGAGTCTAAATGCTCAGTTTGAGGAGTGGGAAGACTTGAAATGACTGTGGAAATGGGCATCAAAGCAGAGAAGCATGGCCAGACATAACACTGCTTGCTCCAGGAAAGGGAGGAGAGATGGTCCCCTGAGCCAGCTGGCGTCAGACCAGTGGACTCTCCACCAATCCCCAGCAGCGTCATTCCCTCATACATGGATCCAACTTTGCAACCAAACTCTGCATCAGAGATCCAAGAGAGAATACCTCCCAGAGGGCTAAACTAAGCTCTTCAGAGTTTATGCTCAACTTGTGGGGGGAGAGCCATTCTTCGCTGGCTTAACACCAAGGAGATCTGAATGCTAAAAGGAACCAGTCAGGAAGGAACAGTGTTAGAATAAGACTGGCTTTGGAGTCCAGAGAGGCAGGTTTATAATTTCAGATTTAGCTTTGAACCATGGGGAAAGCATAATCTTCTTTAATCCTCAATTTGCTCGTCTGTAAAATGGGGAGAATTTTTGCCTTATTAAGTTGTTCTGGGATGTGTTTAAGCATAAGGAGATAATAAATTCCAGCATTCTCCTCCCTCTGGTTTGGAGAGTAGAAATATTTTCTTAATGATGTCTGTCACTGGAATGCAAAGTCTGCCTACTCAGAGGGACCTAGAGGCTGCCTGGTGCTGGAACATACTTGGGGATAAAATGACATCGTACTATTTAATCAGAATCATAAGATCATCATGTGGGTCACTTGGGTGACACAAAGAATCAGAGCTTTGGTCTTTGTCTTATTGACCTATCTTCTAAAATGGTTTCAGGTTCTCTAGGACCTCACTGTCTATAGAGACTCACTGAAGAAAACACCTTCATTCAACCAAGTCTCTTGGTTTTGTATGTGCTGCAACTTGGTTTCACTCTAAGGTTGTGTCTGACTGAACATATGACTGATATTGGATCACATTGCCTCAGGATGGTGACCTTCCTTTCATGTGGGCTAGCACTAGATAGATATGTGTTCTTCAGCGTGGGCTGGAGAGGCAGTCTGGTCAGTTAAAAAGGGAATAGTTTGGCATCAGATACATACGGGCTTTTGAAAAGGTTGTCCTTGAGCAAGCTATTCAGCCTCACTAAACCTCAGTTTGCTCATCTGTAAAGTAGAGATATTATTCTATCACATATATTTATTAGAAGTAATGTACACAAAATGTTTAACACACATAATAAGCCCTCAGTACACCACTATTGCAAATATTTCAATGTTAAATATTCCAACTTGAGAACTCGCCAACATTCCTTGCCGTGTACTCAATTTAACTCCACACATGGACATGCACATACACACCATTTTAAAACTGATTTCATATTTAAAAGTTGTGTTGGGGAAATAAATATTTTTATTATTATTTTATGAAAATGTCAACATTTATTTTAGATATAGGGGGTACAGGTGCGGATGTGTTGCATTGGAATATTGCTTGATGCTGAGGTTTGGAGTATGGATCCCATCACCCTGGTAGTGAGCATAGTAGATTTTATTTTAGAGATATAAAACAATGTCCTAGAAATCTGCATGTTTCAAAGACCTCCTTTAATCACATACCTATTGTTTTCAGAGGAAAAAAGGAGGTGAAAAGAAGAAAAGTATCCTGTCTATGTCAAGGAGAAAACTAGCGACTATTTCCAGAAATACTCAATTACTCTTTTTGCTAAATGAAACAATTTTACAAGGATTATACTATTGCTCTGGTGTCTAATGTGGGTGTGCTCCCATTAGTCCACTTTGCAACTGTCCCAGAAGTACAGTCCAATTAGTCAGTATAGTGTTGACTGAGCCATTTGTGTGTTGATTGAAATCTCACCATTTTATTGCATGAAGATGGAAAATTGCCCGAATTGGCCAAACTTGTGCTATTCTCACTCAAGTTTTAGAAGAAAAGTCTCCCTTTAAGACCATTATATATGATGAGATATTGTCTGGGTTATAGTTAGTAGGTCATTAAAGGGATTGTCTGAAAGATCTGGCCACACAATGGAAGACCGGTTCAGCTTCCTCCATCTGTGTGACCTTCATAGGCATGGACACTTCTGTTCTTATTCCTGCTCTGCTCATTCCTGTTTTGTAGGAACCCTAGGAACATTACTTAACCTTTCTGCACCTTATCATCCTCACTAATAAAGCTTGAGAGAGTAATCCCTCCCTGAAAGAGTTGCCATGATAGTCAAATAAGGCAACATGTACAAAGAGCTTAAGAAAGTGCCTGGAGCGTAAAGGGGTTCCGCAAATGACAGCCATGATTATTAGCATTATGAATTCCTCAAGATGTGTTCAGTTCCTTCGTGATTCTTAAGTGCTTTTGGGAATAAATGACAGAATAAAGTGAAATCATTTGGTAAATTCTGCATCTAGGAAACCACTTAATGGCAGGCAAATTGGCCTCCAGTTGGTGACTGTTTGAAACATGATTCATTTTCAAAACTTTGAACTATTTTGAGAAGTTAACTATATCATGCATTTTTTAAACAATTATGGTAACATAGCTTTTGCCAAAGAATGACATAATTTGACCTTCCTTGGGTAAAGGATGAGGACATAAAGATAATGAAGAAGAGAGGAATAGAAGAGCTTTATACCAAAGGGACCAAACAAAAAAATGTTCAATTTTTTTAAAGTTCAAATTCTTTTAAGAATTTGGTAAATTTCATAATTCTCAGCTTTTATAATTTTTTTCTACTTCATCTCTATTTCCCCAAGCATGTGAGTAATCATGTCTAAAAAAGCTTAACTTCTTACTGGCTGTGTAATATTAGATAAGTCATTTAATCTGATACCTCAGTTTCTTTATCCATAACTTGGAGATAAAATAATATTTACATATAGTGTTGTTAGGGACATTCAATAAAATAATTCAGAAAAAGGACTTAGCAATGAATCTGTTTTAAAGTCATATTTGAAAAAAAATTAAGACCAATAAATAATAGTTAACTTTCTTCTTCCTCCAGACTTCTAGTTTTAAAAACAAACAAATGAAGAGTTCAATGAGCTTAACCAGGAGAATCAGAAAAATTTTCAAATGGCAGCAGATTCAGCCACGAGAAACTGGGAAATGTGGGAGGTGGCAGTTTCAAAGTGGAAATGACTCAGGGCTGGTTCTCTGGATCTGCAAGAAGGAAGCAGGGAGAATGAGAAAGCTTCCTTCAGACAGAGATGAGATCCTTAAGTGTGACCCTCAACTCTGTTGCAAGATAACACAAGGCCTTAAATGTCCCCCTCACAGTGATACAAGTTCTTCAGATAAAGGCACTAGGTCACTGTCTCCTCAGAATGACCATCATCAAAACCACCAAAGGAGGCTGGGCACGGTATCTCACGCCTGTAATCCTAGCACTTTGGGAGGATAAGGTGGGCAGATCACCTGAGGTCGGGAGTTTGAGACCAGCCTGACCAACACAGAGAAACCCCATCTCTACTAAAAATACAAAATTAGTGGGGAGTGGTGGTGCACGCCAGCTACTCAGAAGGCTGAGGCAGGAGAATCACTTGAACCCGGGAGGTGGAGGTCGCGGTGAGCCGAGATTGTGCCATTGCACTCCAGCCTGGGCGACAAGAGCGTGTAACTCTGTCTCAAAAACAAACAAAACAAACAAACACCAAAGGATATTTTAAACAAAGTCCTTATGAACTTCATTGTCTGTATTAAATATTCAACACATCTTTCTAACAGGACGTTCCACCTGTTAAGGGTAAACATATGATGGAAGTATTGCCTCCTGAGAAAGCACAGTGTTCTGATGGACAGACTAAGTAGAGGCATATCTTAGAAACATGCCCCAGACGGAACAGTAATGGCCTGTGAATCTGTGCTTCCACAGCCTGCACCTACAGATCTACACACATGCCCATGCACATGCAGGAAGTGTTCATCTAAGACTGGACCTTTTAGAAGAAAGCTGGCATACATTCGTGAAGGCATGGGCTTCCAGGCATGTCATCTTCACTCACGAAGGTGAGTACCTCCATAGATAAGAAATGTTCTCAGCCATCATAACCTAGCTACAACCAAATTATAAGCTTTAAAAGCTTCTGCCTTAGATTAATGTATCACAAAGGGCGATATCCCTCCTATCATGTTGTTGAAGATGTCAACATTTTAAGTAATATCCACACTTTGCATGTCCCTCGCCTCCTGACTATTCCTAGGATAAACCCTAACATCCCCCATATAGGTAATGGGCTTCATGAGTAAAGAGTAATTCATTTTGGTAGCTCTTATAATGCTGAGATCAAGTCCACAAAAAGTGAATGTTTGAAAGTAGGAGGGAGAGAAGGATGAAAGAAGGAGAGAACAATTAGGGGAGGTAGTAGCCTGAATGCATTGATCCTAATAGTTGCAAATGTACAACCAGGCACATCTTCCCAATAAACTCACTTCTATTAATACCTGCTACAAAACCAAGCCTAGTCTTGGCTACTGACATTCAACTCTTCAAGGTAAACAGAAATCACCCTTTACTGGGGCCATCTCAAAAAGTAATTAACTCTTTACCATGATAACAAATTCTCAGATCACTGAAAAATTAAAAACAAAAACCAAAAAAACAGAATCCTAGAGTCTGGTCAGAGCGGAACCAGCAGTAGAATTCAAAGTTCTAAAATAGAGGGACAGTGTTGTATTCCACTTCATACATATCCCAGCACAGAGATATCACTAGGCATTTGGTGGTTGCCCTATAAATAGTAGATGAGTGAGTCACAAAAATAAAATTAACTCAGCCTGGCCAACATGGTGAAACCCTGTCTCTACTAAAAATACAAAAAAAAAAAAAAAATTAGCTGGGCATGGTGGCAGGCACCTGTAATCCCAGCTACTGGATAGCTGAGGCAGGAGAATTGCTTGAACCCAAGAGGCAGAGGTTGCAGTGAGCCAAGAACGTACCATTGCACTACAGCCTGGGCGACAAGAGTGAAACTCCATCTCAAAAAAAAAAAAAAAAAAAAAAAATTAACTTTTAGATTGTTATTAAATGTTTTACTTGTGAAAAAAAAGTTTAAAGAGTTTAGGTATATTCTCCATGATTACAGTAAGAATGCAACTAGCTGGTCTCCAAGTGCAGTGTTATGTCTACAGCATTAGTCTGTCCCAATGTAAATGAATGAAAGGTGTCACACCTGCAATTGATGCTGCAAGAATCAGAGAGTAAGTAAAGAAAAATTAGTGTCTGATGGGAGAGCAATGTCTCCTTGCTTACACTCCCAAGATCAGATATACTTTGCACCTTCATAAAATCAGATCTTGGACCAGCTCTAATAAATATGAGTGCATACATGGTATTGAACCCAAAGCTCTTATCCTTTCTCTAGCCTCTAATTTCCAATGCAACCTTTGGCACAACCCTTCACCACTTCCCACCTGTAAGACAGGAAGAGTGGGGATCAACAATCTCTTCAATCTCTAATCCCTCCAGTCACTTTAAAAAGTTGTTAATTCTACAGCATAACTCCATGTTTTTGTGTTCTGAAATCACCACCGACTGAGCTGCTGCAGAGACAACCAATCTTTACTCAGGACAAATATTTTGTCACATTGCACAGAAAAGATAGTAGGTAGTGATGTACTGTGAGTCTCTAAACTTTATCATAAAGCAACCAGAAAGAAGGGGATATTTTGCAACTCTTGTCAGTGTAGTGTCTATGCCAGCAAGAACTTCTAAACAGAAGTGCTGTGAATTCAAGGCAAAAGATTTATGATGTTGATGGAGTGGGAGGTGGGAGAGATCCTTCTAGTAATCCAAGCAAGGCAACATGGACTATAATTGGCATCTGAAGTTTTTTGTTCTTTTTTCCCTTGGAGCTCTCTGCTCGGGCTTGATGCTGTTGTTTTCCCTGAGAGAGAATGCAGCTGTCGCTGTATGCCTTGGGGGTAGATATCCATCACCCGGAACGTATCACAAACTATTAATAATGCATCACTGCAAATCTACCTTGTCTCCATAAACACCCTGTCTCCAAGTACAGATAAAAGGTCCAACAAGCAGATGTTGGGATTTATTATCCCCACATTTCCCATTTCTCTAAGGATGGTGCCCAGTATCTGAGTTCTCCTGTGGGTAGTGTAGGAATGGGAAACTAATATTTACTGAGTGACTTCTGTGTGTCAGTTGCTTATGTGAAATCATATTAGCAGCCCTGAGAAATAGGTTTTATTAACCCCATTTTGCAGATGAGGAAGCTGAGGCTTAGAGAGAAGTGACTTGCCTAACGATACTCAGCTTGCAACCCATCTCCCAGAGTCTTACTCTAGAGATCTTTCTTAATCCTCTGTAGCAGATGACCATTAGATGGTTTGGGACTTTGCATTTTTATCTTTCCTACTGTACCTACCATACCCTTGTATACAGTAGGTACTAAGATAAGCTTCGCCAAATTCAATTTTTAAAAGGTGGACCCCAGAAAAAGGCCTACAGAGCTGCTATCTGGAAATAAATTCCTACACATGAAGCAGGAGTAAGAACCTACAGGGCACAGAGCAATTTCCCTAAGAGCTGGTTGCTTCCTGAGACCACTTCGCCCTTGTTCTTCCTGATTGTTTGTCAT
This sequence comes from Homo sapiens, assembly GCF_000001405.40. NCBI lineage: Eukaryota > Metazoa > Chordata > Mammalia > Primates > Hominidae > Homo > Homo sapiens. Next base: position 65,308,825 of record NC_000016.10, on the reverse strand, counting down.
ATACATAGTGTCTGTGACTGGGTTGATAAAGAGTCAGCCCTTTTCTAACCCTTGATTACACAATATAGCCAGTTGCACTCATACTTGTCTGTTTTGATCTATATACATCTGCCCTGCTTGGTCAGGGTGGGGCTGTTTCATGTAGTCCCTTGACCTTGTATGTTAGCCTTGTATATGGGCAGTGGGAAAAAAAAACAGACCAACACTGTTAACCCTCTGTGCTCTGTGCTTCTGCCCCTCCCCACCTACCACATGATTAACTCCTTTTCAGGAGCAAACAGTGGAGCTGCTGAACATTCAATGGGCCACGATTCCCTAATGGATGGCACACACTGTGCTAAAAAGTAATGAGCTTCTAGTTATCAGTGCACTCTTCAGACCAGCCTGCCTCATCCATGCAGCTGATCTGGGAAGAGGACCATTCAGGCCCAACTGCTGGAGATTTAAAGAGGAGAGATGAGGAAGACAGCCACAGCTCCACCACAGTCTCTTTAGTGCTATAAAGGAAGTTATGGAGTCATGCCTGAACTAAGAATATAATTGATACTATGTTTCCCCATAATTATGGCTTCATTGTGCCCGTAGCCCCTTAAGTCCACAAATCCACAATGGAGGAGGGGATTTAGGCACCAAAATCCCACACAAATTTCTAGCTGCTCACTAAATTGTGCTTTTTGTGAAGGCCAGGAAACTGTCAACATTTGTACCATAGCTATGTAGAGTGAGCTGGTAATTATCATTCTCAAATCATCCCAATTAGGTCACATTTTAATCTCTGTTATATCAATGAGGAAACTGAGGCTTGCAAATACTTCAGGTAGCTTACCCAAGTTGTACAGCTGGTCAAAGGCAAAATTGAGATTTAACAACGGCCTAGAGAAAAATGCACTTTTTGGCATTGAGCTTCAGTTCTGGCTGTTTAGGAGAAAGCAACATATATCCTTAGCCCTCAAGGAAATAAAAAAACATGGAAACTTAAATTCCCCAGGTACCCAGGTGCCCTTGAAGGAAATCATTCATCCATTTCCCTTTGAAACAGTTTTCAGAGATAGCCCGAATGTTGTGCAAGGGAGTTCTCGTAAAAATAGGCATTGCTCACCGGGGTCCATTTCTGCAGCCACAGGAGGATGAAAAACCCCAAGTAGTCATAAGAAAAACGAACAATTTTACTGACAAATTAAAGGTTTGAGAGGCAGCAGGAGAAACTGGTCAGCTGCAACTTCAGAGAAAGCTGCACTGAACATTTCAAAGCCTCGACTTTAATTAGGAAGGGAGAAGCTGTGGTCTGGGAAGTGGTCCCCGATGGGTGTGCGCCCGGCATTAAATATGCCTTCTTGTACTCAGCAGGGTTTGAAGTTTTTTAAGGAGGGACTGAATAGCAGGAGAGAGAGGGGTGGAAAAGAAAGAGAGAGAGAGCAAGAGAGAGAGGAGGGAGATGTTTGATCTGCCAGCAGTCTTGCCCTGTTCATCAAATTGTACACCCTAAGAATGGGATTTTAGAGATTGCCAATTGCAAAGTGAAGACCAGAGTTGGTGAGTAACTGGCCCAGGCTTCTCATCTTGGCAATAAAGACTGGCATTCATTGAATAAATGAATAAGAAATTTTGATGAAGCACCTTAATATAAGTATAATATGTATTATAATGTCTATAATCATCATAGTCCGTATTCTGTTATCCACATTTTATAGAAAAACAAGACTGAAGCTCAGAAAGTTTAAGCATGCTATTCTACATTTTATAAGCGGCAGAGCAATTGCTGTCTTTTCCTATGTCCTCTGAACTCTTCAGAAGCCTCTAAGATATATATGCCTCCAGGAAGTCTTCCTCATTGCCTTGGGTCAGAGTTAAGTGCCACTGCCTGTGAGTTTCTAAGCCATCCAAGTACTTGAGACTTGTATTGTAATGGCCCATTTACATTCCTCTATCCCTGACTAGACCTTGAGCTCCCTAATCCAGGCACCTTGCTAGCTTTGTCTGTGGTCTCACCCCAGCCCTGAACATAGTTCAGCTGATTCTATGAAAGTGAGATCTTGAACACTCTTGAATCTTCTTTTCCATCCTCCAGGAGAGTAGTCGCTACTCAGATCTCCTTTCTCACACAAAGTCCAAGTTCTCAATCTTGATCTTCATCCTCTTTCTTGCTCTTCATCATCCTCCCTCTCTCATTCCTCATAAAACTCTGCCGTCAGCTCCACTCAAGAGGAAAATTACTCAATACATGACATCACTCCAAGGCATAAGTAATAGAAAAGTACCATTCATTTTTTATCCCAGAGATGTCTGTAGTTTCAGCAACAGAATGTCATCTATTGAGATGCAAATGATAACAGCAGTGATGACAATAATAGCTGACATCCACTAAGAATTTACTATGTGCCCTCCTTTTGCAAGGATTTCCTCATTTAATTCTCACAACAATCATGAAATGCATGAAGTATTCTCATCCCTGTGTTATAAATTAAGGAACTAAGGCTCATAGATGCCAAGTCCTCACTCAAGAACACACAGTCATAATTGGAATGTAGCTATGTCTAATTTCAAAGGCAATCAAGTTTCTTACATCAGCAGACTTTAAAAAAATGTTAAATATAAGGAACAGCAGAAATGGTCATATATTGACTGTCTATTATGCACAGGCACTATTATGCACTCCATATATATTAAGTCATTTACTGAGTTAATGCACCCAGAAATAAAGTTAGTACCTTTTAGTGGATTGATACAAATGGGACTTATGGAGCTAAATTGATTTAGAGAGGTTAGGACAAGCAGCTGGACCAAACGACCTCTTGAGTTTCATTCCATGATTCACAGACACTATTCCAAAGATATATGAGGCCACATGACAAACCAGCAAGGAAGATATACAGGTCTTTAAGCATCATTTTATCACATAGTGAAGGCAAGGACTCCTCTATCTTTGCCTTGGGGTTGTTCCCATAGGGCTCCATGGTGTGACAAATTGGGTATGTGGCACCTCCTGTAGGAAGGCCCTGCTCCCAGTGGCTGCTGGGCCACGTCTTAACACAATCTCTGGCTTCAGGGTGGAATGGCAATTATTTAAAATTGGCTCAGGTCTGCATACTCCACTGGATTCTTTTTTATCCCACTTTAAGTCTTTCCCTTGGGACAGCTTAAACAGCTTTATCTTTTTAATGACAAAATGCCCATCGATAGGACTGGAAATGAAATCAAGCTTTTGCTTAGCAACCAGTCCGTTTATTTATTTTCCAAGTTCATGAGTTTATATGCATGCTGCTCTTAATGGGCAGTGCATAAAAATGCCTCTTTTTATTTTCTTTTCATTTACATTGTTGCGGATAATGGCTATTATCAAGCCATTAGAAGCAAGAAAGTACTGCTTTTGCCTCCCAAGATGGGCTGCAATTGTGTATGCGCTCTCTATGCAGATTGGCCAATATGTTAAACTTTCTTTTTCCATCTTCATCTGATACAGATAGCTTTATGTCAGCAATATAATTTTCCTCTTGATGCATAGAAGTACATAAATATGTATAGACATGAAAGTATATATGAACATACACTTACACATATAAACACAAAGTAAATACCGACATCATATATGTATATACACAGATGCACAGACACAGACACACACACACACACAGAGAAAGAAATCTCCTTTTTCAATTAAAATGAAATTCTATGGCAGAAATGTAAAATAAATTCTAATCCACATCAGATTCTAAGACATTGTTACATAAATCTATGACACCATGGTCTGTTTTAAACAAAAGAAAGGATGGACTCAGTCCACATATAGCCCATTGAAGCTTTCATAGTTAACGAAAGTCATTTTTAGGTTGTGTCTGAGAGGCACAGTCATATGGATTAAAAACTAAGGAGCGTCATTCTTTATTCAGATGTTTCCAAATGTCTACTTAATGTATACTGGCAAAATCATCAAATTCAGGAATTGACATTTTTAAAAAATACATCCATTCTTTCAGAGTGTCTGTGGGTGATTAGGTTATTTCACTAGGGGAGAAGAGGGGGCTCAGTTTTGTTTACTGTAGCATTTTAGGTGAGATGGGCAAAGTAAAGATAAACAGCATTTGTTGAGTATCATTATACTCTTGGTCTTTTAGTAAATATTATTTGACATTGTCATCTATGAGGAAGGTCGTGCTTTAAAATTCACATTACTTCTGCAAAGTATTATCTACATTTTATTGTTGATGGAGCTGGGACAGAGATCGTTGGCAGCTAGAAAAGGTCAGATTGACAAAAACACAGTGAAGCAAGGCCTAGGTATTTGGTAGTTACAGAAACATTAAGCCTGGTTCTGTGATTGATATCAAGACCTGGAGTGATGGCATGTAGTAAAGCAATGGTTCTCCACTGGGGGGATTTTGCCCCCCAGGGGAAAATCATTATGTCTGGAGACATTTTTGGTTGTCACATTAAAGGTGGAGGTGCTATTGGCGTACAGTAGGTAGAAGTGGAACTGCTGCAAAACATTCTGAATGTACAGGACTGCTTCCCACAATAAAGAAATATGAGGTCTAAAATGTCAGTATTGCAGAGGTGGAGGAAGCCCCCCTCTTCCATCTAAGACTCCAAGTGTTCTTCTGTATTTTATAGTCCTGGCCACTTTTATGTATCAGCATTCTAACCAAGATCTGGAAAACAAATGTGACATTAGCATGTGTCTTGGGACGAAGCGCAAGGTAGAGGAACTAAATGCCAACCCTGACTCTACTACCTATAACGTGCATCTGGCAGGAGTGACTTACCCTCTTGGTGACTCAGTTTCTTTATCTGCAAGTTTAAGAAAATACTAGTACACACCTCATCAGGCTGATGCAAGAATTAGATGAGATAATGCATATAAAGAGTTAATGAGACAGGGTGCAGAGTAAATGTTTAACCACTTAGTTGTTATTTTTATTTTAATTGCTGTTATTTTAACTTTTTGGTATTTGCTATGTCCGTTTTCTGGAGAGCACTCAGTTTTTAATACTATATTTTCCTTTTTGAATTAGCAAATGTTATTTTTATAGACCAGTTTTAGGTTCACAGCAAAATTGAGTGAAAAGTATATGGAGTTCTTATACTACTCTTGTCCCCCACAAATGCACAACCTCCCCCACTATTGACATCCTGCACCACAATGGCATTTTTTTTTTTTTTTTTTTTTTTTACAATTGATGAACCTATATTAACACATTATTATCACCCAAAGTCCATAGCACACTCTTGGTGGGGTACATTCTATGGCTTTGAACAGATCTACAGTGACATGTATTATCATGTAGTACTATATATAATAGTATCATACAGAATAGTTTCATTGCACTACGAATCCTCTGTGCTCTATTCCACCCAAATCTCACCTCAAACTGTAGCTCCCATAATCCCCACCTGTCATGAGGGGGAACCCAGTGGGAGGTAATTGAACCATAGGGGCAGGTTTTTCCTGTGCTGTTCTTGTGGTAGTGAATATGTCGCATTAGATCTGATGGTATTATAAAGGACAGTTCCCCTGCACATGCTCTCTTGCTTGCCACCATGCAAGATGTGCCTTTGCTCCTCCTTCACCTTCCAACACGATTGTGAGGCCTCCCCAGCCATGTGGAATTGTGAGTCTATTAAACCTCTTTTTCTTTACAAATTACCCAGTCTCAGGTATTTCTTCATAGCAGTGTGAAAATAGACTAATACACCCTTCCTTCCCTGCTAACCCCTGGCAACCACTGAACTTTTTACTGTCTCCACAGTTTTGCCTTTTATAGAATGTCATATACTTGGAATCATATGGTATGTAGCCTTTTCAGATTAGCTTCTTTCATTTAGTAATATGCATTTAAGTTTCCTCCCTGTTTTCTTATGACTTGATAGCTCATTTCTCTTTAGTGCAAATATTTAATTGTTTGTGTATACCTTGGTTTATTTATCTATTCATCCACTGAAGGATATCTTGGTTGCTTCCATGTTTTGGGTGTTGTCGATATGCCATAAGGTTTCACAGGTAGGGATTCAACCAACCTTGGATTGAAACCTGCAGATACAGAGAGCCAACTGTACTACATCATTTTATATAAGGAATATGAGCATCTTTGGATTTTGGTATCTGTGGATGGCCCTGAAACTAATCCTTTATGTGTATCTATTTTGTTTGATTGATATCTAAGCATATAATTTTGAGGGGCACTAATATAAATGGCAATGTGTTTTTAATTTCAAATTTCACTTGTTTGTTGCAGAAGTATGGGAAAGCAATTGAATTTCTCTATCAATCTTGTATTCTGCAAATTTTCCATAATTGTTTATTAGTTCCAAGAGGTTTTTTTGTTGATTCTTTTGGATTTTCTATTTAGACAATCATGTCATCTGTGAACAAAGGCAGTTTTATTTCTTCCTTCCTGATATTAATAACCTTTTATTTCCTTTTCTTTTCTCATCGAATTTGCTAGCACTTCTGGTACAGTGTTGAAAAGGAGTGGTAAGAGGAAACATCCTTGTCTTGTTCCTGATTTTAGCAGGAAAGCTGGAAGTTTCTTAATGTTAAGCGTAATGTTAGTGTAATGTTTTACTAATGTTCTTTATTAAGTTTAAAAAGTTCCCTTCTATCCTTATTTAGCATATATATAAAATATATATTTTTATATATTATTATGTATTTTATATTATATATAGATATTATCATGACTGGGTGTTGAATTCTGTCAAATGCTTTTTCTGCATCTATTGATATGATTATGTGATTTTTCTTCTTTATCTTGTTTATATGACAGATTACGTTTATTAATTTTCAAATGTAAAACCACCCTTGCTTATCTGGAATAAATCCCCTTCTTGGTTATGATGTAAAATTCTCTTTTTAAAAACCATTGTTGGGTTTGATTTGTTACTATTTTAATGAGAATTTTTTATCTATGTTGATGATAAACATTGGTCTGTAGTTTTCTTTTCTTGTAGTGTCTGGTGCTGACCCCATTAAATAAGTTAAGAAGTATTACCTCTGCTTTAATCTTCTGAAAGAGATTGTAGAGAATTTGTATAATTTCTTCCTTCCATGTTTGGCAGAATTCACCAGTGAACCCATCTATAGCTGGTGCTTTCTGCTTTGGAAAGTTATTATTGATTCAATCTCTTTAGTAGATATAAGCCTATTTATATATTTATTCCTTTTACATGAGTTTTGGCAGATTGCGTGTTTTAAGAAACTGGTCCATTTCATCCAGGTTATAAAATTTGTGGGCACAAAGTTGTGTATAATATTCTTTTATTATCCTTTTCAATTTCATGGGCTTTATAGTATGTATCTTCTCTCCTTTCTAATATTAGTGATTTGTTTCTTGTCCCTTTTTTTCATAGCCTGCTTAGAGGCTTCCCAGTTTTATTAAATGTTTTTTAAAAAGGTCTTTTTCAGTTTTGTTGATTTACTCTATTAATTTCCCATTTTCAGTTAAGTTAATTTTTTGTACTTCTTTCTTTTCTTCTGTTTACTTTGGATATAATTTCCTCTTCTTCTAGTTTTTTAAGATGGATGCTTAGATTATTGATTTTGAAACTTCCGTATTTTCTAATATATACATTCAGCACTATAAATTTCACTCTAAGTACTATTTTTGCTGAATCTACAAATTTTGATAAGTTGTATTTTCACTTATATTTAATTCAAAATATTCTAACATTTCTCTTGAGATTTTTTTCTTTGACCCATTTGTTATCTAAAAGTGTGTTGTTTAATCTCCAAGTACTTTGGTATTTTCCAGCTGTCTTTTCATTATTGATTTTTAGTTTAATTCCATTGTGGCTTGAGAGCAGATATTGCATGGTAGTTATTCTTTTACATTTATTAAGACATGTTTTATGGGACAGAATTCAGTCTATGTTGGCGAATGCTCTATATAAGCGTGAAAAGAACGTGTAACAGGCTATTGTTGGATGAAGTAGTCTATGGATGTCAATTATAGTCAGTTGATTGATACTGCTGTTGAAAATACTTACTGATTTTCTACCAGCTGGATCTGTCCATTTCTAATAGAGGAGTGTTAAAGTCTCTTGCTATAATAGTGGATTCATCTATTTCTCCTTGAGTCCTATCAGTTTTTACCTCACATATTTTGATATTGGTTGTTAGGCACATATATAATAAGGATTATTATATCTTCTTGGAATATTGGCCTCTTTATTATTGTGTAATATTAATTTTTATCCCTGATAACTATTCATGCTCTGAAGTTTTCTCTGTCTGAAATTGGCATAGCTATTTCCATTTTCTTTAGGTTAGTGTTATTAACAGCATGGCGTACCTTTCTTCCATCTTTAACTTTTAACCTGTATGTCTTTTGTATTTAAAGTAGATTCTTTCAGACAAATATAGGTTGGGTTTTTATTTTTTAACCACTCTGGCAATATCTATCTTGTAACTGATGCATTTAAAGCATTGATGTTTAACTTGATTATTGATATAGTTGGATTAATATCTACCATATCTGTTACTGTTTTATATTTGTTGCCCTGTTCTTTTTTTTTTTTAGTCTCCCACACTTTAACTGCTATTTATGGTTTCAACTGAGCATTTTATAATTCATTTTTTCTCCTTTTTAGCATATCAATTGTGCTACTCTTCTCACTTTTTAAAGTGATTTCCCTAGAGTTTGAAACATACATTTAGAACGAATTCATGTGCACTTTCAAATAACACTATACTACTTCACAGATTGTGCAAGTACCGTATAATTATAAAATGTCCCTAATATTTCCCTTGTGTTCCTTGTGTCATCGCTGTCACTCACTTTACTTATATGTAAGCGTAAATAAATGTTTATATATTTAATATATATTTGAATACACTGTTGTGATTATTTTGAAAAACTGTTATCTGTCACATCAATTAAGGATGTGCTTTTTTTCCTTGAAATTTATTTATTTATTTATTTTAATTTTTAAACTTTTATTTTAGGTTCAAGGATACATATACAGATTTGTTATATAGATAAACTCATGTCATGGGAGTTTGTTGTTCAGATTATTTTGCTACCCAGATACCAAGCCTAGTACCCAATATTTACTTTTTCTGATTCTCTCCCTCCTCCCACCATCTACCGTCAGGTAGGCTCATGTGTCTGTTGTTCTCCTCTATGTTTCCATGTGTCCTCATCATTTAGCTCCCAATTATACATGAGAATATGGGGTATTTGGTTTTCTATTCATGCATTAGTTTACTGAGGATAGTGGCTTCCAGCTCTATCCATGTTTCCACAAAAGATATGATCTCATTATTTTTTATGTCTGCATAGTATTCCATAGTGTGTATGTACCACACTTTCTTTACCCAATTTGTCATTGATGGGTATTTAGGTTGATTGTATGTATTTATTATGGTGAATAGCGCTGCACTGACCATTCACATGCATGTGTCTTTATGGTAGAATGATTTATATTCGTTTGGTATATACACAGTATGGGATTGCTGGGTCAAATGGTAGTTCTGCCTTTAACTCTTCAACGAATCACCACACTGCTTTCCACAATCATTGAACTAATTTACACACCCACCAACTGTGTGTAAGCATTCCCTTTTCTCTGCAACCTCGCTAGCATCTGTTATTTTTTGGCTTTTAGTAATAGCCATTCTGACTGGTGTGAGATGCTATCTCACTGTGGTTTTGATTTGCATTTGTATAATGATCAGGGATATTGAGGTTTTTTTCATATGCTTGTTGACAGGATGTATGTCTTTTTTTTGAAAAAAGTCTGCTCATTTCCTTTGCCCACTTTTTAAGGGGTTGTTTTTATCTTGTAAGTTTAAGTTCTTTATAGATGCTGTATATTAGACCTTTGTTAGATGCATAGTTTGCAAATATTTTCTCCCATGGAATTAGAATGGTTTTTATCTTACCTTCACTTAATCATTCTCTGATGCTCTTTTTTGCTTTATGTAAGTGTGAGTTTCTGACCCAAATCATTTTTCTTCTCTCTGAAAAACTTTTAATATTTCCTGCAAGGCATGACTCCTGGCAACAAATCTCCTCCATTCTTGTTTATCTGAGAACGTCCTTATTGCTTCTTCACTTTTGAAGAATAATTTCATAGGGTGGAGAATTCTTACTTGCTTTTTATTTCCTCTTAATGCTGCAAGTATTCTACTCTATTTTTGTTTGCATAATTTCTGAGGAGAAATTTAATATAATTCTTATCTTTTCTTCTCTATAGAGAATGTTTTTTTCTCAATTTTTTCAAGTTTTTTTTAATCTTCGATCTTCTGATGCTTGAATATGATGTACCCAAGTGTAGTTTTTTTGGTATTTATCCTGATTGATGTTCTCTGAGCTTTCATCTGTGGTTTGATTTCTGATATTAATTTGAGAAAATTCTTAGTAATTATTGGTTCAAATATTGCTTTTGTTCCTTTCTGTTTTTCTTCTCCTTTTGGCATTCTTATTATGTATGTGTTGCTCTTTTAGAGTTGTCCCACAGATTTTAGAATATTGTTCCACTTTTTTCAAGCCTTTTGTCTTTTTTCTTCTCAGTTTGGAAATTTCTATTGTCATCTCCTCAAGCTCAGATTCTTTCCTCAGCCATGGCCAGTCTACTAATGAGCCCTCCAAAGTCATTCTGTGTGTGTGTGTATGTGTGTGTGTATGTCTAGCAAGTCTCTTAAATTTTTTCTTAGAGTTTCCATCTCTGTGTTTCCATGTTCTTGCTTGGGATCTACTTTTCCACTAGATCCCTAAGAGAATTATTTTAAACTCCTGGTCTGATAATTCTAACATCTCTGCCGTGTCTGACTCTACTCCTATGCTTGTTCAGTCTCTTTGAACTGTGTTTTTCGTATAGCTTTAAAATTTTTTGTTGATAGCTGTATTTGATGTACTGGGTAAAAAGAAGCTGCTGTAATTAGGCCCTTTTAATGTTGTGGTATGATATGGAGGGAGAGACAACATTCCATAGTCTTATTATTAGGTCTCAGCATTTTATCAAGCCTGGACCTCTGCGCTGTGAACCTGAAAATGTTTCTCACTGTTTTTCTCTCCCTGGGACAGGATGACTAGAGTGAACTGGAGTTGGGTATTTTCCTTCCCCCATGGAAGTTAGGATCTGATAAAACTACAGCAGATTAGGCTCTGGTTAAGCAGTTTTTCCTGAGGACAGACTTTGTGAAGTAGAACAGAATGTTCTGGCACATTTTAAGATGTCTTCCTTGCCTTTCTGGCAGCATGGAGGGATTTTTTTTTTTTTTTCTATCTTCACTCTGAGGACTTGGTAGAGCTCTTGGAAGTAAAACTGAGAAAAGTGTGAAGACCTTTCTATGACTTGGTAACCCTGGAGTTTTTGACCTTTGGACTCAGGCACACTGAGCCTTCAGCAATTCATCAACTACACTGTAGGTTTTCCTAGACTGGCACTGGCTACTCCAGAGATTTCTGCTCATAAGTTTCTGTTCCTGTAAGTTGTGATTCTCTGTATCCACCTGCATCTTCAATTTTGGGGGCAGCAGTTTGCCCTGTGACCTCACTTCTTTGATGGGTATAAGACGAGTTGTTGATTTTTTAGTTTCTTCAGCTTTTTACCTGTTGTGAGGACAGAGCAGAAACTTCTAAGCTCCTTGCATGCCGTACTGGAAACCAGCTATCTTTTCTTTTTTAAGAAAGCTTTTATCTCAAGGCTAGGTAGACTTGCTTTCACTCACATTTGATTATAGACTGCAGCAGAATCAGAATGAGGGGGACAGGGCAGATTTGCAGAATGGAGCTGTGGGCTATTTTTAAGCAACATGCTTTTCTATGAACACTTCCACAGCTTCTTTCAGTATGATATCCTCTGTTTTACCTACATCTCTAGAGCGCCTTGAAAGTTCCAGTTCCCTCTACACAGAAGAGCAGCATCTCCACAGCTAGGCCTCATCGAGCATGTGGGATCAGAGCTTTGCCTTTCTCCCAGACCTGTTCTTACTCAGCTACAGAGAGCATCAGGCAGCCCAGGGAGCTCACTGCAAAAGTCTCAGGTGTCTTGAAATCACTGTCTTTCAACATGAGAAAGACTGGAGCAGAGAGGAAAGGAGTGGGAATGGAGGAAGGGAGACAAAAAGCAAGAAATAGGTATTATTAAACTTAGCTGGTTCCAGAAAACTGCCTAAGGCCACACTGCCAATCTGTGAGGAAGCCAACATTCAAACTCCAGAAATCTCTTTCTCTCAAGCACCCTGCTTTTCTTCCTCAGAGTAAAAGGAATCCCCTAACTAGAGAAGCTATAAACAGGACCCTGAACCCAGGTACTTAAAAGAAAGGCAGAGAGAGGCAATCTTGTTATTGATAAGACATTGTAAAGAATGAAATGCAATGTGCTTTTTACTGCTTCCCAGAGAAAACCAGGAAATAAGAAATCTCCACCAAACTCAGCCCCTAGAAAACAAACTTTCTGTTGAAAGACGAGAGAAATTTCTTGTGTTGGAAATCCTTCTGACAGTTGTCTGCCTTCTGCCTATAATTGGCTGGCAACACCTCTGAGTAGGCATGGTCCATAGCCTCCTTTGTCATTTGGGAGATGCCACTCTGTCTTTTGGGCCCTCATGAATCACTGAACAATTCCTTAGGCAAATTGTCATTCTAATCAGTGTACATCAGTCCTACAAAAACTAAATATTATCAACCCCGAGGCCAGGTGCGGTGGCTCACGCCTGTAATCCCAATACTTTGGGAGGCAGAGCCGAGCAGATCATGAGGTCAGGAGTTCGAGACCAGCCTGACCAACATGGTGAAACACCGTCTCTACTAAAAATACAAAAATTAACTGAGCGTGGTGGCAGGAGCCTGTAATCCCAGCTACTTGGAAGGCTGAGGCAGGAGAATGGCTTGAACCCGGGAGGCGGGGTTTGCAGTGAGTCGAGATCGCACCACTGCACTCCAGCCTGAGTGATAGTGCGAGACTCTGTCTCAAAGAAAAATCCTGAAGGATGATCGAAGGTTATGGATGATATCCATAGAAGTGGTACAATTCTTCATCATCATTGTCTCATCAGCACCATGACGATTGCAATCATTATCCTTATACTCTTCATCACAACCAACGTCACTACCAACATCACCACCACCACCATCACCATTTTCATCGCCACCACCATCACCGCTGTTACTACCATTATCATCACCATTACCATCACCAACATCATTATCATCACCACCACCATCAGCATTTTCATCACCACCACCCAGGATTATCATCACCACTACCACCACCATTATCACTATGCATTAGAGCCTGGTTTTATGTTAAATATTTCATTTAGTTTCTACTGCATGAGGCAGATAGGTGTTATTAAATAATGTTCCTTTCTTCATTGTTGAGAAAATTCAGGCTCAACTGGGTGAAATAGCTTATAGAGGATCATACTTGGCAGGACTTTCTTCGGTACATGACCCTTGTTGATAACTTGCCCATTCTTTTAGGCCTAATGCAAATGTTCAGTTTTTCACTAAGCACCCTAAATCCTCACTATTGGTGCATCTCTTGTGACAGCTTATTCTAAATTGCATTGTGCCTGTTGGTATGAGTTAATTGGATATCACATCTAACCAAGAAATGAGAGAGTAGTAGAGACTCTTATTTTTCAGCACACAGTCAGCACATAATATATTAAATAGTTGCAGTATCCTTGGCCTTGGGATAAGTTTTACAAGATTGTCTATCTTTTTCTGGATCCAAATTAAAGCAGTAAAATATACATTTATCTATCTAATAAGTTTGTAATTGAAATACTCTCAGCTTGAGAAACACAAGATAAGGAGGAAAAAAAATACGTTTAACTCCAAGGCTGACCAAATTAGATGTTTTCTGGAAAGAAAAAAAAAAAAACAAACTCCCCAGTAGAGATAGAACTTTTGATTTAGCCTTCATAGGAGCCTTGGGCATAGGGCCAGACCACTCTGACCTACCCCTCACCATGAGCTATCAGTCCCTTGCAAGGTTAGAGCTCTCACAAGGTTATGGCTAATTCACTTGTTTACCGGGCAGTCAGTGAGCTCTTCAATAGCAGAGACATTTACTCATTTACATCTCTGATTCCCTATCCAAGAACAAAGCCTAGCATACAATCAGCACTTGGTACAAATTTTTGGGTGAATGAATGAATTTATTTTCTTTATCAGTTTTACAAACTGTAACATTTGAGGAGGCATGCTAGGTGAGCCCTCAGAGAACACTAGTTCTCACATGGTAAAAGGTTATGGGAGTATTAGGTCTGGTTTAGTGCAGTGATGGCTGAGGTGGGCTTTTTTCCTTTGCAGTTTCAGAGAAGATAAAAAAGACTTAATCAGGTAGACAGAGCCATTAATTTGGCATTATCTCTACAAGTGAAATGCACAACTACTGGTTAGGAAAAAGCCCAGCGGATGCTCCACTCTCCTTTTCCGTTTTCTGAACTTCTGAGGTTACAGATCAAGGTTAATGGCACAAATCACCGCTTCAACACCCACCCACCTGCCCCCCTTCCCCCATTGCATTCCTGCAGCAGAGAAGGAGGAGGAAGAGAAAGAGGAGGAGGAAAGCTTCCATGGGCATTAGGTCTGAGTGTGAGAGCAGTCAAGACAAAGCAGGGGAAGATTGGAGATGAAGACACCCTTGCCCTCTACTGAAGGCACAGACAAGACAGAGAATTAGGTCACCATGGGTCTCCAGAGAGTAACTAATTCAACCAGACCCTCAGGGTAGTCAAAAATGTGAGCCTCTTAAGATCAGGTCATCACTGGCTTCACGAGGAAAGGCTCAGCCACAAACAATGGGATATTAGATTGGTGAAGAAAGATCTTGCAGCATCCAAAAGACCATTGATCTGAACAAACATAGATCAGAAAATACCAGCACACCTTTTCTCCACACTCATTGCCTTTGAATGACACTTGGGAGAATTGTGTAGAACGAAATTATGGCAATATTCTTTGGGGGAAATTTCTCAGTACTTTATGGTCCAAATCAGAGGAATGAACTTTCTCTTTTTTTATGTAGAGAAGCCAAGATAGAAGGCCCAGGAGTTTATAGAATATTCAGATACATTGTTATTGTCTCTCACCTGACTACTTAATCACTTCATAACTGGACTTCCAGCTTCCATTCTTATCTCCTTCCAACTTATTCTCTTCACATCCAACAGAGAGGCTTTAGAAATTCAAGACTGACTATATTATTCTTCAGCTAAACCCCTTCAGTGCCTTTGTAGTGCTTTTAGAGTAAGTAACAAAATATCAATACTTTTAGCTGGATCCTGCGCGACCTGACCATTGCCAGGTCTACATGCTGTTGTGCGACTCTATCTCCATCTGTGTGTCCTAGTGATGTCAGCCTCCCTTTAACTGCTCACAAATTCCATGGAAACCTATCCCTTTATCTACCTACTCTTGACATATATCTCATCTCTCCCTTAGCTCTCAGATCTGCCTTCATATCTCTAGGAACCCTTCCTCTGAGGAACCAGCCTAGATCAAGGCTCTCTATAATAGATTCTCAAAGCACTGTGCCATTTTCCTTCATATCACTGGAACTCAGATTAGTAAATAGAATAGTTTGTGTGTATGTATATATGCACACCTATATATATATATACATACACACATATATGGAGATACAAAGTAAATATATATAGGTTGCATATACATATATATGCAAGGAAAACCCAAACCTATCTGTAGTTTGGGTTCTCCTCGGGCATATCTAATTGCCTGCAACACAATAAGTACACAATGAATATTTTTTTAATGAAAGCTGTGGAATGTTATCTCAAAAACAAAAACAAAAAAATACCTGGCATGGTAGCTCATGCCTATAATCCCAGTACTTTGCAAGGCCAAGGTAGGAAGCTCCCTTAAGGCCAGGAGTTTGAGACCAGCATGGACAACATAGCAAGACCAAATATTTACTTTTTTTTTTAAATTAGCTGGACATAGTGGTGCTGTAATCCTAGCTACTTTGGAGACTGAGGCAGAAGTATCCCTTGAGCCCAGGAGTTCAAGGCTGCAGTGAGCTATGATCTTGCCACTGTACTCCAGCCTAGGTGAGAGTGAAGTGGCAAGAGTGAGACTCTGTCTCTAAAAACAAAACAAAACAAAATAGGAATTAAGGTAAACAGTGAGGCTAATTGAAGAATTAGCATGTTAATGGCTGAAGTTAGTCAACTAAGAAAAAAATTTTGATTTCTATTTCTATACATGTCTATGTGCATGTGTATACACACATATACCCTTCTGATTCTGTCTTGGTAGTCAAGTATAATATATCCAAAGCAACTATGAAAATTGTATTAATCCCAACTTAAATAAATGGGAAGAGCCCTATATTTGAAATCAAGAGACAGGGATTTAGATTCTGGCTCCCAAGTAATTACTTGTGTTACCTAAGTTTATTATCTCAACTCTCTGAATTCCCTTTTTTCATGTACGATTAATGATATATTTATTCATTCAATAACATTAGGAAGTCCTACTGTGTGCAAAGCTGGCCTAGATATTTAGTGAACGCAGAAAGCAAGAGCTCCATCTCAGCACTTAGGAATCTTCCAGTTTAACGGGAGACAGGTGTATAAATAAATCTTTACAGTAACAAGGTAAATGCCATTTTCAAGACTTGGACAAAGATTACAGGAGCAAGGGAAGGAAAGAACTTCAGGATGCTGTTTAGAGGTGTCATGGATAGCTCTCCTGAGAAGACTGTTGTGAGAATTAAGTTAAAGAATGAACTCACCTACCACATAAAGAACAGTAATGGGCACCAGCCCTGGGACCAGAAAGTACTTAGTGGAAATCCTATTCCACCACTCATGCACTGAGTGCCAGATTTCTACCCAACCCCTCTAGGGCCATTTTCCTCATCCACAAAATAGAAGTAAAAACCTCTCCCTTGCCATTTTGGGATGGAATTAGAGATATATGCAAAGTGCTTCTTACCAGAAGATTCAACTCACAGTAGGCACTCAGAAATTGGTAGCTGGAAGGATTATTTTTCCAATGTTTCTTACTATTTCTTTTTTTCTTTTTCTTTTTTTTAAACAGAATTTTGCTGTTGTTGCCCAAGTTGGAGTTCAGTGGTGTGATCTTGGCTCACTGCAACCTCTGCCTCCCAGGTTCAAGCGATTCTCTTGCCTCAGCCTCCTGAGTTGCTGGGATTACAGGTGCCCGCCACCACACCTGGCTAATTTTTGTACTTTTAGTAGAGATGGGGTTTCTCCATGTTGGTCAGGCTGGTCTCGAACTCCTGACTTCAAGTGATCCACCATCCTCAGCCTCCCAAAGTGCTGGGATTACAGGTGTGAGCCACTGCGCCTGGCCTGTTTCTTACTATTTCTAAGTGACCTCATGAGGTGTGGATTTGGTCTGGCAGATGCTCCTATATTAAAAACTTCAACAATCTATCAATTTTCACTCCTTGTTCAAGGCTCACCTCAGACATCTGCCCCTTTAAGACACTTTCTCTCATCCCTCACGTCGGATTAGACCCTTTCAATTCTGTAATGTTTCTGTGTCATTTGTAACCATCACATCAAATGAGAAAAAAACTCATAGGGTGGACTACCTTCATCTCTCATGTCTCCAAAGCTGGCCCTGTAGTGCAAGGTCTTTCCCTGCTGCTGGACAAATATGGCAAGTACCTGAACCTTATGACTCACTCTCAGCACCTGTGAACAGTTCTCAGGTCAATTCACAAAAAGTAATCTCTCTTCAGAATGTATAATATCCAATCCCATGGAAAGGCCAAACTTCAATATTCTTTTTAATTTGAGATTTCTCTCCCTCACCAGTTGTGCCCCAGTGCAGACATGAAAACTGCAGTTTCAGGAGGAGAGCCTGTGTGTGGACAGCTTCTTCTCTTCCTTCTCCCTCAGTGCTTTGACATCTTTTTATTTCATTTACCGAGGTTCTGAGTCTCATCAGCATGGGATTATGAGAAGAAGCACAGGGAAGTTGTTGTGTGGCTGGTAGTCACGTAGCAGTGTGGCATAGGTGGCGTGCTATTTAGAACTGACTTTCTCCAAAGCATTTGTTTGGTTCTTTAAAGATCCGCCAGCCTACTCTTACCCACTCTTCTTTTGCCAAGAAGAAGGTATCTCTGTTTTCATTGGACAAGGACTTGTTCTTCAGTCGCCAGATACCTAGATTCTCTGCTGGGACCTGTTCAACCCTCCAGGTAGCCCTGTTTGGAAGCAGTCCAATAAGATGCCGTGCCGGATCTCTTTTCCTCTTCTTGTGTGTGTGTGGTGGTGCAGAGGAGCAGTATCGCTCTTCTAAATCATGGTAAGCACTCATACACCATTTGCAGGGTCAACTTTTGGAGTGTAGGCCACCCAACATGCCATTCTCACCTTTGCTCCACTATAAAAGTTTCTAGCATGTATTTTTCTTGTTGTTATGTTTGTTGTTGAGGCAGGTGCCAGACACCAGGCTGCTGTGCCACCAAAATTTCAAGAGACATACATTGAATTTTCAGAGTAGTACTGCCAAGACCACCTGTGGAAGTTTGAAAGAAGGAATTACCTTCTTCCCCTCTCCATTGTGGAGAGTCAGGGACACTCAGTCTACCAACATCTCCCTAAAATCTGCCCCCTTTAATTTCCCATTTTTTTCATGTGATGCAGTCATTTAATAACTAACATCTTAAGTCTCCAACTCTAGAATGTCTCTTGTCTTGAGCAAAGCTTCCCCTTTTAACATTCCACTTTCCCATTATTATTGGTTATTAGGAATTGCTCCACAGCCATAGAGATCTATTAGAAGGAACCATGGCATATGACTTTGCACTTGGTAAACTGTTTCCTTATTTACCACACTGGAGAATATACAGTGATTTAACTCCTTTGCAGGGAAATGATATTAAAGAAGAAAGAAGAAGAAACCCATGAAAGTGGGATTTGAAATAAATGAAACTGTGCAAAGAAGTTTTAAAAAATAGTCCTAGAAACTTGTTAAATATATTTTACAACATGTTCTAATTATTCTATAGCTCTTAGAACCTAATTGGCTGGTATGGTAGTCAACTGTGTTTCATATAATCAAAGTGACATAGATGTTTGGCTGATGGATGAGGCACACTCTTTAATCCTCTTAATAAGCATATTAGCAACAAAGCAAAATAAATTTAAAAGCATCTCGGTAACATTGTATGGAAAGAATTCTAAGTGAAAAATAAATGTCCAGTTAAATTATTGAAATGAGACTATAGTATTAATACCACCTTTATTGAGTTCTCAATCTTAAATATGAACTTCCACAAATGAAACACTGTTAATTAAATGATTGTCATGTTCCTCAAGCATGAACAATGGGGATTTCAGAAACATGACATTCATTCTTGGGAACAGAATTCTAGCCTTCTCTGTTTTTTTTCTCACTAAACTGGCTACTGACATTTCTGGAGCCCCAGGGCCTGAACAAAATATGTACTTAATAAAAATTTACCAAATAAATGATAAATTAAAGAATGAAAGAGTGAATGGATCTCTATGCTGAGCACAGAATGATACTTGTCTTAGCCAGTTCAGGCTGCTGTTACAGAACACCATAAACTGGGTGGCTTAAGCAACAAACATTTATTGCGTATAGTCTGGAGGCTGAAAGTTGAGATCAGGATGCCACCAAGGTCAGGTTATTGGCAAGGCCCACCCTCCTGGCATATAGACAGCTGGCTTCTCACTGCGTCTTCACATGGTGGAGAGAGAGTTCTGGTCTAGTCATCCCGTTACATAATGGTACTAATCCCATCAGAGAGACCCACTCTTATGATCTCGCCTAAACCTAATTACCTCCCAAAGGCTCCACCTTCAAATATCACCATATTGAGACTTAGGGATTCCACAAATGAATTTGGGGAGAGAGAAACTTTCATTCCATCCATAGTACCTACAGATACTGCATTCAAGAAACTGAAGTCTAAAAGAGAAGAGAAGTAAATGTTTTCATGCAAAGACAAGACACACAAAGTTGGGGCCTCACAAATGGAGCTTGCAGACTTGTAAAGCAATCTTTCCCCTTTCAGCTAGAGTTGGTTCTTGAGATTAAATTCTGGCCCTCAAACCAGGGCTTCAGTGTAGAAGGAGTGGATGAAGAGAGCTACAGTACTTAGCTGTGGAAGAACTGACTCGGTACCTCCTGCAGGGCGTAGCTTGATAATGGTGAAGGGATGCTGAAAGAATGGTCTGAAATCCAGCTGTCAGCACATCCAAGGGAAAAACACATGGACAGTAGGGCAAGCAGCTCAAACATGAGGACAGATAAAAATTCATCATCCACCCATTCATCCAACAAACATTAATTGATCATTTACTATCTGCCAAACTCAGTTCTAAACTCGAGGGGAACAGAGTGAATGAAAATAGTCATGGCCTTGCATTTAGGCACTTTTGGGTCTAACAGAGGAGAAAGGCACTCCATAAATAAGTGCAAAAAGAAATGTAAAATTGCAACTGAGATAAATGCCCTGGAACAAATTTTCAGAGTGCTAAGAGAATGTCTAACTGGGTGACTTTGAATTAGCTAGGGATGTCAAGCAGTGGAGGGAGATCAATTTTCTGACCCCCAAGTCTCAACTATTTCTAAGGCTCAATTTAGCAAAAGTGATGCAGTTGGTTTCATAGCCCCTATTTGATTTCCTTCTTTTTTAAAATATATATTCTTCCATCCACATTCACATATCTGTCTTCTGTTTCTGTGTAAACATTTTTTTTTTTTGTGACTTGTGCCCACTGTTGTGATGGTTGATCTTATTTCACAGAAAAGCCATAAGGGATTAAAAAGAATGGAAGAATCAAGACAGGCTTTCATTTGAATCCTAGCTCTGTCTCTTACCTCCTGTGTGCCTTTGAGGAAGTTGCTAAAAGTTTCTGAATCCATTTCCTTATTGAGAATCACTTTTTATAAAATAATTTTACTGCATAAGCCATAGAAGATGAACTTCAGATAGAATTTTGGAAAACAGAAAGGAAATCTACAATCTCATTGCTTTAATGTGCGAATTTTTATCCTTACCTTTTTGCTTTCAATCTTTGCAGGTGTAGAATACACCTGTATATAATTGGTGTATAATCTCAATGTGCTTGGCATTTTGAATTCAATATCCAATGTTTCTGTATAATTTGCCCAATTAACATGGACCTTAGCCCCTGTGACTTTTGAATCTTGCTAAAATTTACATATTGGTTAGAGGAGAAACAATTTCAAAATCTGAAAAGCAGGTGCCTGGAATACTGAGACAGTGACCAGGGATTTGCCTGCATTGTTGGAGGGTATGAGAAGTGAGGTCAGTGGAGGGGCCTCTGGGTGAGGTTTTAGTTCTCCAGGAAGGACAGGGACAGGGAGGGTCAGCTATTTCAGTTCCTAATCGACTTGGGATTCTTCCCTGATTATGCCCCTGCCTTCTCAACAGGAAAAGGGAGGGGTAAAGGTGAAGGGCGGGATACACAGGGCTGGTCTAATTCCCTGGGATAACTGGGGCCTCATTTGTCTAATTCAGGTCTTTCCCCAATTGAGAATTGTGTTATGCAATTGAAAGCAATTGTTTATTTAACATGTCAGGCTTAGCAATAATATAACTAGTACGTTTATTAACATGTAATATGAAGATTAGAAATTAGAGTTTTGAATAACTTTGAAAAATAGTTATTCTCTATTTCAAAAGTAATGTATTATTATTATGAATAACATGGAAATGACTAGGAAAGGTGTGGGGGAAGTGAGTGAAGAGAGGTTGGTTAATGGGTATAAACATATAGTCAGATAGAATGAATACATTCTAATGTTCCATAGTAGAGTATGGTGACCATAGTTAACAACAATGTGTTGTATATTTCAAAATAGCTAGAAGAGAGGGCTTGAAATGTTCCCAAAACAGAAATAATAAATACTTAAAGTGATGGATACTTCCAATATGTTGACTTGATCGCTACACATACTATACATGTAACGAAATATCACATGTGCCCACATATATGTACAATTATTACATATCAACAAAAATTTAAAGAACAAAAAATGACAAAAAAGCATTGATAGAAAAATGAATTACATATACATACATATATGTAAAATTTGCAAATATGTAGTACCTATCATATGTTATGGGGGACCGGTAATTTTACTTCTGTGTTTGTACACTTGAAATAGTTATTGTATATAAATGTGCTTTTATTTGAAAACTGAGAAAATGCCATCTATATAGCTTTTTTCTTTTTTTCCTTTGAAATTACATTGACAGCATTTTCCCCTGACATTAAATCCTCTTAGAGCATAATATCTGTGATTGATGAATTTCAATGCATTATTCTTTATGGAAATGTTTTTAGAATTTTCCTCTGTTGTCAGGGATTTGGTTATTACCAACAGTTCTCTACTATAAGCAACAACATCATGTTGAACTATCTTATACATGCAACTCTACCTGCAATTCATTCTTTGGATAGATTCCAAATAGTTAGATTAGTCAATTTTTAAAAATCGATATTTTAAGGCTCTTGATGCTTGATGCTAAATTATTTTTTGTAAGAATCTCTATTTTCACCAGGAATGTATGAGTGTCATCTCATGGGACCCTTGCCCACTCTGAGAGTGTGTGTGTGTGTGTGTGTGTGTGTGTGTGTGTGTGTGTGTATAATCATCACCAATTTGACTTCTAAAGTCACCTCTCCATCTAAAGTCACCTCTCTCATCAATGGGCTGATTCCCAATTGTTCTTAGAAGTGTTTTTACCATTTGTACTTTTTTTTTACTTTTGTGAGAACTTCATTTTAATGCTACATCCTTATTTGTGAAATATTCTCATCTACTTTCTTTTTCTATCTGAATCACTTATATTCTACGTACTTTCAAAAGGATTTTAAGTCCCCGACAGAAAGAAAAAATGCAATCAAAACACTAAAATCAGGCTAAACAAACCATGACTCACACATGGAATATTGTAGCTTAATAGACACTTTCACATGAATCCTTCCATTTCATCTTCACAAGATGTCTGGCAGGTCTGGGTAATTACAACCCTCCTTATATAGATGTAGAAACTGAGGCTCCTGGAAGGGAGGTGTTGCTGCTGGAGCAGATAGCTGTTCTCTGTCAGCACCAGAACTGCCACTGCCATCTGTTTCATCTCAAACCCACGCTGTCACCAGGTCCAGTCCATTCATTCAATAAATATTTATTCAGAGCCTGATTGCTATATGCCAGGCACCGTTCCTGGCATTAAAGATCCAGCAGAGAACAAAAAAGATAAAGTACTGCCTTAAATGTTAGAATGGAGGGAGGACAGGTGAGGATATATATTGTGCTAAGGAAAGGAGAGGTAGGAAGAGAAATAAAAGGGAGTGGGGGGATAGAGGGTGAGGGGGCCAGGTTGGGGAGTGCAGGCATTACTGTTTATTTTGTGTTCTTTTCTTTCTCTTTAGCACACACAAGACCGCCAAGCATTAAGATTCTCCTGTGGAGCCAGGCTACAATCCTTTAAATGAAGACAGACAGCTAGGTGGCTGCAGCCCAGCGCTACACCTCACCCCTCCCTCAGTGTCATGCAGAAAAAATGTATTCAGAACTCAGAAGTGAAGTTGTGCAAATCCATCATTGACACTAGCTTCAAGGTTACCTCGGGGGAGCAGAATGTACCCCTGCCAGAGAGCTGGATAGATGATGATGGGGACAGAAATTCTGGGGGAGTTGTAAATGGCAGCCACTGCCTCTATAGGAAACCCAAAGGGAACACAGCAGAAGAGGAGGTGGTGGAGGAGCCACTGCCCTCTCGAAGGGTTCAATGTCATTCTGCAGACACAACCAAATAACTTTTTCTTCCCTGCTGCTCCTCCATTTGAAATGACAGCCCCGAGCTCGCTTTTTCCTTGATTGTGTAACTCTGATTACAGACAAGGCCAAGGCAATCCCAGGGCATTACTACAAAGCTAAGGGGTCCCCAAAGAACTAAAGAGTCAGCTCCACAAAAATCCCGATTCCTAGCATGAAACTGAAATATGAAACCAAACGGGCATAGAAAAGGTATGTGCATTCGAATCACATAGCAGTGACTGGAGTCCTGAGCTGTGTCTGAAGACTGTGAGATCACGTTTGGAGCTGCTGATTGGTTTTCAGTGATGGCCCTGTTGCACAGTGCCGTGAGACTTAGCTCCATGGCCAAAGACGATGGTATCCCCTAGGAGCCCTGTGAGGTTGCTGCTGTTCTCTTAAGACACCAGGTAGCCATCTGATCCTCCCTGAGCAAACTAACTGGGCAGACAGGTTTATTAAACCTCTGTTGGTCCGACTTACATGAAACAAGAGAGTTATTTTGTTGTTGTTGTTTTGTTTTGTTTTAAATTAAACCTGTCTTTGGAGCCTCCTGCTCTTAGTTTACAAGTCTTCTTTGCACACTCTAATATTTTAAGAAGCAGCAAACATTAACTGAGGGTCTATTGCATGCCATACATTGTACACTGAGATCAGAAATGCACACGACTGGCTACAGAGGAAAACAGCTTCAGTGAGAGCATCATAATAGCTACCCCCAAGGTCATGATTACTAAGCTCAAAAGTCCCTAAGTGCATACAGACACACACAGACAAAGAACAAACAAAGTTGGGGCCCTGAGTTTCCATGCTTCTTAGCAAGCCAGAAAGAATAAGTGAGCTATGGACCATTGGAATCCCTCAGCCAGTCTTGTCCCATACAATGGCATCACCTTCCCTGCCTCTCTACAGCCAGGAACTCTCAAGACTCTGATTAGTCAGGGCTCCTAAATTCAGTTAGAGCTTCTACTGGTATATTCACTTATTCACTTGGGTACCAAACTATCTATCTTGCCAGACTGTATTGCACTGGTGATACAATGTCAAACATATCAGATACAATTCCCACCTTTGTGAAATGTTCACCAAATTGAGAAAACCAAGATTATATGAGTCCTTGAAAAATAATATCCGTTGTGCACTAGAGAAGTATGTGTGGTTCTGCAGGAATAGGAATGGATAACAGAAATTCTTGGGAAGCATTTAGGGCCCCCAAAAAGATCTTGGAGTGTGTGTGTGTGTGTGTGTGTGTGTGTGTGAGAGAGAGAGAGAGAGAGAAAGAGAGAGAAAGGGGGAGAGAGAGAGAGAGACAGAAAGCAGGGACAGAGTTTGAAGAGGAAACCCACAGTCTTCCACTTAATGGCTTCTTGAGTGAAGTCAGAACACAGCCCCTATTTCCAATGCAGACTCCGGGCCATGGGCTGGCTCAGTGTTGTACTTAGCATAGGAAAGAACCAGGCCCCTTCACCAGGTGCTGCTGACCTCAATCTGGTCTCCTCCACGTGGCTAAGAATGTTCTCCGACACAGGCAGGGGCCTGCAGTCTAAATCTCACCACTTTAAAACATTTGGCTGCTCCAGGCAGATTTTTATCTACATCAAAGAGAAGGAAAAGCTGAAAATGGAACCTGCAGGGGGTGAAAAGGGTGAATGTGGGTGTTGAATGAACACAGATGGTCAGTGTGGAGTTTCACTCCAGAAGGGTTTTGTTTGTTTGTGGAAAGAGATAGGGACTGGGCCACTGCTGCCAGGCACCCCCCCTCAGCACCAGACAGGCCTGGCCCCAGCTGCATCCTCTGTCAGTGAAGTTCCACTCTCCTGGTCTCTGTTGGGCTTTTGCTCCTCCCATTCCAACTTATTTTTTTAACCAGGAAAACATAATGAACTATAGTATCATGTGCCAAGCTAAACATGTTACATGCATTTTCTGTTTTAATCCTCACAACATTCCTAGTTTGGTGACATTATCACTATACTTATTTCACATAGGAGGAAAATCAGAGTTAGTAAGGTAATCATCTTACCCCAAATCCCAAACCCTGTGAAGATCAGAGCCAGGATTCAACCGCAAGGTTAAGGCCATACGCTACACAACTTAGAAATGCCAAGGTTTATAAGGAAACAATAATCCAGAGATTTACCTTTCAGCACAGTGATCCATTAATTTCCAGTTTTTTTCTTTTTGCATGATTTTCTTTTATACATAGTTGATATCTGTTTGTTTACGAATGAGTATAACTTTATATCTTGCTTTTTAAAAAATACACTATTATGGACATATGATCATCAGAAACTCTTGGTAACCATAGTTATGAATGATGTAATAGTCCACATAGTATTGGTACAAAGTATGAATGTGTATATCATAATTTATTCACACCAGTAAACTCTGAGTGTATGTTTCAGCTATTTCCCTTATTGCTTTAATTGCCCTGGGACTATAAATGATGCTGTAATAAGTATCTTTCTATATGCAACATAGTGCACTTATCAGCGTCCAAGAGTAGTAATATGTTAAGAGCTCTTGAGGTAGCTTCCAAGGAAGGCTTGATTCCCTTCTTAATAATAATCATATCTTAGCCATTATTCCCTCAAGTTAAAATAATGGTACCTAGCTTATATGCTTTATAACTATTGGTGTTTCAGTGTGCCTGTGCGCACACACACGTGCATGCATGTGTGGAAAAGAAAAGATAGACATTTACAATGAGTAAACAGCTTTATGCACAGACTGTATTAGATACTCAAGCCAGCTTCTTGAGTCCTCCCCAGTACCTTGCAAGGAAGAGTTTTGCAAGAAAATGAAGCTAAAAATGAAGTAACTACTCCAAGATTTTTTACAGCCAGGGCAATACTGGGCATCTTGAGGATTCAGAACATTTCAGAAGCACAGCCTCCTTCTACCACATCATACCACCCTCCTGAGGGGTCCCTCATAACCTTTAATGTCTGAGTTGCATGTATGAACCCAAAGTGTATGCAATATAAATACATTTTTCACTCTCTTTGTGACAAGTCTGACATAATTTTTTTCTGCATCGATTTTCCCAAATATCTTCATCACGTGTCAAAGATGTTTCCTCTTAGCTACCTGCATTTTTGGCTTGCAGAGACTTGGGATGGCCCCGCCCCCACTTCACACTTCACTTTTCCTTTGTAGAGAGAGATGTAGGAAGGGGGTCTGCAGCCTGCTGTGCTTGGCTGCAGTTTATGGGGAGGGAGGTTAAGCAGAGAGGCGCCAGGCACTGCTTCAATTACACTTTGCTTGTTCTGAGGGCTTTAATCATGACCTCTTTCTCAATAGATCCTTTCAGAAAGGCCAGGGGGAGAATAGGCAATTGGAAACCCTGGTAGTAATCAGGGTCCCAGACCTCCAGTTCCTTGAGAAACAAGGCTGGGACATAAGACTCATTAAAGTGGGTGGGGGGAGCTAAGAGAGACTAACCATTCCTGAAGGAATCCATGTGTTTTGGGGGTGAGGTGGGAGTACACGGAAATCATAAACAACAAGTGGAAAGAGTAGGTGATAATAATTAGTTGGTGGTTTTAATTAGGAGATCTCTTAGGCCAGATGTTCATTGAAAAAGAATGACGACCCCTCCTGAGATATGTAATGAAACTTCAACCCCCACGGCTGGGGAAGGGGGTGGAGATGCAGAATATGGATGCATGAGAGGCATATAGGCCTTTAGCCTGAAGCTTCCTGTGCTGGGGGAAAGGAAGGGGAGGGTGTATGTGTGTTTTTGGTGGAGCCCACCTTCTATCCCTGAGACTTAGGCATTTGTATTCTCTTTTGAGTAGCCAGTTCAGCAGAGCGTGCCTGCTTCTGATTAACCTAAGGAGGACGGCCGGGAGACCTGACTCCTTGCCTGGACTGGGCGGTCTCAGGAATCTGGGCCTCTGTGCACTGTCTGGGACTCATTGTTCTGGGGAGAGAATGGGCAGAGGCATCCTGCGAGTCCTCCCTGGCACTTGCAGACAGCAGGCTTTTGTACCTATTCCTGCTCTAAGGGGGGTGTAACACGTGGTTGGCTGGAAATCTGGTGTGAATAAATTCTGATGTACATATTCATACTTTGTACTGATACTATGCAGACTATTAAGTCATTTACAGCTATGGTTACCAAGAGTTTCTGATGATAATACATCTGTAATAGTGTATTTTTAAAAAGCAAGATATAAAGTTATACTCATTCATAAACAAACAGATATCAACTATGTATAAAAGAAAATCATGCAAAAAGAAAGAAAAAACTGGAAATAAATGGATCACTGTGCTGAAAGGTAACTCTCTGGATTATTGTTTCCTTATGAACTTTGGCATTTCTAGGTGGTGTAGAGGACGGCCTTAACCTTGGGGTTGAATCCTGGTTCTGATCTTCACAGGGTTTGGGATTTGGGGTAAGATGCTTACCTTCCTAACTCTGATTTTCCTCCTGTGTGAAATACAGTGATATTGTCACCAAAGTAGGAATGTTGTGAGGATTAAAATAGATATCTCTTTTTCCTATAATGTGTTTACTCTGGGCCAGACCATGTATTAACCATGAGCTACCAGGTATTAAGTGTCAAACTCCTTAGTTAAGAAACATGGAGATGGAAACTTGCCCAGAGTGATTAATTAAGAAAATAAAATCAATATTTGATAGCAGAGTAGGGTGACTATAGTTAAGACAAATGCAGTGTGCACTGGTGATGAACACCCTAAGTTCCCTGACTTGTTACTATGCATTATATACATATAAGAAAATTTCACATATACTCCATTAATTTGTGCAAATAAAAATAACTTTTTTTAAAAAAGAAAAGAACAGTCATCGTAATAGTAGCTAACATCCCCTGGACACTTTCTAAGCAGCTTCCATGGACTATACCTTTGAAGTCACAGAAAAACACTATGGCATACATCTGTCTAATGTTATTTTCTAGAGATCACTAAAGCTTAGGAAATTAATGGGACTTTCCAAGGCTCACACCATTTGTGAGTGGCAGAGCTGGGATTTGATCCCAGGGAGAATATGTTCAAAGATTGGTCTCTAAGTTTTCATAAAAGGAAGGGGAACAATACCAAGGAAAGGCAAGAACTGCGCAAAACAGCATGGGAGTTGAAGGCAGAAATAAATAAATTCCCTTTGGGCCAGGAGTCAGCCAACTTTTTCTGTAAAGAGTCAGACAGTGAATATTTTATGCTTTCCAGGTCATTCACTTTCTGTTGCAACTCCTCAACTCTACCATTGTAGTGCAAAAGCAGCCATGTATGCCAATGAATGAGTGTGGGTGTGTTCAAATAAACCTTTATTTACAAAAATGGGTGGAGTTGACTGATGGGATATTGTTTGCCAACTCCTGCATAAGACCCTTATCAGAATTTGAGATTGGGAGTGGCTTTGAAAGAGGATATTGCTGAAAATCCTCATTTCAGATTAACTGAGGTTCCTAGAATCCAGGGATTGGATTCCCAGAACTAGTACTTTGTTTATCCATTGATTAACTGGCCTAGTATCACACAGTTGACAAAAGGCAGATTCTGGACCTGAATCCACATCAGTTTAACTATGGAACCCAGCTAAATTCTGCAACTCTGTTAATACAACTGATCGAAATGAATGCCTGGATGGGCTCTTCTCCAGCATGTTCCACTGTTGGACAGAGTTAACAATGGTGAACAACACTCTCTTGCATTTCCTACTGACGTGTGACCTTGAACAAGAGACCAGCTTCTCTGAGAGTCAGCCTTATGCTGCCTTTACCAGATATGTCAGCAAGATCAGGGACTTCACATCCAGATAGATTTTGTTCTGACCATAGACTTTGGGATCTATAGTGGTGAGATCTTAGGCAACTGTAAGACTCTCTCAGAAATAAGGACTGTTGCTTCCTACTCATATCTTTCTAAGAAAACTCCACCACTATCCCTGCCACCACAACCTGCACATGTTGCAAACCAAGGCATCCACGTGAATCACTTTGCAAGCTCATACCCTCATCGTAGTTTATTGGACCTGACCCAAGGCAAACTGGTGTCAGGCCTTTGAGCCCAAGCCAAGCCGTCGCATCCCCTGTGACTTGCACATATACGCCCAGATGGCCTGAAGTATACATTTTATTACCCAATCTGCTCCCGACATTAAATAAAACTCCAAAAATTGGAATCTGGCCCTCAAACCCCACAACAGGACTTAATTAACCTCACCTTCAAGGTGTACAATAACAGAAAAAAGTTACAATTCCTTGCCTCCACTGTGAGACAAACCCCAGCCACATCTCCAGCACACAAGAACTTCCAAACGCCTGAACCGCAGCGGCCAGGCGTTCCTCCAGAACCTCCTTCCCCAGGAGCTTGCTACACGTGCCCGAAATGTGGCCACTGGGCCAAGGAATGCCCGCAGCCCGGGATTCCTCCTAAGCCGCGTCCCATCTGTGTGGGACCCCAATGAAAATTGGACTGTTCAACTCACCTGGCAGCCACTCCCAGAGCCCCTGGAACTCTGGCCCAAGGCTCTCTGACTCCTTCCCAGATCTTCTCGGCTTAGCGGCTGAAGACTGACACTGCCCGATCGCCTCGGAAGCCCCCTAGACCATCACGAACGCCGAGCTTCCGGTAACTCTCACAGTGGAAGGTAAGCCCGTCCCCTTCTTAATCAATACGGAGGCTACCCACTCCACATTACCTTCTTTTCAAGGGCCTGTTTCCCTTGCCTCCATAACTGTTGTGGGTATTGACGGCCAGGCTTCTAAACCTCTTAAAACTCCCCAACTTTAGTGCCAACTTAGACAATACTCCTTTAAGCACTCCTTTTTAGTTATCCCCACCTGCCCAGTTCCCTTATTAGGCTGAGACACTTTAACTAAATTATCTGCTTCCCTGACTATTCCTGGACTACAGCCACATCTCATTGCCACCCTTCTCCCCAACCGAAAGCCTCCTTCGCGTCTTCCTCTCATATCCCCCTACCTTAACCCACAAGTATGGGACATCTCTACTCCTTCCCTGGCAACCGATCACATGCCCATTACATCCCATTAAAACCTAATCACCCTTACCCCACCCAATGCCAATATCCCATCCCGCAGCACACTTTAAAAGGATTAAAGCCTGTTATCACTCGCCTGCTACAGCATGGGCTTCTAAAACCTATAAACTCTCCCTACCATTCCCCCATTTTACCTGTCCTAAAACCAGACAAGCCTTACAAGTTAGTTCAGAATCTGTGCCTTATCAACCAAATTGTTTTGCCTATCCACCCCGTGGTGCCAAACCCGTATCCTCTCCTATCCTGAATACCTCCCTCTACTACCCATTATTCTGTTCTGGATCTCAAACATGCTTTCTTTACTATTCCTTTGCACCCTTCATCCCAGCCTCTCTTTGCCTTCACTTAGACTGACCCTGACACCCATTAGGCTCAGCAAATTACCTGGGCTGTACTGCCGCAAGGCTTCACAGACAGCCCCCATTACTTCAGTCAAGCCCAAATTTCATCCTCATCTGTTACCTATCTCGGCATAATTCTCATAAAAACACACGTGCTCTCCCTGCTGATCGTGTCTGATTAATCTCCCAAACCTCAATCCCTTATAAAAGAACAACTCCTTTCCTTCCTAGGCATGGTTAGTGTGGTCAGAATTCTTACACGAGAGCCAGGACCACACCCTGTAGCCTTTCTGTCCAAACAACTTGACCTTACTGTTTTAGCCTAGCCCTCATGTCTGCGTGCAGCGGCTGCCACTGCTTTAATACTGTTAGAGGCCCTAAAAATCACAAACTATGCTCAACTCACTCTCTACAGTTCTCATAACTTCCAAAATCTATTTTCTTCCTCATACCTGATGCATATACTTTCTGCTCCCCGGCTCCTTCAGCTGTACTCACTCTTTAAGTCCCACAATTACCATTGTTCCTGACCAGGACTTCAGTCCAGCCTCCCACATTATTCCTAATACCACACGTGACCCCCATGACTGTATCTCTCTGATCCACCTGATATTCACCCCATTTCCCCATATTTCATTCTTTCCTGCTCCTCACCCTGATCACGCTTGATTTATTGGTGGCAGTTCCACCAGGCCTAATCGCCACACACCAGCAAAGGCAGGTTATGCTATAGTACAAGCCACTAGCCCGCCTCTTAGGACCTCTCATTTCCTTTCCATGGTGGAAATCTATCCTCAAGGAAATAACTTCTCAGTGTTCCATCTGCTATTCTCAGGGATTATTCAGGACCCCTCCCTTCCCTACACATCAAGCTCAAGGATTTGCCCCCACCCAGGACTGGCAAATTAGCTTTACTCAACATGTCCCGAGTCAGGAAACTAAACTATTAGACCTCTTAGTCTAAATAGACACTTTCACTGAATAAGTAAAGGCCTTTCCTACAGGGTCTGAGAAGGCCACCACAGTCATTTCTTCCCTTCTGTCAAACATAATTCCTCAGTTTAGCCTTCCCACCTCTATACAGTCTGATAACAGACCAGCCTTTATTGGTCAAATCAGCCAAGCAGTTTTTCAGGCTCTTAGTATTCAGTGAAACCTTTATATCCCTTACAGTCTTCCATCTTCAAGAAAAGTAGAGTGGACTAAAGGTCTTTTAAAAACAGACCTCACCAAGCTCAGCCACCAACTTAAAAAGGACTGGACAATACTTTTACCACTTTTGCTTCTCAGAATTCAGGCCTGTCCTCAGAATGCTACAAGGTGTACAGGAGCCCATTTAAGCTCCTGTATAGACGCTCCTTTTTATTAGGCCCCAGTCTCATTCGACACCAGAGCAACTTAGACTGTGCCCCCAAAAAAACTTGTCATCCCTACTATCTTTTGTCTAGTCATACTCCTATTCATCGTTCTCAACTACTCATACGTGCCCTGCTCTTGTTTACACTGCCGGTTTACACTGTTTCTCCAAGCCATCACAGCTGATATCTCCTGGTGCTATCCCCAAACTGCCACTCTAAACTCTTGAAGTAAATAAATAATCTTTGCTGGCAGGACTATGCTGAATCTCCTGAGGCACTCTCTAATCAGATGTCCTGGGTCCTCCCAATTCTTAGACCTTTTATACCTGTTTTTCTCCTTCTCTTATTCCATTTCGTTTTTCAATTCATACAAAACCGTATCCAGGCCATCACCAATCATTCTATATGACAAATGTTTCTTCTAACAACCCCACAGTATCACCCCTTACCACAAGACCTCCCTTCAGCTTAATCTCTCCCACTCTAGGTTCCCACGCCACCCCTAATCCCGCTTGAAGCAGCCCTGAGAAACATCGCCCATTCTCTCTCCATACCACCCCCAAAAATTTTCGCCGCCCCAACACTTCAACACTATTTTGTTTTATTTTTCTTATTAATATAAGAAGGCAGGAATGTCAGGCCTCTGAGCCCAAGCCAAGCCATCGCATCCCCTGTGACTTGCAGGTATATGCCCAGACGGGCTGAAGTAACTGAAGAATCACAAAAGAAGTGAAAAGGCCCTGCCCCGCCTTAACTGATGACATTCCACCATTATGATTTGTTCCTGCCCCACCTTAACTGAGTGATTAACCCTGTGAATTTCCTACTCCTGGCTCAGAAGCTCCCCCACTGAGCACCTTGTGACCCCCGCCCCTGCCCACCAGAGAACAACCCCCTTTGACTGTAATTTTCCATTACCTTCCCAAATCCTATAAAACGGCCCCACCCCTATCTCCCTTTGCTGACTCTCCTTTCGGACTCAGCCCGCCTGCACCCAGGTGAAATAAACAGCCATGTTGCTCACACAAAGCCTGTTTGGTGGTCTCTTCACACGGACACACATGAAAACTGGTCCACTGGCTGAACTAAACCAATAAGATTCTTCTGAAAAATAATTTGCAGAAGGAGGCATCTCAAGAGTTGTGGTAGTTGAGTCTTACTGATGGGGGATAGACATGTAAACATCCAGCAACTCTTGATGCTGAAGTCTCTGAAGCCTCACTGGCTCTTGTCCGTGGTAAGGACTTCTGTAGTTCAGCTACTCTCCAGTTTTGAGTCTTTTGAATTTTGGATCAGTTTGGTCATTGTCCTACTTTTTAGGGGCAAATTTGTCTTAAGACACCCATCTGCAATACAAAAATAATGGATAGGTGTTTCATAAAGTTTGTCCTGAGAATAGAGATAATGTAAAGGAGCCAAAAGGATAGATCTGGCAAGCAAAGGGCATGAAAAACATGTTTGTTCCATTCTTGCCATTTACTTTCTGAAACGATGATTCAGGAAAGGAAGTATGATAGCTATACTGGAACCACAGACCCGTGCACACTTATGAGTAGGAAGACACTGTAAAAGCTATCCTGAGCAAACAGTGACTCCACCAGAAAGCCTCCTGGCAGCCTTACTGACAGACACCCTCTCCGTTCATACTTGAACAACTCCAAAAGGAAAGAGCTCATCCCCAGCATAGTGTCTGACTCCAGTGTTACATGGCTCTGATTATGCAGACCCTCTTATTTGTAATGCACTGAACATGTGGACCTTCTTATTTGTAATGCAATACACATGGCCCCCTTGGAATTTTCATCACTGGTCCTCGGATTGCATTTTTGAAGCCATAGAGAATGAAGTACTGGAAGTTCTAAGAGGCAATATGCAAAATATAGAAATAGGCCATGTGTTGGGATAGTGAAACCATGAGGAATTGTGTTACCTATTTACAGATACTTTCAAACATGGCCAAAGTTTTTCTTAAAATTTTTAATGATGGACATACCTTAAGATTGAAGCATTTGAAGAGAAGGGATTTTGCCCCTCATTCTTCTTAAGTTATTTG
Organism: Homo sapiens; assembly: GCF_000001405.40. Taxonomy (NCBI): domain Eukaryota; kingdom Metazoa; phylum Chordata; class Mammalia; order Primates; family Hominidae; genus Homo; species Homo sapiens. Next base: position 65,274,269 of record NC_000016.10, on the reverse strand, counting down.
TTATCCAGTCAAAACATCTCCAAGTCCTTCCATTGCCTCTCATGAGGTATAATTTCCTTCTCTGTATTTCATCCAGCTTATCAACATCTCATGAAAACATGGAACTCAGAATAAACACAATAGGCAACCCTGGTCTGGGAGCTGACCAGGGTTATCACATTCATTTATTTTTCTACCTGCTTTGCACTAACCCCAGAGCATATGGGGGAATGTAGTTCCTCCATCCCGACCCCTTCATCCTGTTATTCCAGTGGTTCCTATCAGTAGATAAAGAACGACTTATAAAAATAGTCAACATCTTTTATTTTAACAATCACCCCAGGAAGCCTGTGCCTATGGAACAACCATAACTCAATCTCCTGGGATTATACCCACAGGGCCAATGGCCCTTATGGTATATCTTCCTTAAATCATCTCCCTGAATCTCAGCCTGTGCAATGACTCCATAACTTTTATTTCCTCACAGGATTTGGTACTGACCATTGTTTGGATACCAGCTAGTACCCAGGGAATGCTTGAGATATTTTAACTCAAATTTCTACTTTCCTAATTCAATGCCTTTTTTGCAACACTCTGGAAGAGATTTTAGCCTTTTTAACATTCAATTTGCCATGTTTGGTTATAAAAACTGCCAACTCCCATGTTCTAGAGTTGGCATTTTAATGAAGGCCTGAAACAACTGTAGGAAAATAAATGAACAATGTGAACACCACCTGGCCTAAGCAGGGCCTATCACAGTGATAGGAATGACCCAGACCATTGGTCAATTAGTGTTAATTCATTAATTATAGTCCAGGAGGGAGAGCATGCGTTTGGATTATGAAAGATTATTGGAGGGTTTATTTCTTTGTGATCCAAGCCCCAGGACCATTCACCATTATATCTGCTGAGAAGCCAGCATGCACATTGTACCAAGTGTGTCAGGAACTAAGGAAGTCAGGAGGGAATTTTGGTTGCCTCAAAGCAATTTGCCATGTTCCATCCCCTTGCCTCTTTGCATCTCACCACCTGCAGCCACTGAGCCAGAGTAAGCTGGGCTGAGCCATGTGCAAAGTTATTCCACTGTGATTTGCTGTCACTGAAGACAGCCAAATCTCACAGTGTCCTACCCAGAACTCTTGAAGAGCTGTTTCTCTGTTCCTGAAAACTAGAGCCTTAATCCAAAGGGACTAGAAGAGACTAGAAACATACGGAGACTAGTGTTAGGGGCTTCTTCAGAGGGCAGTAGCACGGTGGAAAACTGTGGTTCCCAAATGTTAGTGCAAATCCAAATCACTTGGAGTGTTTGTTAAAACGCACATCTCTGACTGTTTAGCAAGTCTGGGGTGAGGCCTGGGAATTTGCATTTGTCATGAATTTTTAGGTGATGCTGATTCAGCTGGTCCAAGGACTGTACTGAGGAGCACAGATGTAAAGGGCGAAGGTTCAGAGTTAAGAACACAAGAACACACAGGCTCAAGTTCCACCTTTGAGTCTTATAACCAGGTGGCTTTGGCCAAGTCACTGTACCCCTTTGAGCTCTAGGGTATTATTGTTGTCATTGTTGTTGCTGCTGCTTATAAAATGTTAAAATAATCCCCAGGTCAAAATGTTGTCCTGAGTCACAGTGTCCCTGAGCCTATGGCAGGAATTAACATATCTAAGCCTCAGCTTCTCCAGATTGGAGATTTCTGAAAGAAATAAAAATAGAATTACCACTCTATTGTGTGTTAAAGTACAGTTGTTCACACAGTGGAGCCTCAATCAGTGTCAGGTCCCTTCGGTTGCTTGGGGTCCCTCTCTACCTGCACAGGTGAGCCTCTAGGAAATGATGCTTTTATTTTCTTTTGCAACTACTTCCTGTGACTTTTTAACTTAACAGGCCTTCCTAACATGCCCTTCATCTTATGCTGGAAAAAGCCCACATTGTCCGCCACACCAAAGAATACTCAAACCCACTGACCAGGCCAATGGAGACAGGATGTCCCTGTTGTCTCCACATCTGGCCTCTCCAGCACAAGCCTCTAATTTTCTGTGGCTCTCACTTGGCCTCCCTTCAATGTGGGAGGGTAGTGTGGATAATGAGCCCCATCTGTGGGGCAGCTGGGTTCTGAGGCCCCCCTTCTCCATGCCTTTGAAGAGTACATCCATGTTCTGCCTGGAGGTCTCCTGTTGTGACCAGCATTTCTGTTTCCCATTAGCAGGGGGAGAGCATCAAAATGGTAAAAAGAGGAAGCAAATTAATGCCTTATTCTGGGATGTGCTGAAATTTACCAGTATGGGGGATGTTGCTGCAGATGAGAGTGTCTTAGACACAGATATTAATGGCAATGATTTCCCTTCCATAATGGCAAAGCATCTTGGTGTGGTGGCTGAAAAACTATGTGATTTAGAGTCAATATATTAGGGTTTGAGTTCAAGCTATTCCATGTGAAAGTCACAGTGACCCTAAGTTTAGGGCAGGTGAAGTTACAGAGAGGTCTACAGGGGACTTTGAGTAAGACCCCTCCTCCAAATTACCTTCACATTTTTTTCTAAAGCAGAAAGTAATAATTAAGAAAACTTGAGTGTACTTCAAGATATTAAAACCAACTGACCATTCTAGACATATGGACTCAAGCTTTTCAAATATAAAGTCCACAAGTTAATTTCTTTTTCTAAACTTTACATTGATCTGTGAAATGACCACCTCCAAAATCCCAAATAAGGTGAGCCTGAAATCCTCTCTGAGCCTGTATTTATGGGATCTTTAGTTATCCCTAGTTGTTTCTCGCTGAATGGTCTGGATGGATTTTGTGTGAACTCAAGGATGTTTGGTTTTATTCTACACCTTTGACATTTGCTAAAAGGAGCAAAAACATAAATGGTGCTGAGCTTTCAGACTGTCACTGAGCAGCAGCCTTTTGTCACTTACCAGTTCTGTGAGTCTGGCAATGTGCTTAATCTTGCAGAGCCTCAGTTTCCTCATATGTAAAATGAAAGCTAAAACCTATCTTTTAAAGCTGTAGTGAGGATTGCTTAAGAAAACATATTCCTGGTACATAGAAAATGCTCAAAACTGGTTAAAAACCCTTCCCCTGCCTATACTCACCCTTTCTTTCAATATAAGTCCCCCCACCCCACCAAGTACTGGACGTAGGTGAGCTCTTTAAAGTTGGATAATCTAACCTTGTGTTTTTTTAAAAATGTATTTTGCTCATAGTTATTTTAACTTAGAGAGGGTTAGTTATGCCAAGACTCTATTCAGAAAGTGTTCACAGCAATGGTGTGCTGGTAAATGTGTGACAATGGGCTGTCTGGAAAAGGTGGGGAGGGCAAGCTGCAGTTTGTCACCTTTGCTGAATTCCATACTGGCTGATTTCAAGCTACCAAGGAGACATCGCTGGTCACAAAGTTTGGAAGAAATGAGCATACTTGGCTTATCTAAGTTGGTAAGAGCTGGCTCCAGTGTAGCTAGGGGTCACAGGATGAGGAATTGACCATTTCAGTATAGTTATAGAATACGGCAAGAAGGAGAGAGAAGGGCAGAGATGGAGCACAAAACAACAAACAAAAATGAAATAAAATAAAAAATGAAGGGAAAAACAAAAAGGAAATAAAAAAAGAAAGAAACAGCGACCTTAGATATCATCTCTTCCAATTATTCTATTTTGCAGGCAAAACAACGAGGGACCAGAGAGAAGAAATAAGCTTCCTACGGTCACCCCTCACATCAGTGGTGGACTTGGCATACCAAGCCGAGGGCTTAAATATGTGAGAGACCAAGCATTCTCAAGAGAAGCTAGAATTAATGAGTGAAACTGAGCAAATAACACAATAGTTTGAACCAAATAAAGCATCGCCCCACAGTTAAATCTACAATGAAGTAATGACTTCTCTGGACAAACCTCAACACTCAAACTCAACTAGCCAAAAAGACTTAAGACTAGTCTTGAGGAATGGGCTGTATGGGTGGAAAATGGAAGGGATGCCTTGGTGTTAGGGGCCTCTCCAGCCCCAAATGTCAGTAATTCTGTGATTGAAGGGCCTGCCATTTGGCACTTAGCTGCCACATAGGAACTGGCAGTATTAACCTGCAGCTACAAGCAATTAACACGCACAGTCTTGTGAGACTTGTTGCAAAATTTGGTGGAATTACTCTGTGATTTCTCCCTCTAGCATTTGTTTTGCAAAGGGAATAATTTCTGTTGTGTTTCAGGTTTTATGCCTTGTGATGTCAATATGTATTTAGACCAGATGGTCCAACCATCTTAGGAAATTCAGAGCTGCAGATCCTTCTTCCCTAAATTGAAAAGCTCAGCATCCCAGTTAATGACACAGACTCCTGTCTGTCAGGATGGTGTGTAATTATTTTGAGAGTGAAAGAAAAACTTAGGTTTAGGGATTCCCCACGAGTCAGACACACTGGTTAGCCTTGGCCATCCCAGTCCAATTCAAGACAGACACTCACTAGCTAATCCTTTAAACTTAATTCTTCAAACATCCCCACCAATTTGCAAAATGATGGTATTGAATTCATTGCATCAGAGTTTAAAGAATTACAGAGCAGGAATATGAAAGTTTGCATTATTGCACTGCCACGTAATAGCACAGTAACCATACATCATCTCTAACCTTAACATCTCTAAGTCTCACCTTCTCCAGTTTAGAGATTTCTCAAAGAACTAAAGATAGAACTACCATTTGACCCAACGATCCCATTGCTGGGTATATACCCAAAGGAAAATAAATTATTCTACCAAAAAAGACACCAGCACTCATATGTTTATTACAGCACTATTCACAATAGCAAAGACATGGAATCAAACCAGGTCCTCCACAATGGTCGATTGGATAAAGACAATGTGATATATACCATGGAATACAATGCAACCATAAAAAGAACAAAACCATGTCCAGTGCAGCAACATGGATGCAGCTAGAGGCCATTATCATAAGTGAATTGACACAGGAACAGCAAAGCAAATACTGCATGTTCTCACTTATAAGTGGGAGCTAAAATTTGGTACACGTGGACATAAAGATGGGACCAATGGACACTGGAGACTGCTGGAGGGAAGAGTGTGGGAGGGGATAAGGGTTGAAAACTACCTATTGGGTACTATATCCAGTATTTGAGTGACAGGATCAGTAGAAGCTCAAACCTCAGCATCATACCATATACTCATGTAACAAACCTGCATGTGCACCCCCTGAATCTAAAATAGATAAAATAAAACAAATCTCAGCTTTTCATGTAAAAAAGGATAAAGGTAATATAAAAGAGGTTTTTGTGAAGACTAAATGAGAGTACATGTTATGTACTTGGTGTTGTGATTGGCACAGAGCAAACACTTAGTAAATGTTAGCTTTAGAATTGTATCGATATTTTCATAACAGAATTAAGAATTTGTGACCCCATTAAATACATAAGGTTACTAATACTCAAAAGGAAGTTGCTTTTTTCAAAGACAGATAGCTAAGATTCAAGCCAAGGTCTGTATGACTCTGAATGCTATTAATATATTGTTCATGATAACATGATTTACAAGATTTCCCTTATAGGTAATAGGGGAGCAAGTACTCTTAATAATTATTGGAATTGCTATTTTTTCCCATATGCTTATGATTGGCAGTCTCTGAACAAGGTGGAAAGTCCTGTAGCTGGGCAAAAGCAACCTTGCAAGTTCTGGTACAAGTCTCTTAAACATTCTCCAGGCAGTAGAATTGCAGGAAGCTGGGGGCCAGTCTTATCATTGTTATTTCTGCCTCGCTGAAAGGGATGGGTAATAGACATGGAATGGGGAGAATTCTCAAGCATAAATGAGTTCCCAGTCTTCAAATGACCAGCCACATGTTATGGACAACTATAGAAAATGGCAACAATCACTTTGGGAACCACACTATGCTAGGTCTTCCATGGTTTATGATCATTCTTGAACTGGTCTAAGCCATTTATTTATAGGGGAGAAAAATTTTTCTGACGAGAATCATTTTCTAGTTTGACAATTTTATTTTAGTGTTACTTGATCTACTTTGAAGCCTTCTGGGAAATCTATGTTACATTTGACTTCTCTCCACATCAGCCTGTTAGCTATTAGATGGCTAATTCGCTTCACAAGATATGCTGATATGAGAGGCACTCGGCTCATATTAGGAGTAGAATTTCGCCACTCAATGGTCAGGTCATTTATGATTAAGACAGAAGAGCAATCCAAACACAGCAGCCAATGAGAATGCTCTCCAATCACCTGTAATCACTGCTCTTGGGTTTCTAATGGAAGTGGTTTCTCTTGGTGGCTATCAAACAGCTAGGATTTCTCCTAAAAATAATATGCTTTGGTTTGGAAGTAGAGATTATAGGAAGCCTCTCTCTCTCTTTCCTTGTGTGTGTGTGTGTTTCCCTTTTCCCCATATTTTTTTTCCTATATTTTCTTTATGGAGCAAAATGAAGAAAAAAATTAAGATAAACTATGAAAATAGCAATACATGAGAACTAAAATAACTTTTTCTAAGGTAGTTCAGTGAAACACTTCAGCTTTGGGATAAGATAATCCTAGATTCTAGAGTCATCATTTGTTATTTATAAGCCACACAGCTCTGAAGTAGTTAATAAATTTTCCCAAGCCTTTGTGTCCTTATGTGTCAAATGTAGATAATCCAGTAGTTTTTTTCAAGGAACAATTGGAAACTGAATGAATAGCACTACAAACATGATGGCAACTGTTAGAGAATTCTTGAGGAAATATATTGTTGTCACTCTTCTGTAGTTAAGTAGAATGAATTGGCACCAGAACAAGATGAATCTTAACTAAAATAAAGTTTATTTCCAGATAGTGAGATCTATGGAAGTTGAACATATGCTGTAGAACTTCTTATGCCTTTATTTAAGAATCTGCATTGTCAAGGGTAGGACGAACCTCAAGTTCACAATCATAAAACACTCTTGCAGTGTCTGAAACAGGGGAGAATTTCCATGTGTGTATGCCTTGAGTCTATAGAGAAAGTGCTTGGACAGCTGACACTGCACTCTATACTTGCCCCAGAACATAGGTTGCCTATGAAGAAGATAAAAAAGAAATAAAAAAAGATAATCCTAGTGTTCTGAAATTACACATTTTTTATAGGACCTTAGATGAATTGTCTAACTTTAGTTGTCCTCAGGTAGTCATTTCATAAAATAAGAACACCGTTGTGTCCTTCCCAAGTGTCCAAACATCTACTTTAGTTATCCAGAAATAAAGTGAGAAGAAAGTACAGAAAGGTGTTATGAATCTTGAATAGTGTTCAAAGCAAACTTCACAAAGTCCCTGGTAGACAATCCAAGAAGGCAAATAGAATGTTCTATACCATTCACACGTGTCTTTTTTTTTTTTTTTTTTTTGAAACAGTGTCTCTGTCACCCAGGCTGGAGTGCAGTGGCATTATCTCGGCTCACTGCAACCTCTGCCTCCGGGTTCAAATGATTCTCCTGCCTTAGCTTTCCTAATAGCTGGGACTAGAGGTGCCCGCCACCGTGCCTGGCTAATTTTTGTATTTTTAGTAGAGACGGGGTTTCACCATGTTGACCAGGCTGGCCTCAAACTCCTGACCTCAGATGATCCACCCGCCTTGCCCTTCCCAAAATGCTGGCATTACAGGTCGGCCCACTCATGTCTTTACCATTACTCTCCCAAGATTTGTGTGGAGATGCTCTTTGGGGAGGAACAATAAAATGGCAGAGACTTTGTTAGGATAAAAACAATGGAAATTAATTATAAGAGTCCATTTCCATGAAAAGGAGAAAGGTGAGTTTGTCTTGCAGCTATTCTTGTCTGGGGTTTCTGAAAGACTTACACCTTAAGGATAAGTCAGTATCCTGGGATACAAACAGAGGCATAGGATAAGGCTTAGAGTAATAATGGCAGAGGAAAAGAGGGAAAAATAAGATAAAGAAAAGGAACTTGGACTATTTATCTGAGCTGGATCTGTATGGACTGAGAAGACAACTTATGAAAAATGTGAAAGAGCATATTTTGTAGACATTATTTAGATTCTTTGTGGATGAAAAATGCATTTCAGTTACTAATAAGACTCGTTCTTCTAATTAAATATATGTGCAATGTCCATCCAAATGTATGGGCATCATGAAATGATTCTTCAGAGTTTATCACCATAGTTTTGGGCTTGGCCACCAGGCAGGTGGGCAGCCAGGGGAATACAGAGGCCAGATAAAGTGATCAGTTGAATAAAATTAAAATAATGGCAGTGAGGAAAGGCCCTGTACTCTGACTGGAGAACCCCCTGCAAAGCTGTACTTGTATTCATAAGTTAAGATACTTCACCAGCCATCATTTGCAGAGAATCTGGGTAGGATGGCATTCAGGCAATCATCCATGAAATCACTTATTCAGCTTTTGAATGAATGAAAGAAAGTGTCTACAATTAGCCAGATGTGAGATGGATAGAAAAGGTGGTCTTTAGTACCCAACAAGTCAGGACTTGGTAAATGCTGAGAAGTTAGAATGCCAACCAAGTAGACCTTTGTTCATGGAGAAGAGATAAGATGAGATTGAAAGATGCAGAAAAGAAACCAGCTGTTTGTGAAAGAGTGAATATTAATGAGTCGGGACTGTGCCCTATATACACATTCTAGGGTAGCAAGACGAATTCCAGACTCCACTGAAGGTAGCGATCAGTCTTGTGAGCTATTCTTAAGCTTGAGTGGCACTGGTCCCCAAAGTGGGCAAAGTAAGCCCCTGTGGTGAAAGTCTTTAGCTGCTGAAACTAGGCTAGGCTAGATTAGGTTAAGAAGTCACTGGCAAAATGATATACATTGAAGCACAAGCTCAATAGATATGTCCTCATGCCTCAAATAACTACCAGAGAAGAGAAAGACAAACAAACAAACAAACAAACAAACAAACAAAAGAGCAATGTGTTTACAAGGAGAAGCTGTGCAATTAACCATGCTTGCACTTCATTTGTATGGCCTTCTGCTTTGGGGAAAAAACGGCTGTGAGTCTAGAGATGGCTAGGGGTAGAAGTGTCTGTGCCTAATTGAGGAGAAGTTCCAAAGAAGCTGTGAGGCAAAGTGTAGTGACAGCGTCCACCTCACTCTGAGTAGTGAAGTTCTCAGGAGGAGAATAAATACATTAGTGTCATTTTAGAGGTGTTCATTCTCTCCATTCAGCTGCATAATGCAATTATTTAGTAGTTCAGGATTCTTTTAATTCTGTTTGAAGAACTTAAGAGGTTAAGGGCTTGAAATGATAAATGCATTATTAATATTGCCTCACAGAAACATCCAAGATTATAATTTTTGAGGCAGAGAAAAGAAAAAAAAAGACTAATAGGTTTTTACTCATTTGTTCCCCCTAGTAAATTAACCTACCCAACCTGTGAGAAATGTATAAATTAGACATTATTAGAGAAAGTAATAATGGACCAAAAGCCATCATCTGAAGGTTTATTGATTAGCAAGACTCATGTGTACAACTTTAGTTTTTGGGTTTCTTCTTGTCCTAAATTCTGCACAACTGGAAAGAAAGGGGTTAACAGCAAGGGAAGCAGAAATTGTGGCTGGGTTCATACTAGTAAGGGTGCATTCTTCTATATGGTCTGATGTGATCCCAATCAGTCTATGTAACAGTCACAGAAGGCAAAGTGTATGGTGATAAAGAACATGGGCTTTGGAATCCAGTAGATCTGGGTTCAAATACTAGTTCCACCAACCATGAATTATGTCACCTAGGCAAAACTATGTTTTATTTTTCTCATCTACAAAAAGAGGTGAAATAATATCTATAGCATTTTATGAGAATTAACAGAGATCATACATTTAAATTAAGCATGTGCCCAGAAATTGTAAGCATGTAATAAATTAAAGCTATTAGTGTTAACTATTAGCATTATAATTAAAATTGGTATTAAAATTACTATTAGTATAGTATTAGTATTATTGTTTTAGAATATGTCCTACAATACCCATTTGACAGCTGAAATTTAGATGACTGAAGTGACTTACCTAAGATCATAGAGTTAGTTTGAGCCATAACCAGAAACATCTTACTTACATTTTTAAACAAATTTATCTTCTGTAGAGTTCAGCTACTTCAATCTGCAAACCTAAATTTCTTCTCAAGTTCTTATTCTAACTCTTCTTTTGGACAATAGTCACATACTGCTCACAGGGATTTTCACAGATGTTATTCAAGTATTTCAGAGAAATTGGCAAATCTCGCACAGTTACTATTTTTGTTAATGGATGCAGTCTTTCTCTGGCCATAATAGTGTATCAGGTGCTAGGTTTGTCATCCCATGGTAAACAACCATAAAACTAGACAAAATAATGGAGGAAATATGTTCAGGTGTTAGAAAATAGATAGAGTAAGACTGTGATCCTTCAGAGAAGATAGACATGTGAGGTTAGCCCATGTTAACCTCGGATTGTTTCCTTGGGATTTACCAAACCACGCCAGGGAGAAGTAGAAGCTAAACAGAAAAGTTAGTTTTGCTGAACAAAGAAAAGAGAATCAGAGTTTAGGGACCTGAAGTAACTAGAATTTTTGCTACAGGCTGTCAGAGGACAGAGCTGTGCTGTAGACAAGGGTTCACCACCGATCCTTGTCCATGAACTGGCTGCACTCATCCTGGGTGAAATTCCAAGGCCCAGTAGGTAATAGCTGCTCTAGAACTGGCTGAATGAAGACCTCAGAGGCTGCACTGACTTTGCTGATGCTCAGCTTTTAGTTCAGAGCCCATAAATGCCATTCTTTAGGCTGAGGCCCTTGCCTTAAGTAAGAGCCATACTGTATGACTAAAGAGAAACCACAATATATCTATCCTCCCTAATAAAGAATAAAATCAACCTGTTGTATCAGAAGGATCCAACAAAAATTTAACTCTGTATGAGAATAAAATTAAGCATCCTTTAAGCTTTAATCAAGATAGATAACATAATCCAGACACCTAGTTTCATCTGCAATGTCCAGTATATTATAGCAAATTACTAGACATTGGAAGCAAAAAAGCAACCATCAAGCAAATATGTAAATATTAAAAATTGTCCTTCAGATGATCTAGATATTGAAATTAAAATTATTATGCATGTGTTCAATGACGTGAGGGAAAGATTATTGTAAAGAGTGCACAAATAGGAAGTAGTAGCAGGAAAGAACAAAAAAAGTATAGAAAATAACTAAATGGATATTCTAGAACTTAAAATACAGTACCTGAAATTTAAAAAAAGGTACTGTATAGGCTAACAGTAGATTGGAGATTACAAAAGAAAGCGTTAGTAAACTTGAAGGCAAAGCAATAGAATTCATGTGTAGACCCTTAGAAATCATTTAAAATTAATAAATAGGTACAAAATAATTAAATAGGGAAAGAATTTTTTTCAATAAATGGTGCTGGGACATGTGGATATCCACATGCAAAAGAATCAATCTCTACCTCACACCATATACAAAAATTTACTCAAAATGGATAATTGAACTTAACTGTAAGAACTAAAATTAAAGATTACTTAGGAGGAAACATAATAAGAATAAGACTTCTTCTTCTTATTATTTTTTGATACAGGGTCTCACTCTGTTGTCCAGGCTGGAGTAGAGTTGCATGATCCAGGCAAATTGCAGCCTCAACCTCCTCGGCTTAAGCGATCCTCTCACCTCAGCTTCCAAAGTAGCTGGGACTATAGATGTGTGTGCTACCATGCCTGGCTAAATTTTAATTTTTTTTTCTTTTTTTTTTTAGAAATAGTGGTTCGATATGTTGCTGAGGCTGGTCTCAAGCTCCTGGGTTCAAGTGATTATCTTGTCTCAGGCTCCCAATATACTAGGATTACAAGTGTGAGCCACCACACCTGGTCTCTCAGAGTAAATCTTTATAAATTTGGATTGAGTGATGGTTTCCGAAGTCAATACCAGAAACAAAATCAACAAAAGAAAAAAATTGATAAATTGAACTATATAGAAATTTAAAACTTCTGTGCTTCAAAGAACACCATAAAGAAATTGAAAAGCCAACAAAAAGAATAAGATAAATAGTGTAGAAAGTATTTATCTAATAAGGGAATTGTGTCTAGAATATACACAATCTCTACTACTCAACAATAAAAGATAACACAAATTTTAAAATGGTTCATGAATTTGAAAAGATATTTCTCCAAAGAAGATGTTCAAATGACTAGTAAACACATGAAAAGATACTCAACATATTTAGTTTTTAGAAAAGCATAAATCAAAGCCACAGAGAAATATCACTTCAAACTCACTAGAAGGAATATAATAAAAACAGACAATGACAAGTGCTGGTGAGGATGTGAAGAAATTGGAGCCTTCATTTATTGCTGCTGGGAATGTAAAATTGTGCATCCACTTTGAGAAACACTTTGGTAGTTCCTAAAAATGTTAAACGTATCTTTACTATATGTCCTGGAAATTATTTTCCTAAGTATTATACTCCAAGAGAAATAAAAACATTCATCCACATATAAACTAATACACAAATTTATATACATATTATTTATAAATAGATAAAAATTAGAAACAACCCAAATATATTTCAACTAATGAATGGATACACAAAATGGAGTATCTCCATAAAATGGAATATTATTTGAAAATTAAAAATGAATTACGAGTGTTAAAGCTCTATTATAATTTTTTTGGTTTTTACTGAACCCCATCCTCCCTCAAAAATGAAATACTGATACATGCTATGACATGGAAAAAACCTGAAAACATTTTTCTACATGAAAAGAGTCAGTTACAAAAGACCACATATTAAATGACACTTACATAAAATGTCCAAAAAAGACAAATCCATGGAGACAGTTAATGTAAATCTATAAAAACAGATTACATTAATCTATAGAGACAAATAAGTAGATTAATGATTGTTAGGCCCAGGGGGAATGGTAAGGAGGATAGGCAGTGGTTGCTCATGAGCACAGCATTTATTTTGGAGTTGATGAAAATGTTCTAAAATTAGAGAGTGGTTTTGGTTTCAAAAACCTGCATATAGACTAAAAATTACCAAATTGTATAATTTGGAAGAGTAAATTTTATAATATGCAAATTATAACTCAATATTTTATATAACAGAGTTCCAGTGAACTATGACACAATATCAAGTAGTTTAATATGTGTGTAATTGAAGTACCAGAAATAGACAGATAATAAAACAGAGAAATTATTTGAAGGAATAAAGGCCAAAATTTCCCCAAAGATGGTGGAAATTAACTTACATATCCAAGTTCTTGGAACCCAAGCAGGATAAATACAAAAAGAAACATAGTTAGAAATTTCAGTCTATCTGATGAAATACAAATATGAAAAGGAACATCTGAAACATAGCCAGAGGAAAAATATTTAGTATATAAAGGAGATCCATACTATAAATGATATCTGGCTTCTCATCAGAAAGAATGGAAGCCAGGAAACAATGAAGCAGGATTGTTAAAATTCTCCAAAAGCAACTGTCAACACATATTTCTATATTCAGAAAAAAAAGTACCTTAGAAATGAGGATTGGATAAAAAAATTTTCCGAAAAACATAAGCTGAGAGTATTTGTCACAAGCAAACCTGCACCACAAAAATTGCTTAAGAATTTTTTTCTGGCTGAAGCAGAAATGGCATCAGATAGAATTTTAGAACTTCAAAGGAATGACAAGCACTGGAAATAGTAAAAATTTGGATAAATGTAAGAGATTATCTTTTATTGCTTTCCTTAATTTTTTAAGGACAACTGAAGACATAAATTTTAAAAAATAACTACATTTGAAGGGATTTATGACATATGCACATATGAAATATTGAACAATATTAGCACCAAAATGAGGCGATAAAATTATACTGTTGTAAATTTCTTACATTTTACATGAAGTCATATAAAATTATTCATAGACTTGAATGAAATAAAGATGTCTATTGTAATTTTTAGAGCAACCACAAAAAAGTAAAGAAATAGCTAAAAAGCAATACAGCAATTAAAAATAATGGAAAAAGTAGATTTATTCTAGGAAGACAAGAATGGAGGAACAGGAGGCAGCAGGAACAAATAAAAAACAAAAACATGACATTAGACTCAAATTCAACCCTACTAATAATTATGTTAAATGTAAATGAACTAATAACATGAATTAAAAAGCAGAGATTGTCCAACTACATACAAAACCCAGCTATATGTTGTCTATAAGAGATGCCTTTTAAATATATAGACCCAGTTAGGTTGAAAGTAAAAGGTTGGAAGAAGAAAAGATATGTGAAAGAAACATCATAAGAAATCTGGACTGGCTGTGTTACTATCAGTCAAAGTAGATTTCAAGATGAGGGATATTACTAGAGATAAAAATGTGTGGAAACCTCTTTTCAAGGTCCTTGTATTTCTATCAGTATTACAACCTCAAAGTTATTTCACATTCCAGATCATCCTATGTCTATAAAAAACCTTTACCACTTCTCATTCCTAATATAAAATACTCTGAGTGTAATTGCTCATGGTGCAAGATTTGTGGCTGAGGATCTTCTGTGTGTATCTTCTCTCAGCTTCCTCCAGGTAGGTGGACAGAGACATCTCTGATGTGCTAAAGGAGTTTCTCAACATGAGAGACTGCTTTGATATAGTCATGGGTCCTATAAACCATCTATTCAGAGTCCTTAATTATTTTATTTCACAAAAATGCTTCAAGCACTGTCTGTGTACTAGATAGTGAGGTAGGTTCTATGTATATAGAGGCAAGTTTGGTCAGAATCATGGTCTTCAAGAAACTTACAATCTGCCCAATAAGATTACACTGAAACATGATGTTTTACATTAATATTCTGGGCAAATTTGGGGAGAGATTACACTTTAGCTACTATTAAAATAAAACCTCCTTCAAAACAGTGTGGAGACTGATACTGCTTTTAAATTGGCAATGCCTGAGTGTGAACCAAACTGTTTCAAACTTTATCTAGTGTTCTGGTTTGAGTCACATTTGCAAGACAATTCCCACTTACTACCACCAGCCAACATAATTCATAGTCACATCAATCACATTTGTGTCCCTGTCTCTCTGTTCTTGTTCAACAAAGAGTAAATCCATCCTGTATCTCCTCTCTCTTTCTATGTCCATCACATTCCCATAGCCTACCAAGGCATAAGGCAATTGTCACTGTCTAACTCTAACTTTAAATGATACTGTTCATATTCTGCCTGCATCCCCTCAACACTCTCCTTCTTCATGTGGTTGCTTCCAATTGTTTGCACCTACAACTCTTTGCCCAAAGGTTCTTTCTAGTCACTAGAGCCACTAGTACCTGTTCTACTAACCAGAAGTACTGCAGAATTAACTGTGAAGGGAGCAATTCTCAATCAATGGCTGACAGGGCTTAGTGGAAAAATATCCCAGCTTTCTTGTCTTTCAAGATCACACAGAAGATTGTTTTACACTGTATCTGGACTTCTTCAGGGAGAATTTATCCCAACTTCCCTCAGTAATAAGCTGGTGAATTACATGTTCTTTATTGTCTTCCCTTTCTTGAGTTACTTCCACTTTCCTCCATCAGTGCTTCCTGAATTATCTACCAAATTGGCCACTTGGGGAGAGACAGGGTAAGGCCATGTTTGACTGCCAGCAAAGTAAAAGTATGATCAGAAGCTGGCAACTACAAAACAATGAAGGTGAGAGCTGGCACTTCCAAATATCTCACCCAAGAACCCAGAGGAGATTTTCAGAGCTTCTAAGACCTCCATATTAAAATCTCCAGAAGCCAAGTTCTGGGAGTCATTCAGGAGCTCCAACACCCCAGTGAGGCCTAGAGGGTATCTTGGGTATACCCTCTGCGTTATGCACAGATATACATATACATATACATATACATATATATATATCTTAGATGATCCTGTGCATGGCAGTGGTAACCAAGGTGCCCAGGGCGTTCATAATTTGGAAGATCTCATAGAGAAAGGACTGCATGTTTATAAGCATTTGTTAAACATGTTTTCTACCTCAAACTGTACCCGGATCTTTATATCATAGTTTGTTTCTGGAGTAACCTAACCTAAAATAATCCACATAGAGAGGCAGAAGCTATTGTTCTTTGCTTGTAGTTTAGATAAAAAAGCTTGAGTCTCTTTTTAGATCAACTGTCAACACAGATATCTATATTCAGAAAAAACATACTTCAGAAATGAGGATTGGATAACAACAATCCTCAAATCCAAACAAATTTAGGCAAGTACTCCACTCCAACTCTTACTATCTGTGTGGCCTTGGACAAATTAATGAATTCATGACTCTGTTTCTGTAATCACCTATATCTCCTGCAAATGACTGCCGTACAACACAAACTATTTTCAGCCAGAAAGGGAATTTATTTATTCACATACCCCAAAAGTCAAGAAGCTTTGTATACTGTCATATGTGGCTTGATGTAGCCACTCAAATAATGTTATTTCTTATTCATCTCTGGGTTCTGATATCCCCTTGCCAGCTCTATTTCCATTTGATTTTTATTTATAAGTAGACAAGATGGTACATGGCAGGTCCAGACTTAACTATTCTTTAAGTGCCTAGCCTCTCTAGAAGAGAGAGAGCCTCTTCACCAATAGTTTTAGCAAAGCTTTGAGTTATAAAAGGAAACCCTGGGTAAAATATTCAATCCAGGTAGATGTTCTACATTTTAGGCCATGCTTGAATTAGGTCTCTACACCTGAAGCCTACAGTAGTGTCAGCCCCACAGAAATCATATGGGTTAAGAATGAGAGAAAAGAATTTCCCAAAGTAAGGATCTCTTTTATGAGGTCAAAAGGAGAGAACAGATGCTGGCAAGGAGAAATGGATGGGTTTTGCTAATACAATGACCTCAAAAGGCGGTGTGAGAGTTAAGTGAGATAATCCTTTTAAGCTCCCAGTACAGGCATACGCTAGGTGCTCAATCTTTGATCACTGTCATTATTATCAATCATATTGAACAGAGCATAATTTTCTCATTTATTAAGTACATAGAAAAAGACACACCCCAAAAGATTGCTGGGAAGATTTTAAATGATATCTGAAAATCTACGTTAAGTTTTAGTGTTTTTTCCTCCTCATTACTTTCTCAAAGCTGGACCTCTCACTCCCCACCGCTATGATAAACATTTGTTAAATGAATTATGAATAAATGAACACATGAATAAATTAATGCATATAATCCCAAAATGCAGGGTGACTTTCATACACCTCAAATCTCATTGCTCAGGGGTTATTTTTCACATAGACTATACCTCATCTTAGAAAAGTCACCTTTCCTGTGGTTGTCTCCAATTTGAGGCTCTATTTCAGGGTATACTCTGCACAGGAAAGTAGTTCTGAGCCCATGTTACAGAATCTTCTTTTTTGGATTAGTTTCCTATAAAGGAAAATATCCTTTAAGATGCTGGATACAGGAAATGCTGGAGCGAGAGACCCTGAGTACAATGCACAGAGGCTTGGCGTATCAGCAGTGATTCAAGGCATCATTGCCCACCCCAACCTCCATCCCCATTCACTCAGCATTAGTACCTGGGATTCAGTTGTCCCCTGGACAGAAGAAAGACAGAGGAAGGTTTTGATGCTTCCTTTAAAAATAAGATACATTAGTTAGGCATTTTATTTTCATTACATGAAGTAAGCGTACTTGTCTCAGAGAACTCAAACAATCACCTACAGCCAACAAGAAGGGAAGGCATGATTTGTGGTTTGCAGAATGCATTTTCTATCTTGTACTGGTCATAGATTAATTTCACTCTGGCACAGCAAGTGCCACGATGACAAAATCATTTAGCCTTAGTGCTTAATGCAAAGAAGGGTAAAATAGAGGAGCACATGAGGCTGAGGGCATATGGACGATGCTCTTGCTGATGTCTCCTTTAGTGTCTGATTTCAATGCCATATCATTCTGACCACATGGTAATGTTTCACAAGCTTCTCCAGTTAGAGAAGCACAAATATTGTAAAATGATTATAGACAAAAATGAGCCCCAAATTCCTATCACCGTGACTTAGTAAAATGTAAAATAATGAAACAGTAGCTGCTATGAGCTGAATTATATCTGCCCCCTCCCCACCAAAAATTTATATGTTGAAGTCCTAAACTCCAGTACCTTGGAATGTGATTGTACTTAAAGACAGGGCCTTTAAAGGAGTACGTAAGTTAGAATGAAGCCATTTATTTGGGTGTGTTCTACTCCAATCTGACTGGTGTTCTTATAAGATGAGAAATTTTGGACACAGAAAGGTTCACTGAGGATGTGCATGCAGAGGGAAGACCATGTGAAGCACAGCAAGAAAGTGGCCATTTGCAAGCCAACAGAGAGGCCTCAGAAGAGACCAAATCTTCCAACATCTTGATCTTGGACTTTTAGCCTCCAGACCTGTGAGAAAATACATTTCTATAAATTAAACCACTCAGCCTGGGATAATTGTTTTTTATGACAGGTCTAGAAAACTAATACGGTAGCTACCAATGATTGAGCACTTACAGGATTCTAGTTATGATACTAAATGCTTTTATAGAGATATCATTTAAATCCAACAGTAGTCTTGAGAGGTATTATAGGTTTACATATTTTCTAGATGAAGAAACTGAGTTTGTGAAAGAATAAGCAATTTACTCAAGGTCATGCTAAAAGTACGTGGTTCTAACCAGATTATCTAACTCTCTCCTTGGAATCTTCCCTTGAACATCTGAACATGGCTAAAACCAAGATCAAAGTCCATTCACCAAACTCAGTATTTTCCTCCAGTGTTCTCTCCACCAAAGCACCAGATTTATAAGGCAGAATTATTTTATTGCTGAAACCTGACATCCTTCAACTCGAATCCATCGTGATATCTTGTTTATTCGACTTTATCTTCTCAAACAGTGGCTAACACAATAGATAATAAGATATTACTAACTTTGTAGAGGCAGAACTGATATGCTTAGCAATGAAATTAATGGGCATTGGGGATACATTACAGGGAGGATCAAAGATTATACCAAGATTTTAATTCAAGGGTCAAATAGAATTTTGGAGAAGTTCACTGAGATCAGCCCTAAAGGAACTCATCAACCCACAAAATGCTTCTTCCTCTGTTCCCACCCAGAGGCTGAGATCTCCATGTCCAAGAAAACGGCCCTGGTTTGGACCATCACGTCTCATATGGGTTAGCACGATGTCTCTCTGGCCTCTCCTCACCTTCTCTAATGCACTCTCCACTCTAGCCAGAATAATCAGCTACCAATTCCCTTTCAAGTCCTTCATGGACTCTCCCCACTGGATAAAAGTCAGATATATGGCCCACATAATCATATTGACTTCTCACTCAAGCTTTAAATAATGTCCAGACAGAGACACTGGGCAAAGAACTTGATTAATTTGATGAAGGCTTCAACTCCAATCATGGCACAGTTGCAAATCCACAGGTTGCTCTTTTTCTGTTACACTAAGTCAATTTCCAGGAAGCCTGGTTTAATATGACAGTGATATCCAGAATTTACTTATTTTCACTGGGGCATGGAAGAAATCATTTTAGGTAGGACTCCCAGAGACCAGATTTTGCCTCTTCTACTATGAGTTTGAAGACAAGCCAGGTCTCCATAACTTGGTTGTTTCCTCTGTAAAATGTAGTGTTTGGGGTACTGATCTCTGTGAGTCTTCCATGCTCCATAAAGAAATTACAACATCACTTGCCACGTTGTTGAAAGGAAACAAGAAGATCTCAGGATGAGCTAGAGAACGAAGGAAACAGAGTCAGGCAGTGAACAATTTGAGAGAAACACGAGTACTGAAAAAAGAATGTGTGCATGCACTGCCTCAGAAACCAGGGACAAAACACACTTGGGCTTTTCACCACCCTCTGAGTTTTTTCTACACTTGCCCAAGGAAGGCCAAAAATAAGAGCTAATTTTTTTCCCAGAAAAAAAAGGGATAGAACCAGGCCTCAGACACACCTCTTCCCATCCGGACTGAGCCCAGATCCACCCAAGTGGGTGTGGTCATGAGGACTAGGCAGTTAAAGCCAGATGTCCACCCTTTCCATCAGCATGGATGCCCTTTGAAATCACACTAGGCACTAGGCACAGCTGTTTTTGTTTTTTTTTTCTTTTTAAAGAACTCCCTAAAAAACTAGAATCAGATTCTGTAAGCAACAAGTTATCTTGGAAAGCAGCTGGAAGCATACACCCATTTCTCCAGTGAGAAAATGAGGGCACAGGAAAGTTGGATGACACATGGAGAATACCAGGATCTCTTGTCCCAGTGTATGTATGAGTTATTGTTAGGGTAGACACCCAGTCTCATACACTGTTCTGGTTCTTCCATCGGGAAATTGGGGCTCAGGATTAATCATCTCCTACTTTTGAATAGCTATTTTCATATTTTATAGCAGGCATTGGTCACATCAGTAGTCAGGCATTTAGTGGACAGCAGAAAAAATAACCAGGGAATAAAACATAGAAAATAATAATTTGAGTAATTGTGTGCATAACTTCTGCTTATCCTATCTTTTCTCTGGGTGTCACTTCTGGGGAAATGTGATTAAATAATCTCTAAGAATCATTCCAGCTCTATCTGTCTAAGACAGAGAACAGGAAAGCAAGATCCCTCATGGCAGTCAGGGAAGCAGCCCAGCCAGGAACCCAGGTGGCTGTGGACCCTGGGCAGCTCCAGGAATGAGGGGCCTGGCTACTGCATTTCTGGAGCATACCCCTCTCCTCATTTTCCAAGCCCTGTGCCTTCTCTCTAGCCAAACAAACACAGCTGAGAGTTCTGGAACTGAGCTGCAAAAAAAATCAGCTCCTGACATCTTGCCCAACAAGCAAACAATGGTGAAAAAGTTTCTCATTGTCGCTTGGTATTAATAACCTATTGATGAACCAACCCACTTTCCCCATCTAATCTTGTGGGCCTTGCCACCATTAATTATCAAATATGAGTTATAAAATTTCAACTTTCTGTACTATATAAAAAATTAGGCTTAATAACTGTTAATATCTTAATAAACAACACAACTTCACAATCATTAATAGCTCAATGATCATAACAATAGCTGTCATTTATAATGCAGTTTCTAGATTCCAGACACATTGCCAAGTGCTTTTACACGTATTGCTTTATTTAATTCATTTTAATATTAGGAATTAGATTATTCTATGATTTCCATTTAACATATGGGGAAACTGAGACTTAGAGAAGTTAAGTAAACAGCCCACAGTCTCACAACTAAGAAGTGTTAGAATCAAGATTCAAACTCAAATTGACCTGTCTTCGAAGACTACTGTCTAAACTGCACTGACTTGTAAGCTAAAGTTGTATGCCTTCAGAATTCAAAGGCATTTTTCTGTTTGTTGTGCCTATGCTTGTTAGAATGAAATTATCTACTGCGTCTTTCCACTTGCTTTGGTCAAGTTCACAGATCAACACACATTTCCTGATCTGTGATTTTGCGCATCCATCTCTTCTACCAGTAATCAAGCAACAGAAGCACCTGACGAGTTATTCTCTTAAAGGATGGGGTCAGATCACACCAGCCTGCAACTCCAGCAGCTGGAGAGACAGAAGCTCAGATGTTCAAGATACTGAGGCTGAGTTCCCTTGGAGAGGCAAGGAGAATCCCAAAGGCAGGAGGAACAATCCTGGAAAGCTCCAGGTGACATCTTGCATCAAAATCCTGTAGACTTAAATTATTTTTGGCTATAATACTGCACAATCTACAGAGTTTAGTGGGGCAGCTGAGCCAGGAACCCAGGTGGCTGTGCACCCTGGGCAGCTCCAGGAATGAAGGGCCTGGCTACTGCATTTCTGGAGCATTCCCCCTCCTCCTTTACTCAAGTTCTATGCCTTCTCTTCAGCCAAATGGACACAGCTGAGAGTTCTAGAACTGAGCGGAAGATGAAACTGTGGGAGAGGAAGGGCGAAGCATTTCCCACAACTCATCATCCAGAACTGTGTTATGTGGACATCCCTACTTCCAGTGGAGCCCAAGAAATATCTATATGGCAGATGAAGTCAATGTGGAGAAGGGGACCAGTAGTATTATCAACCCTTGTATGGGTTCTGCTCCTCTTTTTGACAGAAACCTCGATAAAATCCTCAAATAATGAGCGATGTCATCCATGTGACATGTAAACATGCCCAACCCAAGAGAAAGTCAGAAAATGAGAGCCTGCAGGAATGTGGGAAGGTATGAGTTTATCAGGATGAACAGGGTATCTGAGAATGACCTAACTGTGTTTACCTATCTAAAATCTAAACACAAGCCACAGGGTGATCCATCACTGGAAACAGATACTTAACTCAGTCATACAGTGAGAAAAGGTGGGAAACATGGACCTTGTTTATTCCATATTGCACTGAATATACAAAGTTCCCATATCCTGCAACAGACAGAACGTGGTCCCGAGCAGAAAAAGGAAACTAATGGCAGTTTATGTAATGGGTCTCTTCTGTGGAAGTGCCACTGACCTGGAGGATGTACTATATTCCATACTCTGAGAGGTGTCCTCTGATGTGGTGGAGGATTTCATCTACCTCTTACAGTCTAGGAGAAACAGGTCTCAAAATTATCTCATTAAGCCACCAGCTGAAGTTCCGGTTGATTTTCCACATGCCTAGAATAGGTACATATTGGTCATGGAGAAAGAAGTTTCTACAGTTCAAATGACTAAATTATGATCAAGTTTATACATTGGTATCCTGTAAACTTGGTTGATATAAATTAATTTCCTAGGTATGGCCAGCTGTGGATGTCATCACAAGGCCAAAGACAAGACAATCCCTTGGACTTTGCTGACTCCATCAGATGACATTGCCGCTTACACACACACACACACACACACACACACACACACACACACTGGTTTTGTCTGTATGGCCAATTAACCTCCCTAGATGAAACATATCTGTGCCTGGCACTTCTTCTAATTGTAGCATGAGACAGACTCAGGCTTAATAATAGAAGGAAAGACTCTAACACAGTTACAATTGCCCAAACATGAAACACATTGTCTGGGGAGGCCCTGGGTTCTCTTTCCCTTGACATGGACATGTATTGTTAGTATATTGTGGAGAGCTTCCCAGCACCGTAAGAGAATGAACGTGAAATTCCTCTTGCCTCTGAGGTGTTAAGGTGTCTGGAAATTTTTTACTTACATCCTCTCTGAGCCTATTGCAAACCTTAGGAGCAATTAGATGGGTGTGTTCATTCATCCATTGACTCATTCAGTCATTATTTTATTGATTTGGCTAATAAATATGTGCATAGTAAATATGTGCACATAACTCAGCATGGGTTATGCTATGTGACAGGGGCTGAGAAAACAGGAAACAAGAACTCCCCTTCTTTTAAGGGGGTTATTCAGATCCTTGATGGTGCTATGTAATGGATTCTCTGATGGGGTCGCCCACATATATGCATGCTGCCGAACTGAGGGAAGAGTTGTTAGTGTGAAAGCTTTCAAAAAAAATTTAGAAGGGTCATTTTTTATTTAATCCAAACCCTCTGGATACTTAATAAGAGACAATGAAACTGTATTTTTATGTGGAACCTCACAGGACAGTCATCTAGATGAAGAGTGGTGTATATGCAGCCTTCAGTTGTGTTCCAGGGACCACAGGTTATCAGAACTAAAAATGCTCATAGATAATTCATCAAATCTACTCCTGTCATGTATTATGAAGGGAAACAGAGGCAAGAGGAAGTCTAATACCTTGTCCAAACTCCCACTGTAATTTTTTGGCAGCCAAAACAAAAATCAGGTATTTGCTTCTATTGAACTTGTGGTATGTCAAATTGATTACATTTTATTTTGGATTACTATTATCATTATCATTATTATTAACATGTATTATGTGCTTGCCATGTGCCAGACAGCTCCCAGGGTGCTTTAAGTGCTTGCCTCTTTGAATCTCCAAACTAAGCTGAGAAGGCAGGTGTTAATAGTCCTCATTTTACACATAAGGAAATTATGGACCAAAGAATGTCATTAATTTGTAAAGACACAGAGCTAAGAAATAGCAGAGGCAGGATATGAACCCAGGTCTGTGGGACTCTACAAGCCCGTAACGAGGCATTATATCTCAAGGCTTTGTAGTTTGCTCTGGTTGGCTACCTGTCAATTCATTCTCCACATCTAGGATCATGAAAAATAAAACACCACTCTTAGAGCTCAGCTGAAAGCAGGCTAATGTCTGTTCATGAAGCCTTACTGGGGGAGGAGGTGGTTTGCTGACGATCAGTAGCATTTCCGCCCTCTTCTGCCTGTCATGAGAGCACCCTCCGGCCAACTGAAACAACACTGAGAAGTGGAGCAGAGAAAACCAGTCCAAGGGCCTGGCCTGCCCCAATGGAGACATTCACAGCGTTGCTATAACAAGAACAGGATCTGTGATAAGGAGCTGGGAAAATCTGTAACAGTGAAGGCGACGCCCACATCAGGCTGTGGAGATAGACCAGAGTCAGCCCTGGGACTCGCCCAGCGTGGGAGAGAGGGCATGGATCCCAGGATGCAAATTTTGTTTTCCTTCCTTTCCAAAGTGCTGCTGATTCCTGACTGAGGCTTGGTCTTTGTCAAGCCAGCTACTCAGGGTCAGGAGGAGCCAGGATCCCTTTTGGATTTGGTGCCTGCTTAACTCTCTTACTTTAACTCCTGTTCCTCCAACACCTTCATCCTATGTGCTAGCACACAGAACTGTATTAATCTGTCCCAGAATGCTCTGTGCTACTGAAGATACTTCCTTATGCCACTTTCCTTCCCATTCTTTTTTTTTTTTTTTAACTTGAGAATATCTTTTCATTCTCCAAGATTTGGCTGGGTGTGGGGGCTCACACCTGTTATCCCAGCACTTTGGTAGGCCGAGGTGGGCAGATCACTTGAGGCCAGGAATTCAAGACCAGCCTGGCCAACATGGTGAAATTCCATGTCTACTAAAAGTATAAAAATTAGCCAGACATGGTAGCACATGCCTGTAATCCCAGCTACACAGGAGGCTGAGGCAGGAGGATCACTTGAACCCGGGAGACAAAGGTTACAGTGAGCTGAGATCACGCCACCGCATTCCAGCCTGGGAAACAGAGTGAGACGCCGTCTCAAAAAAAAAAAAAAAAGTTCTTCGAGATTTATTCAATGTGGCACTTTACCTGGAAAGGTCTCATTAGTCTATAATCCATAACACTCCACTTGTTCAGATGAGAGTGGCTTTGGTTCCTCCCTCAAGGGCAGTCACTATACCTTGGGAGAATCTCTGATGGGACACTCCCAGTACTATAGTAGAGCTCAGCTTAAAGCAGGCTAATGTCTGTTGATGGAGCCTTACTAGAAGGAGGAGGTTTGCTGATGATTGGTAGCATTTCTACCCTTTTCTACCTGTGATGACAGCACCCTCTGACCAACTGAAACAACACAGAAATGGAGCAGATAAAACCAGTCCACGGACATGGCCCGCCCCACTGGAGACATTCACAGTGCAGCTGTAACAAGAGCAGGAGCTGCTCTTTCATTAAAATTGTGGGTTCATGTTTTTGTCTTCCTCAATATATTTCTGTCATTTTGAAAGCTGAGACAATGCAGTATTCCTCTTTGTATTTACAAGATGTAGTGGAATAAACATTACATTGCAGATTCTCAATAAATACTGGGTGAATGAGTATATGAATGAACAAATAAACAGACTGATGAGCTCAAATTAATTTCATAAAAGAAGCCCTGGCCCAGTAGATGGAGCCAGAAATAATTTATCTTTCATCCCCTTTTCATGGGCCTGATCCAGAGTACCAGGTATAGAAAGAACAGCTCTTGAATAACTATAGTGCAGCAGCTGGAGGGAGAGTCCACAGAGATGGTCCACATTGCACATATGGGAAACTGTCATTCAGGGAGGTTGGGTGACCCCCCACTCACTATCCTCCCAGGGCTGGAAGGCTTTCAAGTGGGCACTGGACACAGCTCTTTTCCATCAATCAGGCAGGTAGTATTGCCACCACTTTACAGATGAAGCAAACATATTAGTTCACCAAATGGTTACTGAGTATTTATAATAGGCCTGTCCCTGTGTTAAGACTTGGGTAGGAGGGGAGATAGATGAATAAACAGAAGTACAGAATGTATGGAGGAGTGTTCCTGAACATGCAGCTGGAGACTAAATTTTCTTGGAGGGAGAGTAAGGCTAGAATCTGGAAAATTCTCAACTTAGACCAATGTGACACCTCCTGAATTTAGGAATGGTCACCTCTTTTTATTATCTATTCAACCTACCCATTTTGCTATAGACCTACTAACTTCCAGTCCAGTACAGAGTGTTTTACATACTTTGCCTTTTTAAATCTCCCAGTTACTCCTAAAATCTGTTTAACAGATGAGGAGACTGAGGTTCCAAGTAGATAAGTAACCATAAAGTCTCCCAGCTTGTAAGGGGTAGAGTCAGAGTATACACCCAGATCTGTCTTTGTCTAACTCTGCACCTCCCAGTGAGCCATGGCTCACTTGGAATACGCATTGTGTCCCTGATGTACAGGTGTTCGAAATAGCATGTACCAGACTTCTGTGAAATGCATGCCTCTCCAACAGTTTATGAGCACCTACTAAATGCAGACATTAGTGCTGGGCTCTAGAAATGTATACAAGGAAGACCAAGAAGGGTTCTAATTACTAAAGGGTCAAGAGTCCCTTGTGGGATGGGGGAAGAAACAGAGCAATTAAAAGGCAGAAGTGCCAAGACAGATACCCCAAAGCCCTGCAGGAAACAAAAGAAAGTAACTCTCTCTTCCTAGGAAAGCCAGAGAGGTCAAGCATCATGCTTATTTATTGATGGCCAGCTTCTAGAGATTTAATTTAGAATATAGTCAAGTCCATTTGGTGAGCACATAGCCAAGAAGTACGAAACTGGATGCAACGGGTAAGTTTTAACAAGTCTGAGATGTTGGCAGCCTCTGCATTTTCAAGTTCTCTCTCCCCACCTCTGAGTCGCTAAACTGTATTCAAGAACTGGGTTAACCACTTTCAACCGATTAGCAGTTGATTCATGATTTGGGTGAACTGATCACTTAGTAGCTTGGTGATTGATAGTGATTTCAAATCCACATACATATTAGAAAACCGTGGGGAGCTTTAAAAAATACCAATGCTCAGGCCACACTTCAGAACATTTAAAACAGAATTTTGAGAGAAGGGTCACAGGTTGGTAGCTTGAAGGAGGACACACACACCCCTTATTGTAATTTTATTTTGCAGCCAGTTGGAACCTACTGCTATGAGGAAAAACTCCCAGTTTTGGCAGCCCTAAAGCTACAGACAGGACTAAAGAAAAATTAAATTCCTAAGATAAATAAGGTAGGCAATGGCTGTTTATCTGCTCCTCTCTCCACAGGGCCTTTGCATAGCCCATTCCTTCTGCTTGGATCTTCAGTCCCCACGTCAACCCACCCTTCCACATTCAATTAAGTTCTCATTCTCCTAGCTCTCATCTCAAGGTCTCTTTCCCTATGGAGGCCACCAAGTCAGGACCCTCTGTTATCTGTCCTCATGATACTTGCTTCCTTACTTCACAGCCCTTTCCTCAGCCTGCAATCATATAACCGAGAGAGTAAGTTTCTGACTGAAGTCCATCTCATGCACTAGACTGAAAACCTCCCAAAAGTGGGACCAAAATAATTGTGATTTCCTCTGTCTGTAACTAGGACCTAAATTGGGGACTGTCACAGAGGGAGCACTCAATAGACATTTTTTTGAATGAATGAATAGGTAAATGATGAATGGAAAATATGAACAAATTAGTAAAGATAAAAATTCACCTATACTCTAGGCGACAAAACAAAATCGAATCAGATCTAGTGTTTTTTTCTAGCCTTCAGGCTTTTGTGTTTGCTGTTTTGCTTGGTATTTCAACCTTAAATGATCTTTTCTGTAGGTCTACATTTCAAAATCCCTCTCATCCTTCAAAGCCTCATTCCAAAACCTCATCCTGCATCATGCCTTTTCAAAACATCCTGCAGGAAGTGAATTTTCTCTTCTATACAAAAGTTGGAAGCTTAATTGTAATGTGCTACTCTATGTTGCCTTGGGAACATATTATCATTTTTAAGAGATTATAAGCAATTTGAAGGCGGTACTCACCTAATTCATTTCTGCCCTTTCCCTCGTGGTACCTAGTAAAGTGCCTGCCATATAGTAGATACCCTGTAATTATTGTTTTAATGCCTACATGAATAGTATATATCATGGGTAAGTGGTCAATGGACTTCTGGACTCATTTCTCAAACGCAAGCAAAGGGACAGTCGCACAGATTTTTAAACTCATATGTATTCTAAGGATTTAGGTTAGGAAAAAGTTACAAATCAGTCTCCTTTTCTCTTTCCCTTTGTAGATCACACTCTAATATTTTTCCGCTGGCAGAGAGAATGAAGATATGACAGTGGTTCTGCATGAGTTTGGATAATTATATTTTTCACATTGTTTGGCAGTTAAGATTGACAACTACTGATTATTTAAGGTACTGTGTATTCTTCAAAAATAATTCTAAACACAAAAGTAATAATTGGATATAATTGCAAAACCAATTGATGTGGTCCCAGCACATGCTTGAGTTTATGGGCCTCAGTTTCCCATCCATAAAATAAAGGGGGTGGAATAAATCAGTGTTTTTCAGTGTCTATTGACCCAAGATACACATTGTAGCTCATTCAGAGTGCATTTATTCATTTGGTAAATATTTAATAAGCACCTACTATAGTAAATCAAAAACATCTTCTTCTAGCAGAGAAACAGACACCTGTCAACAATTGTATAAATGTATGTACTATTTCTATGCCTGGGTTATAAAGGTATTTTGACAGAGTATAGCATGAAGATTTTAGTTGGTCAGGGAGGTCAGGAATAACTACCATAATAGGAAAACCACTTTCTGGGATATGGGCAAGTATTAATTAGAATTCCTCAAAGAAGCAGAACCAATATGATGTGTGAGATAGATTTTTACTTTAAGGAATTGGCTCATACAATTGTATGAGATGTCAAGTCCAAAAATCTGCAAGGTAGCCTGGCAGGCTGGAGACACGGGAAAGAGTTGATGTTGTAGTTTGAGTCCAAAGGCAGTCTGGAGGCAGAATTCCCTCTTCTTTAGAGGACTCAGGTCTCTTATTTATAAAAGCCTTCAACTGTTTGGATAAGATCCAACCACATTAGGGTAATCTGCTTTATTCAAAGGTCAATTTATTTAAATGTTAATCTCATCTAAAAATACTTTTGCAGCAACATCAAGATTGGTATTTAACCAATTATCTAAGTACCATGGCTTAGCCAAGTTGACACATAAAATGAATGATCACAGGGTAAATACGAAGGACAAAAGGAAGCCAAGGGGGTGTGGGGAATGACTAAGAGAAGGATGGTGAGAGAGGAGACCTAGGGCAGGCAGGGGAATGGCCACACAGTGCCATGTAATTGATGTGTCTCTTTTCTACAAGTAGTAAGTTTTTCAAGGATTTGAATCAGAGAATAGACATAATCAGACATGCTTTCCAAAACTAGCATTGTGGCGAAGGACTAAGATGGTGATGGGGCCGATGGGGAGGTGTGGATGGATAGGAACATGCTACATATGTAAAGTGTGAAGCACCAGATGATGGATTTGACAGGTTGGAAGACCAACCAACAGTCCCAGTTCCAGCACTGAAAATCCTATGTCCTGGCAAACCCCTCAGTCCCAGCAAATAGGGATGGTTGGTCACCCTAAAAAGAAATTCCAGTGATACTATTTAAGTTTCTGAGTACCTAAGGGTCACCCTGAATACTCTTCAATTTGCTAAGTTAGGTGTTGTCTATAGTAAAGTGTGTGTGATGAACTCACAGTGGATGGATAAAACTTGCTGGAAAACATGTCCTGCAAGTCCCCTTTTAGCCTTATATTCTGAATCCTCTAAACCCAGAGCAATGTGTGCAAAGGCAGCATCTTCCAGAAAGCCAACATCAAGAATTTCGAAGAACAAAGCTCTTCCATTGAGGTACAATTTTCAAATCCTCCTGATTTCATTTCATTCTCCAATGGCTACCTCAACCCAGTAACTTGCTAGTATCACAAGCACTTAATTCATTAATTTCACACATAGTTAGAGTTAGGGTTAGGTTGGGTTAGGGTTAGGGTTAGAGTTAGGTTACGTTTGTTCAAGCAAACACGGAAACATGTTGGGAAAGTGTCAAGGATGATAGATCTTTGCCTTTACTCAATGAAGAAAAACTCAATGAAAGATTTTCTTTACCTTATTTCGTCCCATTTGTGTTCCCTTTCCCATATGTTATTTGAGAGAGAACATTTTACCAACTATAACCATCTCATTTATTTATTGTTTATTTGTTAATTTCAAGAGAGTTGGCTTTTTTCATTATGAAGTGTATTATGCTTACAAAAGAATCAAAAAATAGAGATGGAAAAGAAACATGAACTCACTACTGGAGCCCAAGAGCAGCTTAATTCCATAATTTTTAATAAATATTTTAATACCTCTATATAAATCATTAGATTGCACAATCCTATATGCATACAAAATTGCATAAATTGTTTATCTAACCTCATATCTGGATTTTGTCTTTCAACATTAAAATGCTAATATTCCCTGTGTTGGGTCACATTCTTTATTTAAAACAGAGTGCTTGATGATTGTATTACAGCTCAACAAATGTGTGCTCCACAATTTACCTAACCATTGGCTATTGATGAACATTCACATTTTCATTATACCAACGGGACAATTAACATATTTATGCATAAAGCTGTTCTGTATGTTTGGTGATTTTTCTTAGGCTACATTCCCCAAAGTGGAATTTCTGAGTTAAAGGGCTTTGGTAGTTTAATGCTATTGATACATATTGTGAAATTGTCTTCCAAAAGGGCTGTAGCTATTTTTATGCATGCCAGAAAGTGCGGAAATGCCTGTGGAATATGTGAAAACCTAGACTGGAGGGCACCTCAGTTAGATGGGTTTATGTGAGGGGCTCCTTCCTGGCCTTGGCTCAAGCAGAACATGAGAATTTGCCTTTTCCAGCCAGGTGAGTTCTCAGCAGGACAAGCATGATTTGAGAACAATTCCTAAAGGAAGTATCTTCTAAAAGTAACCTGGATCCATGGGCAAGTTTTATGGCGTCTCTTAATTTTTTGATTACTTATGTAACCTTTGTTTTTGATTTTGTTTTTTTGTTAGTACATTTGTTTATTGCCTGGGAAGATGAACACTTTCTTCAGATTCCCAGGAATTTCAGTGGTTAAACCTTTGTTGTTTCTTCTGACTACGATTCACTTTTCTTCTGATAAAAAAAAGTGCCCAGAAATTTCTTTGGGAAATAGTCATTCCCCACACTCAGCCCATTGGTTTGAAGGGAGTTCACCACTCCTCCAGGGGAGGACACTGATTGGCCTAAGGTGATTTCCATTTATCTATACCCAGTGATTGGATGAGACTGACCACATGACCCAATTCAGGACAATGAGATTCATGCCTGCAGAGTATGTTTCCAACTGTTGAGAGTGAGAAACCTTTTTTTCATAGATGAAAGCTCAGAACCTTGTGTGCTTATCTGCCCATCCTATGGGATTTAGAACAGAAAACTATACACCCCAAGGAAAGACTAACAGATGGGTGTAAGTCCCTGGCCTCTGATGACATCATCTTTGATCCCAGGATCACCTATGCCTGAATCTACATTCCCTAGATCTATGCCTGGACTCCTCAGTTCACTGAAGAGTTTATGATTTATGTTTCTCTTAAAGCATTTTGGGTTGGGATTTCTGTCACTCATCGTCAAAAGAGCCCTAAATAATCTAAGATACATAAAGGAAATAAGGTTGTTAAGACACATTGGGCAGGTTGCAGTGGCTAACGCCTGTAATCACAGGACTTTGGGAGGCCAAAGCAGGCAGATTACTTGAGGTCAAGAGTTCGAGACCAGCCTGGCCAACATGATGAAACCCCATCTCTACTAAAAATACAAAAAAAAAGTTTAGCTGGGCGTGGTGGTGCACCCCTGTAATCCCAGCTACTTGAGAGGCTGAGGCAGGCAAATGAATCGCTTGAACCCAGGAGATGGAGATTGCAGTGAGCCAGATTGTGCCACTGCACTCTAGCCTGGGTGATGAAGTGAGACTTTGTCAAAAAAAAAAAAAAAAGACACATTGAATTGAATTTCAATTTTTTTTTTTTTCACATCTGGGATTTGCAGGCCAGATAGGGACATTGACTTAACCAAAGGTAACTTAGAAAAGGCACTAAGATGCAAAATCTCCCTTTCAGTATAAGGCT
Organism: Homo sapiens; assembly: GCF_000001405.40. NCBI lineage: Eukaryota > Metazoa > Chordata > Mammalia > Primates > Hominidae > Homo > Homo sapiens. Next base: position 65,242,048 of record NC_000016.10, on the reverse strand, counting down.
CTTATCAAATACCTACTTTCCCTTCCATTTCACAGAAAGATCGATAGTTGTACAAGTCTTTTCTAGTTATTTCTGCGTTATCTCCAATGCACTGCTGAAGACTCTGCACATCTAGAAAATAATTGGGAATACCATATTTGAGGGTTTTTTTCAGTGTCCCTTTATAATCAGAAAGTTTTCTTTAAAACAAAACAAAAAATAGAATCCTGGGTGCAATGGCTCACACCTCTAATCCCAGCATTTTGGGAGACTGAAGTGCGCAGATCATTTGAGCCCAGGAGTTCAAGACCACCCTGGGCAACATGGTGAAACCCCATATCTACTAAAAATACAAAAAAAAAAAAAATTAGCCAGGCGTGGTGGTGGGTACTTGTAGTCCCAGCTACTTGGGAGGCTGAGGCAGGAGGATTGATTGATCCCGGGAGATGGAGGTTGAGTGAGCTGTGATCCCGCCACTGTCTGGGTGGCAGAGTGAGACCCTGACTTAAAAAAAGAAAAAGAAAAGAATATTATTTCTTTCAATTGCTCAGAGCCCAATTCAGAGTGGTTACTTTTGGGTCCTATATTTTGAGTTGAAGAAACATTTGTAAAGGAAAAGCCCATTGTTTCTTATATCTTTGGCAAGAGCCAGGCATTTTTAGGCAGTTGGCTCAGTTATAAATGGAGTCAGTTCCTGGAGAACTCCAGGTCCATCTCTGGGACACCCTTCAACCTGGTTCTTTTGGAGTAGCTTCTAGCACAGGATTCAAGTCTCAGTAGCCTCCCAGTTTTTGGTGTCATGACTGAGTGCTGACAATGGATATTTGAACTTTCAATGTAATCTGGAAAACCTCATTAGTTATGTAACTCAGAATAACTCATTGGTAGATGTTCCAAGGACAGGAAACCTGACTGCACTTATCAACAAAGCACAGCTTACATTGTTGCAAACTGATAGAATGTTAGAGTTGGAAGGGCTGAGATAACTCATTAACATAGCCTTCTCATTTTCCAGAGGTAGAAACTCAGGTTTCAGAATAGCAAAGTGAGTTCCTTAAAGGCACACAGTAAGTCAGGGGTGGAGCTAGGGTGAGTTCATCTTTTTGTCTTACAGTCTTTTTAGGGAACTGGAAAGGCTACCACTGCTTCATCCTTAGTGATATTGGTAAAAAGATCACCATTGAGTTCTGAAGATGCAGAAACACAGTTAACTATCACAACCTCTTGGTTTATTGGTTTGAGGATATGATCACCGCTGATCACAACCCATTGAAGTAAGATTTAGCTATTAAAAATTGGAACCAATTTCCAACCCTCTATTCTTAAGTCTGTGTGAACACCATTTGGTAGCCCCAGCAGCCCAACAGGATTCTCATTAACCAACCCCTAGGGGAGACTTTTGCCAGCCTACATAACTAGTCTGCTGTAATTCATCAGACTGGTATATAGCACAGCTAGTGCTTGAAGCTAGTGCTCACCCACACTAAAGAGCCCCTTTTGGGATAGTCTCCGCTGCTGTTCCTGACTAAAATTCTCCATTCTCTCTTGCTGCTGCCTTAAATGCCTGGGTTGCAAATTCTGGTCATACATCTTAAATGCTGTAACTATGGTTCTTCCTTTATTTGCCTAGTTATGTTTGAGATTGGTTAAAAACACATACATACAGTGAGCGGAGTTGCAGGTGATGATTTGAACAGGCAAATTCTATTTATTTAACACTAAAGTAACTTTGCCTAGCGATGCCTTTCTGGAGAACTGATTCTCAAATTACTGGGGCTCCAGTAGCCCTGAGTTCCAGGGAAACTAATAGACTGGTGCCTGAGCCTCTTCTTTCCTCTTAACCCCTTCAATCACCTCTGACAATTGCTATGAGCATGGTTTTCACAACTTTAAGCAGCTCCTTCCAGATACTCTTTGCAGGAGTGTTGATAAGAAACCTAAACACGGATGTCAGGGAGAAACAGATTAGAATGACTTTTGAAATCCTCTGCTGGGTGTGTAGAGGGAAATTTATAGCACTAAATGCCCACAAGAGAAAGCAGGAAAGATCCAAAATTGACAACCTAACATCACAATTAAAAGAACTAGAAAAGCAAGAGCAAACACATTCAAAAGCTAGCAGAAGGCAAGAAATAACTAAAATCAGAGCAGAACTGAAGGAAATAGAGACACAAAAAACCCTTCAAAAAATTAATGAATCCAGGAGCTGGTTTTTTGAAAGGATCAACAAAATTGATAGACCGCTAGCAAGACTAATAAAGAAAAAAAGAGAGAAGAATCAAATAGACACAATAAAAAATGATAAAGGGGATATCACCACCGATCCCACAGAAATACAAACTACAATTAGAGAATACTACAAACACCTCTATGCAAATAAACTAGAAAATCTAGCAGAAATGGATAAATTTCTCGACACATACACTCTCCCAAGACTAAACCAAGAAGAAGTTGAATCTCTGAATAGACCAATAACAGGAGCTGAAATTGTGGCAATAATCAATAGTTTACCAACCAAAAAGAGTCCAGGACCAGATGGATTCACAGCTGAATTCTACCAGAGGTACAAGGAGGAACTGGTACCATTCCTTCTGAAACTATTCCAATCAATAGAAAAAGAGGGAATCCTCCCTAACTCATTTTATGAGGCCAGCATCATTCTGATACCAAAGCCAGGCAGAGACACAACCAAAACAGAGAATTTTAGACCAATATCCTCGATGAACATTGGTGCAAAAATCCTCAATAAAATACTGGCAAAACGAATCCAGCAGCACATCAAAAAGCTTATCCACCATGATCAAGTGGGCTTCATCCCTGGGATGCAAGGCTGGTTCAATATACACAAATCAATAAATGTAATCCAGCATATAAACAGAGCCAAAGACAAAAACCACATGATTATCTCAATAGATGCAGAAAAAGCCTTTGACAAAATTCAACAACCCTTCATGCTAAAAACTCTCAATAAATTAGGTATTGATGGGACGTATTTCAAAGTAATAAGAGCTATCTATGACAAACCCACAGCCAATATCATACTGAATGGGCAAAAACTGGAAGCATTCCCTTTGAAAACTGGCACAAGACAGGGATGCTCTCTCTCACCACTCCTATTCAACACAGTGTTGGAAGTTCTGGCCAGGGCAATTAGGCAGGAGAAGGAAATAAAGGGTATTCAATTAGGAAAAGAGGAAGTCAAATTGTCCCTGTTTGCAGATGACATGATTGTATATCTAGAAAACCCCATTGTCTCAGCCCAAAATCTCCTTAAGCTGATAAGCAACTTCAGCAAAGTCTCAGGATACAAAATCAATGTACAAAAATCACAAGCATTCTTATACACCAACAACAGACAAACAGGGAGCCAAATCATGAGTGAACTCCCATTCGCAATTGCTTCAAAGAGAATAAAATACCTAGGAATCCAACTTACAAGGGATATGAAGGACCTCTTCAAGGAGAACTACAAACCACTGCTCAAGGAAATAAAAGAGGATACAAACAAATGGAAGAACATTCCATGCTCATGGGTAGGAAGAATCAATATCTTGAAAATGGCCATACTGCCCAAGGTAATGTACAGATTCAATGCCATCCCCATCAAGCTACCAATGCCTTTCTTCACAGAATTGGAAAAAACTACTTTAAAGTTCATATGGAACAAAAAAAGAGCCCGCATCGCCAAGTCAATCCTAAGCCTAAAGAACAAAGCTGGAGGCATCACACTACCTGACTTCAAACTATACTACAAGGCTACAGTAACCAAAACAGCATGGTACTGGTACCAAAACAGAGATATAGATCAATGGAACAGAACAGAGCCCTCAGAAATAACGCCGCATATCTACAACTATCTGATCTTTGACAAACCTGAGAAAAACAAGCAATGGGGAAAGGATTCCCTATTTAATAAATGGTGTTGGGAAAACTGGCTAGCCATATGTAGAAAGCTAAAACTGGATCCCTTCCTTACACCTTATACAAAAATCAATTCAAGATGGATTAAAGACTTAAACGTTAGACCTAAAACCATAAAAACCCTAGAAGAAAACCTAGGCATTACCATTCAGGACATAGGCATGGGCAAGGACTTCATGTCTAAAACACCAAAAGCAATGGCAACAAAAGCCAAAATTGACAAATGGGATCTAATTCAACTAAAGAGCTTCTGCACAGCAAAAGAAACTACCATCAGAGTGAACAGGCAACCTACAAAATGGGAGAAAATTTTCGCAACCTACTCATCTGACAAAGGGCTAATATCCAGAATCTACAATGAACTCAAACAGATTTACAAGAAAAAAACAAACAACCCCACCAAAAAGTGGGCGAAGGACATGAACAGACACTTCTCAAAAGAAGACATTTATGCAGCCAAAAAACACATGAAAAAATGCTCATCATCACTGGCCATCAGAGAAATGCAAAACAAAACCACAATGAGACACCATCTCACACCAGTTAGAATGGCAATCATTAAAAAGTCAGGAAACAACAGGTGCTGGAGAGGATGTGGAGAAATAGGAACATTTTACACTGTTGGTGGGACTGTAAACTAGTTCAACCATTGTGGAAGTCAGTGTGGCGATTCCTCAGGGATCTAGAACTAGAAATACCATTGGACCCAGCCATCCCATTACTGGGTATATACCCAAAGGACTATAAATCATGCTGCTATGAAGACACATGCACACGTATGTTTATTGCGGCATTATTCACAATAGCAAAGACTTGGAACCAACCCAAATGCCCAACAATGATAGACTGGATTAAGAAAATGTGGCACATATACACCATGGAATACTATGCAGCCATAAAAAATGATGAGTTCATGTCCTTTGTAGGGACATGGATGAAATTGGAAAGCATCATTCTCAGTAAACTATCGCAAGAACAAAAAACCAAACACGGCATATTCTCACTCATAGGTGGGAATTGAACAATGAGATCACATGGACACAGGAAGGGGAATATCACACTCTGGGGACTGTTGTGGGGTGGGGGGAGGGGGGAGGGATAGCATTGGGAGATATACCTAATGCTAGATGACGAGTTAGTGGGTGCAGCGCACCAGCATGGCACATGTATACATATGTAACTAACCTGCACAATGTGCACATGTACCCTAAAACTTAAAGTATAATAATAAAAAAAAAAAAAAAAGAAAAAAGAAAGCCTCTGCTGGGTGCCAAAGGTCTCAATCAAGGGACGGAGGCTTCCTGGTCTAGTCACCACCCACTCAACCTTGAAGATATGGCTTCAGGCCTGCAGCCCCTTCAGCAAAAATTGGTCTTTTCCCAGATCCCAACATTGGGTTTGGGCTCATTTTTGTCACATCTTTTCAGAGACAGCCCTACTGAGTAGTTCTATGAGGCTTATACTGGCAGAGAAAACCTCTCCTCTGCAATGGTGGGAGATAAAAAGGATCCAGAGGTGAGGCCCAGTTGTGAAGTCAGAATCAAATAAGCCAAAGACCCAACTAATTATGGATTATCACACCCAAAAGAAGCTAAAATCAAGTGTGAATCTCCAAGATCAAGAGCAGTGATCTTGGATGTCCAGTGTGGGCAGAATGGGCACACCAATTCCATGCCTGTAGAGAGCAGCTTCCAACACATTTTTGTGTTGAAATCTGTGGATATTGTTTCTGTCCTTGTCACAATGTACTAGGTGTAGGGGGGACAGTGAGTTCCCAGCTGGTGGGACCATCTGGGAAATTCAAGAACTAGAACCTGGATAACTCCTTAAGAGATGTGATCAAGCAGAACCAGAGAAAAAAATCAATAGCAACTGACTGGAAGGGAAGCATTTGAGAGGGCAGGAAGAGATGGTGTGTGCATTAACATGGTGTTGGTGAGTGATGGCTATAGGAGAGTAAATTTGTTCTCCAAAACTTCCCATTTGCTCAATTCCAAGTCCCATTCATGGCCACGTGGCTACTGTGCAATTCCATCCCACTCTAGAGGAAACCCAGGCTTCAGCCCCTCTCTGCTGGGTGCCCAACACCCCTCCTGAGCCAGCAAGCCCAGCTCTTCAGGGCTTGATTGCCCTGTGATTAAGGGGGTTTGTTGGGGCCTGACACACTGAGAAAGGGGTGGGGAGGAGGCAATAAATATTTAACGAGAATTTTGCTTCTGGGCCTTCCTCTTACAGGGGGATATGGAAATCAAAAGTCTTCACTGGAACCCCTGTTGTTGGAGGACAAAGAAATGTTCTCTCACTGCTGTGAAAATGAGCCACTGGCTCCTCAGCAAGAGGCAGCTTGGAGAGGGGGTGTCTTTAATCAATCACAGAGCAAAAAGCCCTTTCCTGGAAAGAATTATCCCCAGTGCTTTCTCTAATAACACTCCCAGGCCGCAGCCTGATGGATGTGGAGTTATGGCCTTGGAGTAGAGGCTCTTGGGTTATGAGGTGGAGATTTATGCCGCATTCTCCACCAGTGCTCCCCACCCTGTTCTGAGAACAGAGCCATCAAAGTGGGTCCTGCAGCTCGCTGGGCCACGCGAAGTTGCTGGTCGGGGCTTCAAATAATATGATGAAGGACTAGAGGACAAAACTTTCTGAAACAAAGCCTTAGACATTGTGAGGAGCTGGATTTGTGGCTTTAGACAAGTCAATGTGACTCTCTGTATCTTTAAATTTCCAAACCTGTAATACAGAGATAGTAATAATGGTACCAACCACATAGGATTTTTTCTGAGAATTTAATGAGACAAATGTCGGCCTCTGAGCCCAAGCCAAGCCATCGCATCCCCTGTGACTTGCACGTATACGCCCAGATGGCCTGAAGTAACTGAAGAATCACAAAAGAAGTGAATATGCCCTGCCCCACCTTAACTGATGACATTCCACCACAAAAGAAGTGTAAATGGCCGGTCCTTGCTTCAAGTGATGACATTACCTTGTGAAAGTCCTTTTCCTGGCTCATCCTGGCTCAAAAAGCACCCCCACTGAGCACCTTTCGACCCCCACTCCTGCCCGCCAGAGAACAAAGCCCCTTTGACTGTAATTTTCCATTACCTTCCCAAATCCTATAAAACGGCCCCACCCTTATCTCCCTTTGCTGACTCTCTTTTCGGACTCAGCCCGCCTGCACCCAGGTGAAATAAACAGCCATGTTGCTCACACAAAGCCTGTTTGGTGGTCTCTTCACACAGACGCGCATGAAATTTGGTAATCAGGTAAGCGGCCTCTTCTTACTCTCTTCTCCAACCTCTCTCACTGTCCCTCAACCACTTTCTCCTTTCCACTCTTCAATCTCTCCCTTCTCTTAATTTCAATTCCTTTCATTTTCTTGGAGAGACAAAGGAGACACGTTTTATCCGTGGACCCAAAACTCCGGCGCCGGTCATGGACTGGGAAGGCAGCCTTCCCTTGGTGTTTAATCATTGCTGGGACACTTCTCTGATTATTCACCCACATTTCAAAGATGTCAGACCACGCAGGGACGCCTGCCTTGGTCCTTCACCCTTAGCGGCAAGTCCCGCTTTCCTGGGGCAGGGGCAAGTACCCCTCAACCCCTTCTCCTTCACCCTTAGTGGCAAGTCCCGCTTTCCTAGGAGGCAAGAACCCCCAGTCGTTTATTTCTGCACCCCAACCTCTTATCTCTGTGCCCCAATCCCTTATTTCTGTACCCTGACCTCTTATCTCTGTGCCCCAATCCCTTATTTCCGTGCCCCAACCCCTTCTCTGCTTTTCTGGAGGGCAGGAACCCTCCACCCCTTCTCCGTGTCTCTACTCTTTTCTCTGGACTTGCCTCCTTCGCTATGGGTAAGCTTCCACCTTCCATTCCTCCTTCTTCCTTAGCCTGTGTTTTCAAAAACTTAAAACCTCTTCAACTCACACCTGACCTAAAACCTAAATGCCTTTTCTTCTGCAATGCCACTTGACCCCAATACAAACTCGACAGTAGTTCCAAATAGCCAGAAAATGGCACTTTGAATTTTTCCATCCTGCAAAATCTAAATAATTCTTGTAAAATAGGCAAACGGTCTGAGGTGCCTGACATCCAAGCATTCTTTTACACATCAGTCCCTTCCTAGTCTCTGTGCCCAGTGCAACTCGTCCCAAATCTTCCTTCTTTCCCTCCCGCCTGTCCCCTCAGTACCAACTCCAAGCGTCGCTGAGGCTTTCTAATCTTCCTTTTCTACAGACCCATCTGACCTCTCCCTTCCTCCCCAGGCTGCTCCTCGCCAGGCCGAGCTGGGTCCCAATTCTTCCTCAGCCTCCGCTCCTCCACCCTATAATCTTTGTATCACCTCCCCTCACACCTGGTCCGGCTTACAGTTTCGGCCCGTGACTAGCCCTCCCCCACCTGCCCAGCAATTTACTTTTAAAACGGTGGCTGGCGCCAAAGGCATAGTCAAGGTTAATGCTCCTTTTTCTTTATCCCAAATCAGAAGCGTTTAGGTTCTTTTTCATCAAATATAAAAATCCAGCCCAGTTCATAACTTGTTTGGTAGCAACCCTGAGACACTTTACAGCCCTAGACCCTAAAACGTCAAAAGGCCGTCTTATTCTTAAAATACATTTTATTACCCAATCTGCTCCCGACATTAAATAAAACTCCAAAAATTAAATTCCAGCCCTCAAACCCCACAACAGGATTTAATTAACCTCGCCTTCAAGGTGTAGAATAATAGAAAAAAGTTGCAATTCCTTACCTTCACTGTGAGACAAACCCCAGCCACATCTCCAGCACACGAGAACTTCCAAACGCCTGAACCGCAGCGGCCAGGTGTTCCTCCAGAACCTCCTCCCACAGGAGCTTGCTACACGTGCCGGAAATCTGGCCACTGGGCCAAGGAATGCCCGCTGCCCGGGATTCCTCCTAAGCCGCGTCCCATCTGTGTGGGACCCCACTGAAAATCGGACTGTTCAACTCACCTGGCAGCCACTCCCAGAGCCCCTGGAACTCTGGCCCAAGGCTCTCTGACTGACTCCTTCCCAGATCTTCTCGGCTTAGCGGCTGAAGACTGACACTGCCCGATCGCCTCGGAAGCCCCCTAGACCATCACGAACGCCGAGCTTTGGGTAACTCTCACAGTGAAAGGTAAGCCCGTCCCCTTCTTAATCAATATGGAGGCTACCCACTCCACATTACCTTCTTTTCAAGGGCCTGTTTCCCTTGCCTCCATAACTGTTGTGGGTATTGACGGCCAGGCTTCTAAACCTCTTAAAACTCCCCAACTCTAGTGCCAACTCAGAAAATACTCTTTTAAGCACTCCTTTTTAGTTATCCCCACCTGCCCAGTTCCCTTATTAGGCTGAGACACTTTAACTAAATTATCTGCTTCCCTGACTATTCCTGGACTACAGCTATATCTCATTGCTGCCCTTCTTCCCAATCCAAAGCCTCCTTTGCGTCCTCCTCTTGTATCCCCCCACCTTAACCCACAAGTATAAGATACCTCTACTCCCTCCTTGGCGACTGATCATGCACCCCTTACCATCTCATTAAAACCTAATCACCCTTACCCCACTCAACGCCAATATCCCATCCCACAGCACGCTTTAAAAAGATTAAAGCCTGTTATCACTCTCCTGCTACAGCATGGCCTTTTAAAGCCTATAAACTCTCCTTACAATTCTCCCATTTTACCTGTCCTAAAACCAGACAAGCCTTACAAGTTAGTTCCGGATCTGTGCCTTATCAACCAAATTGTTTTGCCTATCCACCCTATGGTGCCAAACCCATATCCTCTCCTATCCTCAATACCTGCCTCTATAACCCATTATTCTGTTCTAGATGTCAAACATGCTTTCTTTACTATTCCTTTGCACCCTTCATCCCAGCCTCTCTCCACTTTCACTTGGACTGACCCTGACACCCATCAAGCTCAGCAAATTACCTAGGCTGTACTGCTGCAAAGCTTCACAGACAGCCCCCATTACTTCCATCAAGCCCAAATTTCTTCCTCATCTGTTACCTATCTCGGCATAATTCTCATAAAAACACACGTGCTCTCCCTGCCAATAGTGTCCGACTGATCTCTCAAACCCCAGCACCTTCTACAAAACAACAACTCCTTTCCTTCCTAAACATGGTTAGTGTGGTCAGAACTCTTACACAAGAGCCAGGACCACACCCTGTAGCCTTTCTGTCCAAACAACTTGACCTTACTGTTTTAGCCTAGCCCTCATGTCTGCCTGCAGCGGCTGCCACTGCTTTAATACTGTTAGAGGCCCTAAAAATCACAAACTATGCTCAACTCACTCGCTACATTTCTCATAACTTCCAAAATCTATTTTCTTCCTCATACCTGACGCATATACTTTCTGCTTCCTGGCTCCTTCAGCTGTACTCACTCTTTGTTGAGTCTCCCACAATTACCATTGTTCCTGGCCCAGACTTCAATCCAGCCTCCCACATTATTCCTGATACCACACCTGACCCCCATGACTGTATCTGTCTGATCCACCTGACATTCATCCCATTTCCCCAGATTTCCTTCTTTCCTGTTCCTCACCCTGATCACGCTTGATTTATTGATGGAGGTTCCACCAGGCCTAATCGCCACACACCAGCAAAGGCAGGTTATGCTATAGTACAAGCCACTAGCCCGCCTCTCAGAACCTCTCATTTCCTTTCCATCGTGGAAATCTATCCTCAAGGAAATAACTTCTCAGTGTTCCATCTGCTATTCTACTACTCCTCAGGGATTATTCAGGCCCCCTCCCTTCCCTACACATCAAGCTCAAGGATTTGCCCCCACCCAGGACTGGCAAATTAGTTTTAATCAACATGCCCGAGTCAGGAAACTAAAATACCTGTTAGTCTAAATAGACACTTTCACTGAATAAGTAAAGGCCTTTCCTACAGGGTCTGAGAAGGCCACCGCAGTCATTTCTTCCCTTCTGTCAGACATAATTCCTCAGTTTAGCCTTCCCACCTCTATACAGTCTGATAACAGATGAGCCTTTATTAGTCAAATCAGCCAAGCAGTTTTTCAGGCTCTTAGTATTCAGTGAAACCTTTATATCCCTTATGGTCCTCCGCCTTCAAGAAAAGTAGAGTGGACTAAAGGTCTTTTAAAAACACACCTCACCAAGCTCAGCCACCAACTTAAAAAGGACTGGACAATACTTTTACCACTTTTGCTTCTCAGAATTCAGGCCTGTCCTCAGAATGCTACAAGGTGTACAGGAGCCCATTTAAGCTCCTGTATAGACGCTCCTTTTTATTAGGCCCCAGTCTCATTCGACACCAGAGCAACTTAGACTGTGCCCCCAAAAAAACTTGTCATCCCTACTATCTTTTGTCTAGTCATACTCCTATTCATCGTTCTCAACTACTCATACATGCCCTGCTCTTGTTTACACTGCCGGTTTACACTGTTTCTCCAAGCCATCACAGCTGATATCTCCTGGTGCTATCCCCAAACTGCCACTCTAAACTCTTGAAGTAAATAAATAATCTTTGCTGGCAGGACTATGCTGAATCTCCTGAGGCACTCTCTAATCAGATATCCTGAGTCGTCCCAATTCTTAAACCTTTTATACCTATTTTTCTCCTTCTCTTATTCCATTTCGTTTCTCAATTCATCCAAAACCGTATCCAGGCCATCACCAATCATTCTATACGACAAATGTTTCTTCTAACATCCCCACAATATCACCCCTTACCACAAGACCTCCCTTCAGCTTAATCTCTCCCACTCTAGGTTCCCACGCCACCCCTAATCCCGCTTGAAGCAGCCCTGAGAAACATCGCCCATTCTCTCTCCATGTCACCCTCCAAAAATTTTCGCCGCCCCAACACTTCAACACCATTTTGTTTTATTTTTCTTATTAATATAAGAAGGCAGGAATGTCAGGCCTCTGAGCCCAAGCCAAGCCATCGCATCCCCTGTGACTTGCAGGTATATGCCCAGATGGCCTGAAGTAACTGAAGAATCACAAAAGAAGTGAATATGCCCTGCCCCGCCTTAACTGATGACATTCCACCACAAAAGAAGTGTAAATGGCCGGTCCTTGCTTTAAGTGATGAGGTTACCTTGTGAAAGTCCTTTACCTGGCTCATCCTGGCTCAAAAAGCACCCCCACTGAGCACCTTGCGACCCCCCACTCCTGCCCGCCAGAGAACAAACCCCCTTTGACTGTAATTTTCCTTTACCTACCCAAATCCTATAAAACGGCCCCACCCTTATCTCCCTTTGCTGACTCTCTTTTCGGACTCAGCCCGCCTGCACCCAGGTGAAATAAACAGCCATGTTGCTCACACAAAGCCTGTTTGGTGGTCTCTTCACATGGATGAGCATGAAAACAATATTGTTAAAAACACTTGGAATGATGTACATATAATAATTACCCTATATGTGTTAGTTTATTTATTTATTTATTTATTTATTTTTAATTACTGTTATTGTGCTGGTGGTGGTAGTGGTTATTCTGGAGGAAGTAGGGACTTAGAACCAAAGTGTCAGGCAACAGCTGTCATGCGAAGAGATAGGAATGTGGTTGATCCAGGGAAAATTCCATGTCTTCTTAGCAATAAGAACTGACCTAGGTTGATTGCTCACTATGCTCAAAGGATGTGTTATTCATTATCTCACTTACCCTCAATGTACTCATCAACATCATCATCATCAGTATCACTACCATCATCGTCATCACCATCGTCATCATCATTATCAGAGATAGAAATAAAATCCAGGTCTGATGGACTTCAAAGCCTGTATTTATTCTTTCTCCCACAGTCATCTCTCTGGCCCTCTGCAATCCTTTCATTTATTGCAACATTGGAATGCCAGGGAGTTATGATTTTAGCCTCTTAGGCTGTTCTGCCCCCCTACTATGCCCATGCTAAATCCCCTCAGCTGCCACTACTGATGATGTTGACCTGAAGCCTCAATTCTGCTCTCCCCCTGAGATAATCCTGACCAGACATTTTGTCTGTCACAGCCACAAGAGTAAGTGTCTTACTGCCATAGGCCCCAGCCTTCCAAGGCTGGCAAAACTCTGGCCATCAAATCCACTCTCGTTCTTCCCCTTGCTCCTCAGAGCTGACTCCATTTCTGGCCTTCTGCCTCAGTTTTCCTCTTTAGCATTTCTATTTCTATTTACACCTCTACTAAATCTTATTCTCTTACAGACAGCCTAGGTATCTGGATCTGAATATCAAAGCCAACTTTCTCCCTGGGGTCTGATTCCCAATTGTCTGAAATTATGGCACTATTACCTGCCTTGCCACTTGCTACAGACCCTGCACTGGAGCCCCCTGCATGGCAAAATGACCTGATAAAGCCTGAGAAAACCATGCATCACAGGCCACTATGAATGAGGTTGCTTTGAATAGTAATGGTGATTACTCTCCTCTCTACTGCTTCATATATTAAACCCAGTTCAACTCTAAATAAAGCAATGGAGGAGTTCACTTATTTCCTCTCCACTTTATTCAGATTCAGATGAAGAGAATGTCATGTTTACTAGCAGAGAATGAACTCCTTTTTGGAAACTGATTTTCCTCCATCAGGTCCTTTTCTGACTTCCTTTTTCCAGTTTCAAGAGGTCTCCTTGTGTTCTGTGTTCATGTTCTCTCACCCATCCTGATTTTCCAAGATTTCCCTACACCTGGATGCCTTATCTTTCTCACGTTAAGGGGAATCACCAACTGCTCCGGACCGAAGCATCCTGCTTGGCCCCTACTCAATTCCTTCATGCTGTGTCTTTGCTACTTCCCATGACCTCATCTCTCAAATTCTGGGATGTCCTTTGCTCTCCTTCCATGTTCAAATGTTGATTTGATATGGAAAGGTAAATGTGGTGAGTGTCCTCAAGGTTCTAGTCTCTTTTGCCTCCCTCCAGACAGCTCTGAGTAGTGTTTGTTAGATTGACCTGTTTGAAGATGGGATATTGATGGACTCATCATTATGTGTGTGGCACCAAGGACAGTGTTCATCACATATAGGAGTCCTGGCTCCTCGCTCTTTCCTGGGCCCATCAACCTCTTGGGGAAGGGTGGCGCTGAACTGATGGCTCATTCCTAAGAGGACTGAGATTATTAAAAAATTGTGTCCCCTTTGTTGCTATCTGACTATTCACAGGTGATCTTCAACATTAGAAGCTCTAATGGGTTCTGCCCTGGTGATGGCCCTTCCCCAGTCTGGACAACACACTTCAAGAGTAAAACTTTGCTGTAAATAAATGAATCAACAAACAAATGAATAACAAGTGAACACATGTGTACAGCAAATGTTGAAACAGCCCTTTCAACTTTAAAGGTACCCCTGAAGGTCATCTTCAGGGAGGAGTAACAGAATGAGGGGTTCACAAATGAAGAGATGGGAGATTTTTGGGAAATAGATACAAGGCCAGAAAGGTCACAGTTAAAGGTTCAAAGCCTCTTGGCTGCTGGTGGTATTCAGGGTGCCTGAAATTACACTCCCTTGCCAAGGATGCTGCAAGGCAACAGGGTGCATATCTGAACCTCCCTCCAATTTTCCCCCAACACTTGATTCCAATATTCTGAAGGGCAAGCTGGGCCTAGTCCAGGTGAGCCAGGACTCTGTATTATACTCACCTTTCTTTCCACTACAACAGCTGGCTGATTGCTCTGTGTTGAAGGGGTTTATGATGACCCTGTTAATTGATGCACAAAACAATCCTTCAAAAGGTAAACTGATCCCACTGCTCCCTGAGGCAGCAGGAAACCTTAGTCTTTGCAGCCTGCCTTCTGTTGCTTGTTCCATACCTGAGATAATAGTGCTTCCCCAGTAAACACCAGCGGGGAAACAGTTAAGCATTGTGTGGTGTATTTCACTCCAGGAGGGCAGTTCAGTGTGTGATTGAACATTCCATCATCATTTGCCATCTTCAAATTGCCCATAAGAAACCCCAACATCTAGATGCAGTGTTAGAACAAAGAGGGCTAGTTACTTTGCATTGTAGGCAGTAGGCAGAAAAATTTGAGCAAAGGCATTAGGATAAATGCAATGATCAGAAAGATGATAGAGATATTTTTTCATGGATTGCTTTTGTTGGTGATTTTTCTTTTTAATGTAGAAAAGCCATATTTTATGAAGGGGTTCAGGGGGGTTTGGGGAGAGAGCAAAAAGTCAAGCAATGTTGTTTTGAATCCCAATTTCCTTTGACGAATACAGTATTCCACCCTAGAACCTTCTCGTATGTATGAGAAAATGTGTAATACATACATATACCAAGAAATGATCTTTCCTCTTCTGAGGAAGCTGCATTCAAATCTTATGTTTAGGGGAGAAGTAAAGAATTTCCATTTTTTTGTTTGTTTTTTTTTATGCACATGCATGATCCATTGCTATGGATTTTATAGCCATTAGCTCATTTAATCCTAGCAAATAATTCCCAAAATAAATATTATAATGCTCATTTTATAAATGAGAAAACTAAGGCTCAGAATCTAAAATTGCTCACATTGGTTCCTAGGGTCAGTTCATTTTGGAACTGGGCTTCTAGACAAGGCTGATTTAACTTAAAGGCTTGATGAGGCAGAATAAGAGAGTGGCCAAGGGTACAGGATGCCCGACCAGGCTGAATCTTGCTACTACTGCGTACCAGCTCATTGATGTTAGGGCATTTATACAACCTCTCCGAGGTTTTAGTTCTCTTATCTGTAAAACCAAGCAACTCTTTAATGAGGTAATGCATGCAGTGCACTAAATGAATGGCCCAGCATAGGGTAAATGCTACTTAACTGGTAGTTACCATTGCTCCCATCACACTATCAAGATGTCTGGTTTGTTGGAAGAACCCTGTTCTCAATGGATCTTTATTAGAGAGTAATACAATAGATGCCCAGGCAGGAGGCTATGTCAGTTTTCCCTGAGAGACAGGATAGGGCTAAAGTGGTAAGAAAGGAGAGAAATAAATGGCATCCAAGGAAACTCAAGTGGGAAATGGATACGATTCATGGCCTTCTACATTGGGCAATGTATGAGAAAGGGAAGAGTCAAGAATGACTCCAAGGTTCTGGCTGGATCAAGCCATTGGCTGATTCACCATTAACCAACATGGCAAAAACAGCTGGAGGAGGAAGTAATAATGACATGTATATAGGGATCTCTTATCTAGAAGGGCATATATCCAAGATCCATTATTTTGTGGAAATATTAATCAATAACTCTAGCCGTAACTGAATTTATATTTTATTATAAATAGAGAACAATTAGAATCTGGCATCCAGAAAGAGCATAGATTGCTCTCGTAATTAGACACTAAGGAGAAAACACTTGTGGCTCAAAAAGTTTACTTCTTTACCCTGTCTTTATTCCCGGGCTCATGTTCCTTATTTAATACGAACCAAAATTCACCATAAAGTTCTTAGGTGCCAGCTTGCAAAAGCCCCCATGTGATTCAATTAGATTTGCTTTTGCCCTGCAAATTAAAGTCAGTACAAGGCCAGGGTGTGAAGCGAGCCCGATCAGAGCAGGCTGCTAATGAAAGCAACAACTGACTGTGTCACTGCCTCCTTTGTGTAGTGGTGAACGTGAACCAAAGTCCTTTTTTACAATTTGAAAGTTAAAAATGAGACCAAAGTCTGAGCAGCCCAAAGGAATAGATGACCAAGCAAGGGGCCATTTTTTTCTTTCTTTCTTTTTTTTTTTCCAAATCATGAGTTTCCCAAGTGAGGGTTTTAATAAGAGCCCCTGTTTTTGGCCATTGTTCCATAAAGGCATTTGATTTGCATCCTTAGGGCAAATGTGCTGGACTTTGAAATTCTTTGTTTTCTTCGAGCAGCAAAAATATTACAGAAGTCAGCACACTGAGGACCACTGAGCTTCAGAGCAGTACAGTTCTGCTGAAGGGTGGCAGGCTATCAGGCAAGGAGGCACCAATCATGTGCCAAGAAAGACAACAGCTGCTGGGATCAGAGATTCATTTATTCAGCACCTATGTATTGAGCCTTTACAACTGCCAAACATTGTTATTGGTGCTGGAGACAAAGCTACCTGCTCTTATGGAACTCACATTCCTTGGGGGGAAACATACTAGTCATGAAAATGCACCCTTGCCTTCATTGAGCTCAAATCTTTGAGAGATGTTTGTGATTTCTGGCAAAAACAATGAGAGACAACAACCATTTTGATTGAGAACACAGGCTTTGGAATTACAAAGCCATGGTGTGAGTTTTTGATCTGCCATTTATTTGTTAATGTGGTCTTGGGCTATTTACCTCAATTATCTGAGTCTCAGAGCTTTCATCTGTGAAACGGGTATCCTAATGCTCATCACAAAAGATTATGAGATGCCCATGAGATGACACAGAAAAAACAAAGAAAAAAGACTACACCTCAGAGAGGGACAGAGAAACAGAGTCAGTAACGGAGAAACACAATTACAGAGTCACAAACACAGAGACTGAGGTACAGACAAGAAGGCTGAGCAAGGGACAAAGAAGGAAAGGTACCCAGATAAAGAGACACAGGAAGCTGCAAGGAGGAACAGGCAGCCACAGGGAGAGAAATAACACACTGAGAGACACCAGAGACAGAGGGAGACCCCAGATGAACCCACAGTCACTGCAGAAACCAGTGCTGACAAGAAGTCTTGGGTCAAAAGGAGACTGAAGTTCAAAAAGGATAAGTAACTAGCCAGAGGCCACGGGGCTAATAATAATGACATCTCTAATATATACAATAGTAATAATATGCAATAGTAATAATACTGCATATATTAGATATGCAATATATTGCATATATTGCAATAGTATCTAATATTGCAATGTTGCATACATGTGTGGCATATTACTATTGCATATGTTAGAGATGTCATTGTTAACACCATGGCCTCCAGCTAGTTACTTATCCTTTTTCAACCACAGTCTCCTTCTCTGTGAAATGGGGACAATAATACCTCTGCCAATATTGCAGGAAAGATTAAATTTGATACTTTCTGCAAAGTGCCTGGCACAGGACTAAAATTTAATAAGTGGTAAATATGTATTGTATATATTAAAGAAAACACAAAATTATGTGAGCTAAATGCTCCCAAGTCAGTGTTACTTTCTCCTTCTAGGGACTGCAGAGAGTTTAGGAGGGAATTGTTTTTTATTTTTATTTCTTTAACTGATAACTGGAGAGACAGAGGAGGGGATTTTTAAAAATCTTCACACTGGAAAGTTCTTTTGAAAATCACCTCCTAGGGTGTTGTTAAAGACATATTTTGATGAGGACATAAACGATTCACAGGGCAAAAAAATTGCATTTCCCTTGCGGTAGGTGTTATCCGGAAATCTAATGGGAAAAGAATTGCTACAGACATTCAAAACACATCCACTCAGAGTAGCGAGTTGTAATAATAAAAGGAAAAAAAAATCATCTGAGGTAGAAAATGGCTGGCGTTTTCTTTTAGATGCTGGAAAGGGCCATTTTTTGACACATATACCTGTTTCTCAGAAAAGCAATATCAAGTAACTCCCACTTCCATTTCCAAGAAAGCAAAAGAGGCCCTTTTAGCAGACACCATTTATGAGTTGGAGTTTTTTCATTAAAGGGATCCTGTTATTGCAAACCCACATGGGCCATTCCCAGCCAGAGCAGAAGCTGGGACCATCTCAGGTCTCATCAGCTGCACACCCCAAAAACACGTTGTCAGCACTGGTTTCTGCAGTTGCTGTGGGGTCTTCCGGGGTCTTTCTGTCTCTGGTGTCTTTCGGTGTGTATCTCTCTCCCTGTAGCTGCCTGTTCCTCCTTGCAGCTTCCTCTGTCTATTTGGATGTCTTTGCTTCATTGCCTCTTGTGCAGCCTTCCTGTCTGTACCTTAGTCTCTATGTTTGTAGCTCTGTAATTGTGTTTCTCTGTTGCTGACTCTGTTTCTCCTTCTCTCTCTAGGCTGTAGTCTTTTTTCTTTCTTTTCTCTCCTGTTCTCTTTCCTCTTTGCTTTTCTTCACCTCTTTTCTCTACATTTCTTTTTTTTCTCCTGTTCTCTTTCCTCTTTGCTTTTCTCCACCTCTTTTCTCTCCATTTCCCTCTCTGACTCTCAGCTTTTCTCCTTTTCTTTAACTGAATTTTTCAGGAATGTTTTCCCATCTATCTGTTTTCTTTCTCTTTCTGTCTCTCCTTTAATGTCTTACTCACTTTCTCTGACTTCATGATTTTGTCTGGCTATTTTTGTCTGTGTTTCAGACTTATTTCTATTTTTCAATCTTTTCCTCTATCCCACTCTTTCCCTTGCTCACTGTAATTTTTCTTTTTGTCAC
This sequence comes from Homo sapiens, assembly GCF_000001405.40. Lineage (NCBI taxonomy): Eukaryota > Metazoa > Chordata > Mammalia > Primates > Hominidae > Homo > Homo sapiens. Next base: position 65,222,892 of record NC_000016.10, on the reverse strand, counting down.
TGCACCTCTTTTCACTGTGGTTCCTCATGTTTCTAACAATTCTGCCCTGTCTCATTGTCTCTCTGCTCTCAAAATGCACACACTCACTCTCTCTCCCTTCCTGCATCCTAATCTGGTAGACCACTCCGCAGGGGGCAGGCTATAAATTTAAAGGGACCCCATAACACCATTGGGTGTTGTTTGGTTTATGGCGCCTCTGCGAAATCACAGACACATAATTCATTCCAGCAGCAACTTCTTTCTGGTTGAGTCAGCATTGCGCTCAGCACCCAGACATCTATACCATAGCCACCCCCGACACCACCACCAGATTTCCAAGACCCCGGACCCAGCACCCTGAAGGGTCTCTGATTCTGCACTGGAGCAGTTTCTTCTCCCAGGCCCCACTCCTGAATGAAGCCCAGCTCAGACGGCTTTAGGACAGCCTAGACTTAGTCAACTTAAATTCAGGTTGAAATAGACAAAAAGTAGAAATAAAAATAAGATTTTATTTTAAAAATGTGCTGGGGGGTGTGGATAGTGATGGGGAGGATCTACTCCAAGAAGGTGAATTGCCTTGAGGGATTGCAATCCCTGGGAGAGGGCACTTGGAGAACTGCAGCCCCGGTGTCAGGATAACTTGGGTGGGGTCCAGTCTCCCCACCTCCTTTGCTTTGTGACTCCACATTTGTCAATCTGTGTGACACTTTCCCAGGCAACTGACACTGGTGGTGATGTCAGTGGGATTTGACTGTAGAAGGAGGGGGTGGGAAAGTTTTCTCCTCCTCCTCCATGAATTATTAAGCCTGGGTAATTCTCATAGTCAATTCTGGGTCTAAGCTTGATTGATTGGAAAGTAAATTTCAGATTCAGTTATTATTATTCAGATTATTGAGCAGAACTTTGTATCAGAAGGGGTGCTAGGGACTGGCAGATGTATCCTATGTAGGGTCATTCTCCCCTCCAGACTGGCAGGCCAGCTAGCATCCTCCAGCATTTCCCTAGCAGGCTCTATTTCCCTCTTCAAGTCTCAGTTGCAATATCGCCACTCATGCAGGGAGATCTTAGCAGAATAGATTGTCTTCTCCCTTAATCTAAATCATAGCAATCTGCTTATTATCATTTGAGTACTTCACTAATTTATAACTCTAGATTTATACATTTGTTTACTTATTTATGGCTCATCTGTCCTAGCTAGACTTTAAGCTTCATGCAGGAAGAAGCCATGTCCATTTCATGCTCCATTATATACCCAGTGCCTAGGGTAGTGACGGGTAAACTAAGACATGAGAAGTTGAATTAATCCATCTTGAAAGTGGAAGCACCAGGATTTGGACACACATCAGTCTGTCTCCAATATCCAAACTCTATCCTCTATCCAAATACTGATAATTGTCATCTAGGATCCATATCAGGAACATATGAGGTATTTATGCCAATGGCTTAGGACACTATTGGAAAATGTTTTGGAAAAAATGTTATTCTCTGTAAATCAAGAAGGTTAAGGCAGACTATCTCTCAACACCTATGATTTTTTGAAACAGGAAAAAGTATTTTGAATCTCAAGCGAAAGTGGGCACAGAGGACTGATTCTTGTCTGTATGGAGGTGAAAGAGGGCCAATTAAATATGTTTACCCTAGAGATAGATGAGAGTTAAGACTCTGTTGTGGCTCTATAGATGCTCACAAAGCCCTGTCCCACTCAGTGAGCTCAGAGGAGCCTTGAACTCTCTGAAACTGCTGAAGGATTTCCTGTGGCCCAGGAGCTTGCTACATACATCTGGCCCTGCAGCCAGATGACAGAGGTCCTCGCGATCCTTGAGAATGTGGCATCTATGCTCCCATTTTAATTTTATGGTACTAGACATAATAAAATAGGTGTGTGTCCAAATCCCATACTAGATGTGTGTCCAAATCCCATCTGGTACTAGAATTATGGAAAATTCCTTTGGCTTCCATCCTCAGTAGGTTATCATTATTTGATTGCAGGAATTTAACAGACACAGCAACTGCCCTCCAGGTTTTTACCCAATTCTCTTTGACATCCAATGGGCTCCAGGTATCTGTCTTTATCTCCTTTTCTGGGTGCCTCAAGAGATTCCTCCTGCTTCTACATTTTGGTTATTGGGGCTGGAATTGTCTGAGTAAGCATACTGTCTGGTTAATGAAGGACAACTTCAAAGCCTCTTCTTTCAAACTGTCAGAAACAAAACTAACAGCTACTGTATTCCTTATGCATTATACCTAATAATAACAGATTAGCCATAGTTACATTAGATATAATATGGTATTTTAAGGATCTGTAGCATTATAAATGCTAATATTTATTGTGCTAAATAATTTGAGGTATTTCCTAAGGCTCTCAACATCCCCATGTTTTTATATATATGTGTATATTGTTGTTGATATATGGTTGTTGTTTTTGTGAATCCCATTTTAGAAATAAGAAATTGGAAGCTTATGGAGATATACTGACTCACCCAAGGCTATATGGCTGGTAAGAAACAGAGCTGGAACTTAAGCCTTAGCTGACGCTAAGAAGAGCCTGTTTTATACCTACCTCCAGTAAGGACAGGACCTATCCAAAGTAGATTAAAATATATATATTTTTATTGACTATGTGCTAGACTAGTACTGAGGTCGGCCTGGTTCACTCTACATGAGTTATCTGTTTCAACCCCTGCAAGAGTGATAGAGATTGCCCTTACCTTATAGACAGTGAAAATGAGGTTCTTCCTGGAGTACTAAGACTGCATTTTCCTCTAGAGGTCAGATCACCATGGGTCTTGCAGCTGTGTGGTCTGGGTCAACTAGGGAACAACTTGCCTCCCCTTTGATGTCCTCTCTAGTTCACTGTAGGGCTTCATCTGTGCAACTGATGAAGACTTAGACTTGCGCATACTGAGTGGCATGGCTTTGGGCTATCCCTTTCTCTTGTCTGCTTGAGGGGAGGTCACATGTGTACACTTCCCTTCTGCTCCAGCTAACATTTCTCATTGTTTATCCAAACTCTCCAGTTGGGCACACTGTTGTTCTATGTGTGCCCAGTACTGAGAGTGTCTTTACACATATTGTTGCACCTAAACACTGCAAAAATTTTGCAAGGCAAATATTACTGGGAAACTTTATATATTTGGAAACTGAGGCTCAGAAAAAAGTGAATTGTTCAAGTTCACATAGTTTGTGCCAAATGCAACCTGCTTCAAACCTGGACATGCTGACACCTGAGACTTTTCTTTCCAAGGCCTCTGTCGGGCGTCTCTTTCCCTCCTGCCCCTGCTGCCTTGTAGAAATAACACACAAATTGGCCCTGCAAAATCCTAACAGAGGTTTTAGTCATTGACTAAGGTAAGCAGATCTCTGAAGGCTTGCCTTCAAGACTGAGTCTTGCCACTACTGGAATGTGAGATTTTGATGAAGGTTGGTTTCTTTGGGTTCAGATTCTATTGGGCATATAATTTAATAGCTACTACATATTAGAAAAAAGGTCCCCATTTAATCATTACAATACTTTTGTGAAATAGAAATTTCTACTCTTATTTTATAAATCAAATCAAATAAAAATAACTGGGGCACATTTATCTGAGTAAGGACACCTCCTTCTCATCACTGCTATTTCCATTTATGAGACAGTATACAGTGATGTGTTTTACACATGGAATTGTCAGTGCAGATATTGCTATTATATAGAACTTGTCATCGAAAGAGTAGACGTTGTGACCTTGATTTGGGTTTTTGGTGTCTTAATTAGAATTTAACAACTGTGGCATTCTTTGAAACATCACTATGCTGAGACACAAGTTGGACCTGTGTGTTCAAGCCCAGGGCATGTCGATGTGTGTAGGCATAGGTTCTAGAAAAGTCATTCGAAGGGACAGGGCATGGACTTCAGTCACCTCTGAACTAAGCCAGTTGTCCTCCTCAACAACAAGGCAGAGACAGTGGGGGTCTGAGCTGGGACCTCGTCCCCTTCTACCCAGCTCCAGCTTGGGCAGGAATCAAAGCGGCAGTTTCTGAAGCTCTCCAGAAACCTCTTAGCTCTCACTTATGCACAGGAAACCAATGAGCCTTTATGGTGTGTTTTTCTAGCAGATTTCCAAGCCTGGCTATTGGTTTTCTGTCACTTCTTTCAGGCCTGATTAACACCGCATAAAATCGAGGGGGTTTCAGCTATTCTTCAAAGCAGAGAAATCAGTTTGCTTCACTCTCATTCTGAAATAAGCAATTGCATTGCCTCCATATGAATGGAGGCTGAGGAGGCAAGGTGATGGGATCAATATGCAGAAGGAGGGCAGGAGCTGAAACAGCAGTGATGGAGGCGGTGCACTACTCGGGCTAAGTCCTCTAATCAAGGGAAGCTCAGAGGGGCCAATGATTGGTTTCTCTGCCTGCTGGTATGAGGAAAAGTGGAGACCCAGGCCCTGGTGGAGGGGGATTGTGGTAAGGGTGTGGTCGACATCTACTGGTCATTTACTGCATGCTGTGCTGAGTGTTCAACTTGATTATCTCTTAATCCTCATGAAAACCTTATTTAATAGGTACTATTATTGTTCCACTTCACAGATGATAGAAACGGAGGCTCAGAGGGGTGAGTGAGTGGCCAGGGGCAGCACAGCTGGTGAATTAGGGAGCTATATTACATCCTAGACAACCTGAAGTCAGAGCTCCTCCCCTGACCAACACACTTGAAAGCATTCAGAGCTGAAGCAAGAAAAGCTTTCTAACTGGGACTATAATCTCAGGGTATCATTCTCAGAGATAGGTGGAGGAAATCTCAGAGACCCAATAAAAGTGGCTTCCTTGGGGGCCAAGAAGGAGTCTCTCTTGCTGATAGAAGTCTAAATTCAGAAGTTCCCGCAGGGGTTAGCATGGAAGAGAAGAAACAGCACAGAAAGATAGAGAACTCAATTTGATTCCCTGCTCCATTCACTGCCTTGGGACTGGTGAGCCAATAACTTGATCTCTCAGAGGCCAAATTTCCTGACCCATGAAATGAGGATGGTGTTACCTATCTTTTAACAAAGTGCCTGGCCTGTGATAGGTGATTAATATCTGTTGCCTACCTTATTTCTTTCTGGGGACCTAGGGGTCTCTGAATATGCTGTGTGTCTATCCTCCACTTTTCACTTTTTGAAAAGCTTGGCAGAAGTCATCACTCAGGCTAATACCTGTGCAAGAACACACTCAAAGTTGAGTTTCTTTGCTTTGGGTTGGAATTGTATCAGCGATGATATCCTTCTGCAAAGAAACTCTACGTAGCAGATAGAAAGACCCATAACTAAATAATTTGGTGGGAAAATACATTTATGTTGTGATAAAAGTATTTCAACATCAAATTTATAGGGTATACAGTTGAAAAACAATCCTGTTGAACAGTTTTGTGAACTACTGCACGGATGGTTTCTTTTCATTCATCGTGGATTAATATCCTTCTGGTCTTCTCATTTCCCCCAGGGCTCCCATCTCTTCTACCCTTCTGGAGAACACCCAGGTTAGACACACAATGGCTACATAACCTCTTTCTTAAACTGGTGTAGCATCCTTCCTCCTTAGAACAGACAACTAAGAAAGCCCACCTGTTAAGTAAATAACTGGAAACCTTATCATTTCCGTGATTTAAACATTGGTAAATTGACCAGGGAGACTAAATTATCAAAATGGTGGAATGGGAACACGTGAAATAAAATCTGCCTATTGATTGATTCATCTTTTGTGGAGGCTGGCAAGGCAAGGTCTCCACACATCAAAGTTGCCCCTCACTGTAATGCCTACATCTATAGAAGTGGTTCTTAGCACTGATGGCACATTAGGATCACCTGGGTGGCTTTGAAAACTCCCAATCCCAGATCAAACAAAGCATATTCTCTAGGAGTGGGACTCAGGCATCAGATTTTTTGATTGTTTGTTTGTTAACTCTCCAGGTGACACCAATGTGCAGCCAAAGTTGAGAACCTCTGTTTTGTGAATAAAGGACTAAAATACTTCAGAGGGAGAGTGTTTGTCCTTAAGCCCACCACTCACCTGTTCCCATGGCTCTACAATTAAAATATCTGCCAACATCAACTCCCCTAAGAACCTGATTGAATTTCCTGTGGCTTCATCTCTGAGGCCCTGAGCATTTCAGGCTGCGAGCTGGCAAGCCATTGATGTGTGTGCTCACTGACGGCAATTCAATAGCTTCTGTTGGCATATTTGAGCTCAAAAAGCTGAAAGATAAAGACTTCACATTAAGCTGAGGGGTCTTGCTCTCTCTCCTCCAGTCTCCCCAGGCTGATAAATAATGGATAATGAAGAACAGTGCTATTACATGCATAAAGCACTTGGCATTCACCTCCAACACAGCACTTCCCATCAAAATCTGAGGTTCAGTTCAGCAAAAAATCTGTTTGGTGGTAAGGCCCGGTCCTTTTGGGGGACTCCTTGATGCTACCTAGTTATTTAATGAAAAAAGGAAAACAATTCAACTCTAGAATCAATCTTAGTGTCAGTTTCCCAAAGGCTAAAGGGCTGGGTTAGCGTGGTTGAAGTTTCTTTCTCTTTTTGAGCATTGCATCCCTACATCTATCTATCTTTGATGAGCAGAACAGCAAAGCTCCTCAGAGACGCCCATCTGAAACTGAGCTCCTTAGAAATCTTCTATTGTGTTTTTCTCTTTGTAACATCACAATCACCAAAGCTTATATTGTATTTACTTAGTGTGTTTTTCTTTGTCTCCTCTGCTGGAGTTTACACTTTCCATCAAAGACACCATGTCCGTTTTGCAGCCCCTGTGCCTAATGTATTACCTGACACCTAGAAAGTTCTCAAGAAATATTGGTTGAATGGATGTTGAAAGTGCAGCCTGTAACATCTGCTTGACACAGACTTTCAGGATGTGTTTTGGTTTATTAGTTATAAAATTTTTATAACTTTGGGGGAAATTCAGATCTTTCCAAAGGTGGAGAGGTGGCATGGAGGTTGGAGGCAGTACTTGCTCTGCATTAGAAATGCAAACTGGGGAATAGCCTGGGCATGTGGCAGTGCAGCCTTGGAGATGTCATATCCTCAGTTTTGTGGACAAAAGGGGGATTCCATCCTGACCCGTCTGGGCACATTGATGTTTTAGTTAGACAGTGTGCCAGAGAAGACAGACCCATCATTGAGTCTGGCATGTAATGTGCATTCTTTATGTGGTGGCATAATCAATGTGAAGAGCTGAAAGCTCAAATGCAAAAACTTCAAGTGCAGTGTGGACTTTTAGGTCAATTATTAACCTATGAATGTCTTATTTTCCTCATTTGTAAAGTACTCATGTTTACTCCGACATTTTATTAGGACTCTTATAAATACAGTGTTTCACAAAGATTTTCACAAAGAACTAATATCTCCAAATGCCTTGAAGATAAGGTGTTTTATTTTTAAATAAATTTAGAAACAGTACACTCTATGCATACTTATTGATATAGTCAAGATTCAGCAACAAATATTTATTGGGCACCTACTATGTGCCACATACTGAATACATGAGTGAACAGAATAGACAGAAACACCTGCCCTCATGAAGCTTACATGTTAAGATGGACAAAAAAACAAAATAAATAAAATCATACATAGTGTGCGGGATGATGTCAAATGCTAAGAGAAAAAATATAGCAAGAAAAGGGATTGGAGAGGGTGGGGGTGAAGGAAACGGAATGTTTCTTCTGTCATCATTTCTATAGAATCCCAGGGAAGGCTCTGATTGGCCTATATGATTCATATGCCTGGCCATTGGACCAATTACTGTTGAAGAAATTATATGGACTCTGTGATTGACCAGGCATGGTCATGTGCTCACTCCTAAGATCAGGAGACAGGATTGGCTTCCAGAAGAAGAAAGACAAAATTTACAGTAAAAGATGTCAACTGCTATTACAGGGCACTGGACTCCTCCCGGAAGACCAAAAATAAATAAATAAATAAATAAATAATCCAAAAAGAAAATAACTATTGGGTACTAGGCTTAGTGCTTGGGTAGCAAAATTATTTGTACATCACACCCCCGTGATGTGAGTTTATCTATATAACAAACCTTCATAGGTACCCCTGAGCATAAAAGTTAAAAAAAAAAGAATCCTGACAAATCCTGCAGTAAATAAATGTGTATAACTCTGCTTACCCTAGTAGTTCCCCAACGCATTTGGCCACATATTTTTCTTTGTGTAATAGATTTTTAACGCTAATCAGGGCACATTTTGATAAACACCTTGCTATATGTTCATATAATGTCATCAATGCTCCATCTATAGTTAATTGAGTCTCATTACTAGTAAATCCGTTTGGGTAAATTTTTAAATTTTTAAAGGGCTTTCTAGATTTGAATAAATTTATCCCTCCCCTCTTTTTCCCTTTAATTAAAAATATGTCTTGGCACAAGTAAGTGTCTTTCCTCAAATGTAATGAGAAGTTGAAAGGAATTGGCTTCTAAAGCAGAGTGGCCCCATGGTATGGCAAAGGCTCGTCAGAGGATAAAGGCATGAATCAGTCACCAGAAGACCTAGTTGTGATGCAAGAACAAACTTTCCAAACCACCAGTTGTCCCAGTCAAATTAGTCTAGTTTAATAAGAAACTTTAATAATGTTTTATAGACATGTTTGCAAAATCACAGCCCTGTAAAATGTCATGTCGTACTCCTTGTGACTTTGGAAAATGTCATGAAGTAAGCTATACCAGTAGGGTTCTTAATGCTTCCAATAAAAGCCTCTCATGGAGAGGGAAGCAGTTATTTACAATGGCTGTTGAGCCACAAGTCACAAAACATAAAGCAGCCAGTTGAACGACAGAAGTGGAAGACCCCAAACCATTCACAGCAGCTTTCAGTGTTCCTGGGTAGAGTCCAGAACTGACCTCATTACTAAGTCACTGTTGTACCCTAGCAAGTTATTTCACCCTCTGAGGAATCTGGATTCTCTCTCAGTGGATGCTGGGATAATAGCAATGAACTCCTACGGTTTAGGAAAAAAGGTCAGTGATTTTGACAACTAAGACACTTTATAGCATTCTTTATCTTCTACAAAGCTTTTTTTTAAATGACTCTCGTTTTCTTTTATTTTAAAATTCAATGCCTAGCCACTTAAAAATAATAAAGTATATGAAGAAGATACTCATAATTCCTCAGCTTGGAAATAACCACTACTAAACTTTTGGGAAAACACTAACTTTTATGTGGCTCTTTTGTGTTCCCTTCGTGTAAAAATACAAATAAGTATCTGGTGTGTATTGTGTGTGGGGATATATGCAGTTCTTCATACGAATTTACCTTATATTATTAACATTTCCCCACAGCATCAGAAAGTCTTCATATGTAAAATTATAATGGCTATCTAACATTTCATCTATTAAATGCCCTGTGATTTATTAATTGTTCTACTATATTTGGAGATATATATTGCAACCACATTCTCATGTTTTTGTCACTGCAAATAAAATGATAAAAAAATTTTGCACATAAAGTGTTGAAGAAAGCAACTGGTAGTATTCATCTATTAACAATCTTAAAAGCCCTCTAAGAACAGATAATTGACTAACTAAAGAGGTGACAAGAGTAATCTATCCCAAAACACTGGGCTTTTTTTGCATGTTTGATTTGTTTTTCCAATAATGCTAAGAATGTACTATACAATTGAATGATAATGGAGACTGAGTGATACTTACCAGAATGTAATTATTCCTATGTGTATAAATGTATACACACACACTCATATTTTCCTCTAAGTCTTATTTCCCCTCAATAAACTTCTAATAAGCCTTTAGTAATAAGAGGAGTACAGTTCTTTTGTCTACTATGCAAGTGTATCAACTGGGCTAACCCTGCTGCCGACATGTGCTTGTTTCAAAGGTCAAGCCAGGCTAAGTTGATATTCCTGAACAAGTGCACCAAGGAAACTCGTAAGGAAGTTGCATGCTGATAAGACTTCTGAAATCATTAAGTTGTTTTGTCAGGCAGATGGGACCTGTTCAGTTAGCTATTTTGTTCCCTGGTACATCCCATATCTTTCCATAGAACCAATGGCCTTTTCAACCTCTGCATTTTTTAATCTATACCACACATTTCCTCAGCCTCGTCTGCGTCATTCGCCTGGTGCTTCCAAAGATTATCATTGTAAAAAATGTGGCACCAAACTTAAACAAACTGTGTTAGGATCACTCACCCACTGCCCAGTTTCCAATTTAGTGGGAGTGAAATCTGTTAATTATCTTGGAAGAACAATTCCAAGACTTTTTTTCCTGCAAGAATACTTGTATTTCCCTCCTCCAGCCCCAGTGAGGGTGATTTTGATGGGTGGTGGAACATTTTAGTGACCACTAAAATCTAATTTTGTTCCCTGCTGTTGGGGTAATGTAAGCTCCATTTTCTTGCACTGAGGATGGAAGGCGTCAGAGTGGCGACCTGGCCAATTTCCTATTGATCCCATCCTCTGCTATGGGATGGAGTGACGAGGGAGAATTGACCTATGGAAACCTCTGGCTCAGTGCCTTCAGAAGTCAGGGTGTCAGTTTTCAGGCTCTGCCAGACACTGTGGCCAAGGCCAAGGGTGCTCCGTCAAATCTATCCATTTCAATTAAAGGCTAGAGAGTTGGGAAGTAAAATAATCAATTTTGCAGGCTAAACTCCATCATCCTGTCGACACTTTATCTTTGCTCCGGACATACTTGTGCAGGATATGTTTAATAAGACTCTGATGGCATTATTCACTGATGACACTTCTGGTTAGAGATTGATCGAAGCTACTTTGTAAAAGTTATCAAGCTAAGGGAAAATGGCAAAAGATATATATATATGTATATGTAAATGTATATATATGTAATGTATGTGTGTGCAGTGTACAAAACTTCTTTATACTAAAGCATTTCTTATTTGCCATTCAAATAACTCCATGACCAAATGCTAAGCTCTAATGCCAAATCAGCTAAATTATGTATTATATTATATTTAATGCTCCAATTTAATATGCTGATCATCATGATTCCCAAGTATCTCACATTTTACGACCACACAGATATGGAGTTTTACTAATGCCCTGTCTTTTAACAGTGAAACTTTCAACCATTTACTAACTCTTAATGCAATGTGTCGGTCATTTATTGAGCAATTATGGTGTGCCAGGCAGTGCATTTGGAGATGTGCATACATTATCTAATTTGATCCTTAATTCTTTGGAATAAATATAAATTCTAATAGATAACTGTGCTCAACACATTTATTTATCTTTCTCTATTGTCATTACTTTTGGCATTGTACTCCTGGAATGGCAATAAATTCATGAAGGCTATGACCGAGTGTGTATCACCACCCTCTCTTTAGCATCCAGAGTGTGTGTGGACTTGAGAAAGCATACAATATTGAGTGTGCTAGTGAGTTGTAATATTATTATTATCCCCTCATGTAAATTAATTACCTGATGTTTAGTAAGTTCAAGTAATTTGATCAAAAGTGACACAATTTGTAAGTGAGAACTGGGAGTTGAACCTGGCTTTGTCTGACTGTCTCCTCTGCTTAAGCTCATCACTGACACATCTCCATGACTGGTTTATATCAAACATGACCCAAACTTTGGCCAAGAATTGATTTCTGCACTTCTGGGTAGTTGACTTAAGATAGTGGACTCTCAAACGAAAGTGAGGTTCTTCCAGTAACAAAGAATGAAGGCAGAGATACAGCTGTTGGATAGACAGCCAATAATGCCTTCCACCAAAAATGAATAGTGAAATAATTCATGGGAGCCACAGGGTGAAGGATGAAGTTGAGTAGCATCAATTTCTACTTTAATACTAAAAATTCTGATAATTTATTTCTAATTAGGGCCTCTATCCTTATCCCTGTACTTGACTGTTTAATGGATCAGCCATACTTGAGTAATCTGCAGGCACTTCAGCTCAACAAGCTCAAATTGAATTGACCATCCTGTCCTCAGTATTTGTTTCCTATCCTACAGTTCCTTTTCTCTCAGCTCTCTGGCACTACATCTATCAGTTAATCTAAGGCTTAAAACTAGACAGATTCTTAAAATCTCCCTCCACTTTAATAGCTACCCCTACACAAGCACATGTATTATGACAATGAGTTTTGTCAGCTCTGAGATGCAAATATCTCTTGCAATTTCCACTCAACTCTGTGGTCACCATCACTGTCCAAGCTCATACAGGATGAGTATCTTGTATCTGAAATGCTTGGGTCCAGAAGTGTTTGAGATTTTGGATATTGAAGTATTTGCATTATATATCATGTTGGTGCTCATAAAGTTTTGGATTTGGGAGCATTTTGGATTTCAGATTTTCAAATTTGGGATTTTCAACCTGTATTCTCATAGTGTCTTATCTGGCCTATTGCCAGATCCTCTTGTTGGTTTCTATCTCTGTCTTCACCATGCTCAATCTAGGCTTGACTATATCACTAGGCAATGTTTCTTAATTACAAATCTATGCACAACTCATGAAAACTTCCTAGTTATCATTGTGATAAAAAGGTGCTTGCTATATGACTTCTGTTCAGCCATCCGTACTTAACTTTTGTTTCTCTACTCTTTTAATTTTTCTAGTAAGGAATCCTGATCTACATGAATTCCAGTAACACATCAAAGATAACTTGTGCTTCCAGCATACTGTTAGTTAAACAACAAGACAAAATATATTAAACAATGGTTTTCAGACATTGGACAAAGACAGCTCAAATAAGTTATTTATGAAAAAAGTAAAGCAAATGAGGCAAGCCCTACAATTACTTGGAACTAACTGCCTGGGGGGTTTCCAGGACACAGTGAAGAGAGTGGGAGCCCAAATGGACTCTTGACCTCCCTAAATGGAGAAGATGGAGTTGAGAGTTTAGTGTAGGGGGAAAAGATGATTAGAATTCACAGCGATGAGAAAGAAGATGGACATAGAATGAGGAGAGATCTGTACAAAAAGAGAGCTGCGGAGACATGCAGAAGGTCGCCATCTGAGTACTGATCAATACATACATGTAAAGAACCTGGGGAAAGAACCACCTGAAGGAATAATTCAAACAATCCCTGGTGCTCACACAGGGCTGGAAACAGTTTGTGCTTCCATGAACAAGAGTGAAAATAAATTAGTACATAAATAAATAAACCTTTGAGAATACATAGTGCGTCAGATAACACAGAAAGAATATTGCCTCAATAGTTTGGTAAAATTAGCCCTAGCCTAAAGGCTGCTTCAAACTTGCCACAGAAAGCTGAGAAACAATGAAAAAAAAAAAAAGTTGAGAAAGGATGAAACTGTTTTCAACTAAATTATCTGCATCCTGGAAAAAAAGCTTTGGTATATTTTAGGGAATACAAAAATATCCAACTTAACAAGGTGAATTTTACAATATCCTTTTTTTCCAATAAAAAATTATCATACATGAAAAGAATTGAAATATTTTATATGCTCAAGAAGTAAAGTATGAACATATTAAGAAAATATGTGGAAGATAGAAGACCCAAATTGAGCATCTACTGGGAAAAAAATAGTATTTAAGATTAAAAATATGCCAAGTAGGATTAACAGCAGATTAGATACTGAAGAAGAGACCAGTAAAATTGAAGATAGCAATAAATACTATCCAAAATAGAATGCAAAGGGGAAAATAACACTGAAACACCACCACCAACAAAAAGAGATCTGTGGGAAAGCATTAAGTTGTATAATATACAAGTAATTGGAGTCCCTGAAAAGCGGGAAGGGTCCTATTTGAAGAAATAATAGCTAAATATATATATTTTTTCAAATTTGGTAAATATTATCCAACTACATATTTAAGAAGCTCAACAAATAATGAATAATAATTATGAAGAACATTATACTACTGCACATCATTACACTAATGAAGAACATTACACTAATGCAATCAAATTGCTTAAAAATAAAAAAAAATCTTAAAACATCCAGAGAGCAATAGAAAACAGTGTACATCCAGAGGAACAAAGATAAGAATAAGGCAAAGATCAGGAACATGGGTAAAGGATAAATACTGGAGAAGCTTTTGTGCATAGTGAACTAAATTCAACTTTTTTCTCAACTTTATCTTTTAGTGCAAGCTAGAAGACAGTGGCACAACATTGCCAAATTACTTGTGGTAGTGAATATGAGGGAGTGACAACCAAGAATGTTACACCCAGTGAATGTACCTTTGAAAAATGAAGAACAAAAAAAAAACAAAGACTCTTTTAGATACACCAAATCTGAAATAACCCATCAACAATGGATCTGTTCTACATGAAATGTTAAAGTAATTGTTTCAAACAGAAGCAATATGAAACCAGACGGAAATGGGAATCTACACAAGGAATGAAAGAGCCCAGTAATGGCTAACAAATAAGTATATAATAAAAGTTTTTTTTTTAATTTTTAGAAATCCATTTTTAAGACACTTGACCTTTGAAAGCAAAACTAAAAGAAATTATTACATGGTTTATAAATATATAGAAGTAGAATATATGACAATGACACAAAGGCAAGAAAGGGTAAAGGGAAGAATACTTTTGTAAGGTAAAATACTACCATAAATACTAAAACAATCACTATAAAAGGAAAAGAAAAAGTGGTGTTGCCAATAAGCAAACAAAAGAGATCATTTGAAACTTAAAAAAAATACTCAGTCCAACAACAAGCTATGTTCTCCTCGTTCCTGTGCCTATTAACATATGTTGTCTCTGACTACTTCTGCTTCAGAATATCTGGCAAACTCCGACCCATCTTTCAAGCATCAGCTCAACTAATGCCTTCTCTGGGGAGCCCCCTGTGATGCTCACAGTCATGCATATTCTTAGAAAAATAATTATGCTATGGTCTTATTATTGTTTGTTTTCATGACTGACTCCTCATTAGACTTCAGGTTCTTGAGAACATAGGTGATGCACTTTTATCTCTCTGTCTTTGGCAAATAACATAACCCTACCCCATAGTAGGACCTTAGTAAATATCTATTGAATAAATAAAGTCTATATTCAATGATTTTATTAACTGTAATTTCTCTCTGGGTTTTGCCACATAAATCATATTTACCTTGCTAGCACTTGGTGACCTCCTTTATTCTAAAACAATCACTGGGAGACTAACAACCTAGGTTACATAATACTAATGTTATTACTCCCGAGATCATGAAGTCCAAATATTTCAATGGCAAAGTAGTAAGACTAGCCCCAAGAAAAGTTCATGGTATTATTATTTCAAGAAAAATCCAAGATAGCTTTGAGGATTTCTACTATTAACATATCTCTAAAATTCCTGTCAAAATTCTGCAAGTTTTCACTCAAATGATCCCTTTTCATAAAGTTTTTCCAGCATACCCAAATATAAATACTCTTTTACCTCTTCTGAACTCCCCTGGCCCTTTGCATGTCAATTTGGACATCAGGTATAGTAATTGTGGATATAAACTAATTCATGGTGCTTCTTATCTCTCTTCCTGGAATATAAAATCCTTTTATCTGATTCATTTGTTTATCCCTCCCTGGAGCATATTGCCAAATTTAGTATAAGTTCAATTACCCTCTTAAAGAAATGAATAAAGAATTCAGAATTTAATTTGCTTAATTTCAATAATTTTTTCCACAACTATATGGAATGGTTGGCTGCTATTGCACCAAGATTTACACAGGGAGAAACTAAGGCTTAGATAACAACAACAAATGTCTTCATAAAATATTTTTAAATTTATCATCTATAATTTCAATCTACATTATGAAATTCTACATGTATATTTTTTACTTGAGACTTCTCAATAAGAAGCCAAAATTTTGTTTTTACTTTTTTTGTTTTCTTCTTGAAACATATTTTTAAAAATCTTATTGGAAATCCTTAAACTTTATCAATCCACAAGTTATTTATTTACTCATCTATTTTACTCATTTATTTTTTTCAATAAGTATTTGTAGCAGGCTATCCATGTGCAAGGCATGGTGCTACCAAAGGGTAGAGATACAGCAGTGGGTAAAATCACAATGCCTGCTCTAAATGGACTCCCAGTGATGAGAAAGACAAATATAAACAAAATATTAAGTGGTACATAATAACTAAAAGAGTCATGCTCAGAAAAACAAAAACAAAAAAAGTTTATCCAGAAAAGTGAGTGGGCAGAAGGAGAAACTTGGATGATATGCTACCTAAAACAAAACCTGTAAATAGAGAATACCAAGATTAAGTGAGGAGAGAGCATTGAGCAGAGTACAGCGTGTATGGTGGTAGAATCAGTACAATAGGAGACCATTAAGAGATACACCTGCAAACACGGTTAAAGGATAAATACTGGAGAACCTTTTGTGCATAGTAACAAAATTCAGCTTTATTCTGACGATGGTAGAGAATCATTGAAGTATTGTAAGTGAATAAAATCTGTATATTTGCATTAAAGAAAATCAGTGGTTTGTAAAGAGGATGTGTTAGAGAGCGGAAGACTCCAATGAAAAAGCTAATCAACTTGTATTAGGATTAATTTTCCTTATCTAGAGAATGGCAGCAAAAAAATAGATGATTCCCAATGCTAATAATTTATGATTTTAAAATATGATACCTCTTTGACACTCTGAGGGGTTTCAAGTAAGACACTTTCCTTCTTACAGCTTCTAAATTTCATTCTCTCTAAAATAAGGAATTTGGGCAAGGCCATCTCTGAGGTCTCCTTTCACATACACTACCCATGGTCCAAACACCATTTTATTTCTCTCAGGTAATAACAAAGGTGTCAGAGTGTGTTAAGCAATGTTCAATAATTTTACAATTAAAAAATACAAGAATATTGCACTCAGATGTCTACACATTTCTAGCAATTAGAAAATAATTATACTGCAAGTTTGTAAAAAGTCTCCTCAAACTCAATGGCTCAGCAAAAATTATTAATAGAAACTAAAAATAAACATGTGACCCTCTTTGTGTTCCCTTCTCTTTTACTCTTGTGTGATAACCACAGTGAGTCCCTCCCCATCCAGCAAGTGAGAAAATATGCAATGGCCTTTCCATTATTGATTCTTTATTAGAATCATGAGTCTTGTTTGTACAGCCAGCTCTGTGGGTGACTGAGGGCTCCCGCTGCCCATTGGGTAATTAAGCCTGGGATTATGAAAGTTGGAATTGCTTACTTCTGCCCTGGAGCCCTTAGAAGACCACTGCAGCTGACCCGGTGCTGTAGTTACCATATTTTCCTAAATGTAAATGGTATATACATCATTTGCCAATGGGACAGAATATATAAATTGGAATTTTCAAAAGTGTACTCTCTGGAGCCAGATTACTTGGATTTGAATCCAGCTTCAACTCTTACAAGGAGTGTAATCATGGCGTAACCCACATATGTGTAAAATTCAGTTCATTACTCTTAAAAACTAAAATAATGATGATGCCCACATTATTTGGTGAATACAAAATAAGATAATCACCTCCTTATTTAATACTGCAGCCCACCTCCTGCTGCAATTTGACACATTTCACCTTGCTCATTGTAAATAATTTTCTACTACAGATCTTATCACATTCTAACATACTGCACAATGCACTTATTATTTTTATGCTTTATTTCTCCACCATTGTATAGAATAAGAAATCTACAAAGGTACATTTGCTTTCTCCAAAAATTTATCCCAAATGCCCAGAACATTTCCTGGCATGTAGTAGGCACTCAATGAATAGTTACCAAATAAAAAAAATAGCGAATTTGAAATTGGCTATTAGCATCTAATGAATGTTAGATTAAATTATTGCCATTGACATCAGTATCATCAGGAAATTCCAGGTAATTTGATGTCTTTTGTATCTATTAAGAATTGTCTTATTGACTCTTATTTTATTTTTTCACCATTGATAGCATTCAAGATTACATTTGTAAGAGATGATAAAGCAAGAATTTGGTTTTGTCTCTACTGGACACAGTCTGGTTGATTGCCTGCTGTGCCAGGCACTCTGCCACAAGCTGAGAAAACAAAGAAAAGGTAATCTAAGTCTCAGTCTTAGAAGCTCACACATGGTAGTGATTATTATCTTGCAATTAATGAACTGAATCTGAAGTCTCCAATGAATTTATTTGTTATCTAATTATATCACCTGTGATTCTCACACACACAGATAAATGGTTGTTTTCTCTCTTCCTTCCCCCATCTCCAAGTCAAGAACTTCAAGGAGACCTTGAACAATGCCCATTACCTAGGACGATGCCCATGGCTTGGAAAGCAGCAATATACAAGGGCCATGAGAATCACCTGGGGAACATTTTTAAATAGGGAAGGGACTGGCCCAAGAAATTCTGACTCAGTAGATCTGAGGTGGAGCCCAGAGCTCTGCATATTAACAAACATCCCAGGTGATGCTCTCCCAGGTAGACTGCAGCCTACCCATGGAGAAACACTGATTTAGGAGGTGTATTTCATCTGAGAAAGTTATAAGAGCATATGATGGTTCTTATAAAAGGGATTCTGTCTATAATGCTAGGATTCATGAGCAGTGTTTGCCAAAGGACAGCAAGGTTAAAATATGAGTCATTGCTATCAGTGAAAGGGAAGAAAGTGACAGAGAAAAAAATAGGGAGAACCCAAGAGGATGTGGCGCAAGAAAGGTGAAGAAAAACCAAGCGGACATTACAGTGGTCTGGATGGCAGAGTGGAAATACTCAAATTTTATTCTCTTTAGTCTTTTCCTTCTGTTTCCAGCCCTAGCTTTTCCCACCGTCCTTTACATGTACGGTATTCTACAATTCCGTCCTTCACCTCTTCATTTCCATGTACCACCTCATCCATTCCAACAGTTTTGACATCCATTTAAAAAATTTCTCATGAGCCTCTCTGAGCTCTTCATTTTTCCTGTTGCATAGGCCCATCCATCTGGCAGAGAAAGGGATGCTCAGGACACAGAACAACCATGTTACCTTAACAAGACTTCCGTGAGCACCAACTTTGGATGCGGTCTACTCTCTACAGAGGTCTCTGGCAACCTCACAACCTGCAGTTCCTTGCCCTCATGCAGCACTTCCTGAGAGGCAGAGACGTGGACTAGGAGAAACCTGAGGTACCATCTTGATCAGTGAAATGGTTTCTGTTTGATTTTGTTTTTGGCATCTCTTTTATTTTTTTGTCAATCTATTTGTTTGAGGAGCTGTGGGCAGAAATGAACCGTTCTGAAATAGACATTGATGAGAATTAGGTAAACATTCCTTCAAAGAAAACCTCATATGAAAATAACGTATATAAACAGATATTTCCTGAAAGCATGGGCTACAGAGGCCCCAATATACACATGAGGAAACTAAGGCCAGGGAGATGAAGAGACGTTGACTTTTTCTATTAGATGATCTTAGAGCTTTGTCTCCTAACGAGTTCGTTAAGTTTTTGTCTTCATCTCCCAGTCACAAATAAGGGGAAAGCATGTAAATGTTATATTTAGAATGTGGAAATATTAGTTACAAGCTAGTAAGTTATCAATAATTTTTATCCTTTCAAATGTGAAAAGATTCAGATTTCAACATGGACTTGCAGTTTTCCCAAAATAACGTGGCCTTGAAAAGAAGCTCATGTGGCTTCATAAAATGTATCTGTGCCAGCTAAAGAGCAAAGCTCCCATTCCAACCAGCAAAAGGCTGCTACGGCCAAGTTTATTTTTAATTATCAAAATTAATAATACCATTTCTAAAATGCAGATGTAAATATCGAATGTATCATAAAATAGGCAAGGATAGTGATAAAATATTTAAATCATCTGTGTGGCCACCATACAAAAATACTTATATTCATTCATTTATTGTTTGTTAAATACTTGCTCATTCCCTATTATGTGCCACTACTAATTGCAAACTCTAGGGATACAATCTTGAACAAGAAAGATAAATCTTGCCTTCAAGGGACCTTCATTCTAGTGGATGGATAATAAATAAGTAAGCAAATGAGTAGCATAGCACCAGGTGATAGTGAGGGCAAAGAAAACCAATCAAGTAGGGCAGGGAATTAGAGCATGATTAGGCGCTGTTTAGAGTAGAATTAAGGAAGTTCTCGGAGAAGCCAGTTGTTAGCAGAGTCGACTGCAGGGAGGCAAGAATGGACAGGAGACTAGTTAGGCAACTATTGTAGCAGTCCACGTGAGATGGTGATGGCTTGGAATAAGGTGGTAGAAGGTATGGACAGACAAAAATGGGATATATTTTGGGAAGCAGAGCTTACAGGGCTGGCCCACAAGAGGATGGAATAGAGGACTCAAGAATGACTCACACTGTGGAATCATTAAATCATACTAATTAGCATATCTATGACTCACATGGTTATCATTTTGGGGATGAGAACATTTAAAAGCTACTCTCTTAGCAATGTTCAAGTATACAATATATTATTCTTAATTATAGTCACCATGATGTAAGAGAGATCTCCAGAACATTTCTTCCCATCTAACTGACTAATGGAAGCACTGTACCCTTTATCCAACATCTCCCCACTCCCCTGGTAAGCACCCTTCTACTCGGCTTCTATAAAGTCTATATTTTTAGATTCTGTGTGTAAGTGAGATCTTGTAGTATGTGTGTTACTTAGCTGAAGAATTTGGGGAGGGAGATTCAAAAATTGTATTTTAGATGTAGTCACTTTGACGCTTACACTGTGATTTGACTATGATCAGGTAAGTTACACACATGTAGAAAAGCACACACACAGTTTCTGTCTGCGCAATTCGTAGCCAGTTCCCTTTTTACCTAATTATTGTTTGCATATCTGCTTTTGTACTAGTTTGTACGCTGTTATCTCCAAATTTGAGTCTAAAGATTTTAGGAACTCTAGAATCTCAATATTGTTACCTGATATTTTTAAAAAGGGTGAGAAATATATGAGAGAAAGTGATTCTTGCAATCATTAAATGCGATAAGGAAAGCACAAAAAAACGAGCCAGGAGCGCAGTGCCCACTAGTTGGAGAAGGATGAAGAGCTTATTGAAAAAGAGCAAGACTTTTTTGTTGGGCACCAAGCAGAAAAACTCTGAACCAGAAGCCCTGAGCTTGGAGTCTCTATTTCCTTTCTCCAAAACTAAATCTGCTGTTAGCATACTGTACTGTCTTGGGGGACGTCTAACCACATAATCCTATCAGAGTCTTGATCTCATCTTCACAGGCGGGATCCTGGAGTTCACCATGGAACTGCGTCAAGCTTATGTGATTGTAGTGTTGAGCTAACGTGCAAAGAAACAGTGTGTCTTGAGATTTCTCCCTGTGACATATTGAACAGAGAAAACTCCGGGTGTTCACGTAAAGTTCAAATGTTTCATGTCTGAAAAGCTCTGTCAAACTCTTCACAGCCTGCCAGAATCGGAGCTCCGTCACAGCTGCTGGGTGGTTTCATTTTACTGTCTTTCACTCTCTACTCCCCTCTCCAACCCACCACAGGCCATCACCAAAGGTTTCTTGCCCTACCTTCCTTTGGGCACAAATTACAAAACCCAAGGGGCCAAATGCCAGTTCAGAACCACGTTGCCTTTCCTCAAGAGAAAAAGTGAAGGCTGGGCACGGTGGCTCATGCCTGTAATCCCAGCAGTTTGGGAGGCCGAGGCAGGCGGATCACCTGAGGTCAGGAGTTTGAGACCAGTCTGGCCAACATGGTGAAACCACATCCGTACTAAAAATACAAAAATTAGCTGGGCGTGGTGGCACATGCCTGTAATCCCAGCTACTTGGGAGGCTGAGGCAAGAGAATGGCTTGAACCCAGGAGGCAGAGGTTGCAGTGAGCCGAGATCGCACCACTGCATTCCAGGCTGGGCGACAGAGTGAAACTCTGTCTCAAAAAAAAAAAAAAAAAAAAAAAGAGAGAGAGAGAGAAAATGAAAGGAGTGATATTCCCATGTGTAGTGGTAAGTGTTCAGTCAGACCTGAATTGTGGTGATTGTGCAATGGATCGGTTACTTTTCCGGCATTTCCTATGTGACATCACAGCAGCTGGAAATTCTTATTTACTTCTTGCTGTGATTCTGTGGCATAGATGATGTTTGTGGAGGCAGACTTATCAAGGGGGAGCATTTAGTGAAATTAGTACAAACTACATTGGGCTCTCACCTGTCTGAGGCAAGGTCACAGACTAATGTATGGGGACCAGTATTTCTTTCTCCCATTGACATTCAGGGTGGGATCTGGTATAACTGTTTTATTTCTTCAATTTCCTGATTGGTAAAAGGACCACCAGTGATCATTACTTTTCTCTTAGAATAGTTTGGTTTCCCTTTGCCCAGTTTGAGAGGTAGGAATTATACAACGGAAATAGTCATTTGTTCAATGGATGCTAACCAGTTGGAAGCTCACAGAACAATAGGGATCAAGCATTGTCCTTGGGGTCAAGGTATCAGGAAGGCCTGAATTTATCTGAAAGTATTTCAGTGCTAACAGGTCAGGGCTTGCACTATGAGTCACAAGACTCTGTGGATTAATTACTCCACAATAGGAAAATAAGATCACTGAGGACGAAGGTCTCCAAATTATGAATGGAAGCTGTGCCTTTTCTGCTCATCTCAGAAATCGTCCAACTTCTTGGCACAAAATAGGAATTTCTATGTATTGGAAGACAGCCCAAATCAGAGAAATGTTATGCAAATCTTGCATTTGGGACAAAAGATTTTGGACTTCAGAATAGCGCATTCCTTTGAGCCAGGGTTCTGGTACTACGTGGACTGCTTCCATGTTGTCAATTGGCATCCATGAAGCTGATAAATAGGCCTGAGACTCTATGAGCCAAAGCATCCCCATGCCAAAACCAAAGATATGTTTAATTATTGTTGTGGATGCTTTTATATAGTTTTCAGAAGTACTATGGCTAAAATTTTTAAAAACCTACTAGAGTGATAAATTATCATATGATCCTAAATAATATACCTCTTATGCAGCAGACTTTTGATTACTATAAATTTGAGTCTCACCATAAACGGGAGTCATTTTACTACTTCATGACACTGGGGCATAAGCTACTGTGGGGAAACAGAGTAACACAGAAAACTGGCTGCTAGACTTGTCATTCATCTCTGATAACTGGGGGACTCATGGGAAGGTTGTCATTAATAATCAAGAGAGCAAACAGCATCAACTCTATCTGTCCCTCAGAGAAGATAATCAAATATCACAATTTCCAGGTAAGAATATTTGCATTTGTTAAGTGTGTTAGTCTGTTCTCACACTGCTAATAAAGACATACCCAAGACTGCATAATTTATTAAGAAAAAGGTTTAATGGACTCGCAGTTACACATCACTGTCGAGGCCTCACAATCACGGCGGAAGGTGAAGGAGGAGCAAAGTCGTGTCTTACATGGTAGCAAACAAGAGATCGTGTGCATGGGAACTCCCCTTTATAAAACCATCAGATCTCATGAGACTTATTCACTATCATGAGAACAGCACAGGAAAGACCTGCCCTCATGATTCAATTACCTCCCACTGGGTCCCTCCCATGACACAAGGGAATTATGAGGGCTACAATTAAAGATGAGATTTGAGTGGGGACACAGCCAAACCATATCAGTAAGACAACAATAAAATGTAAAAATAATGTGATATTTTGTGGAGTAGCCGTAGTCATTGAGACTGAATCAATTCTCTCACTGTTGGACATACATAAATCTAACAGAATCAAATTAACTTTATTTTTAGTTAGGATTAATAAAGCTGTAAGAATATAGAAGTTGGCTCAGTTAAAGGAACGTTTCATTGAGGTGGTGGCTGATTGAGGAAAAAAAATGTTGCAGATAAGAAAATGGTCTTTTATCTATGAAACTGGTCACCTCCTCCCCCAGGACTCATGCCATATCTGATTTGTAGTTTTAAACCAGAAAATAGATAGGATGAGTCTTTGTAAATGAAACCTATGCAAATTTGAGATAGTTATAATGATGTTTGTGGTAGCAAAAGTAGTAATAGCAGCAAGAGTAAGTAGTACCAGTAGCAGCATTATCAGTAGTAGTAACACCAATAAGGGTAGCAGCAGTGGTAATATTAATAGTAATAATAGTAATAATAGGAGTGGTGCTGAGAATAGAAGTAGCAGCTTATATTATAGAACCATGGCTGGAAAAATTAAGATGATCCCTTAGGGAATCTTCCAATTTCCACTTTCTAACTATAAATTAGGAGACTAAGGTTAGGGGAGAACAAAGGTTTCATATAACATCTTATGATAAGTAACAGGATATCCAGGAGCAGAATTCAGATTTTGTCATTCTTAGTCTTATAAAATAGAACATAAATCTGTAAATCTATGATTCTCAAACCTGTTCTAGAGATAGAAAACCTAGAACTCACGTCAGTCTTTGCAGAACATTGAGACATATTATGATGGTTACATTCTCACATAAGCTAAGAATATTCTCAGCAGAAAACCCAACTGTACTCTTTGCCTGAAAAATTAATATAAGCACACACATTTATTAAAAAGAGGAAAAAAACTGCTAGAGTAAGCCTCATTAACAGCTTTTGAATCTTTATGTTAATATTTGCTTCTTTAATGAGCATTTTTGGTAGTTTTTACAGGGCCTGTAGAACAATGGGTTGTGGAACATTTAAACAAGAATATCTTGAGAGGTGGCAGTTGGAAGAGTTATTTAAATGTCAAATGAAGTGTCATGTCTATATATGTGTCTAATGGAAGATTCATTTTCAGCTTGGACCCAATCTTAAAATTCTAGCTTAAGTCAAAGTTTTGGAAACACCTCTGGAAGAGCCCAGGGTCCTGAATCCACATTTCTGTATTTGAAAAATAAATACTCAAGACTCAAAGAAGAGAGAACAGACTTTCCCTAAGATGACTGGATGATGGCAGTCATCTGCAAAGCATACTGGATGGAAACAAGACTCCTTAGCAGTATAATTGCCAAGAAGGTATGTTAAATGAGCCTTGCACAGGGCTTAAACACAAGAGTTGATTGAAAAAGTCAACCCTAGCAGCACCAACTAACATGGGCTGAAATCTACCTGGAACATACAGAAGGGAATTTTCAGTAGATGGGCAAGCTGAGAAGATCAATTTCCAGACAACTGTTGAATGAATTCTCTGGTGAAGAGGAGTTAGAAATTAGTATTAGAAACCCTCAGGATGCCTTCTATAGAGTGTTGTATGGAATTATGCCTCAGTTAAGTATATTAAATTATGTCTGATCCTCATTCCAGAGTGCAATTCAATCATTTTCAGTTAATCCTATTGTCTCTATGAAGTCTTAAATTAAAGAGTTCCTCCAGAGATTATCATAGACAGGGAGTTATGCTAAGTGGACCTTAACTGACCATCAAAGTCAAGATTCATATGTGCTGACTGGTAAGCCCTGCCACTGACAAAATATTAGGCAGCCTTTTCTTAAATGAGTGGCAACACCATAAAACTTACCAGTAGATCAGCAACAGCAAATGCACATGTTTAAGTAAAAATAAAGAAGAAAACAAGAAAAATAAATTCATTATTTGTCACCGTAATATTTCCAGGAGAAAAAGAACACTATTACTTATTATTAGCACTCAGGTTACAAGACTTGAGAGTTATGTGACAAGATCATTTGGAGACAACTTTCCAAGTTATCAAAATAAATTTCTCCTCCCCTCTCCACTGCTCCACTACCTTCAACTCAATTTCCACTTCTCTTTCCACTCACTTCACAACCCATTGCCTTGGAGACTGGCGTGCTCATCTAAGGACAATGGTCCAGGTGCCCACCATGAGTCAGACTGTACTAGAACAAGGTTGCTCTCATGCTTCTGAAAAAAGCACCAGGGTATTTACCACCTTTAAAGATAAGTCCTATATGCAAACACTTGAATACAGATTTCTTTTGCAGCCTTGGCAAGTGAGGAGAGGTCACTTTGTGCTTTGCTTTAATGAGTAGGACAGACAGAGAAAAAAGAGCGGGTCCACCATTATAAAGTGCTGGAGCTGACTACAAAGACTCCATCAGTGACCTTTTATAGCTGGCCAACAATCATAACTGAAGCCATTTCGGGTACTATAATTCCGCCCCAGGCTCTACAGGAGACTGCAGTAGAAACCTCATGCTAGAGCACCAGCTAACACCACTATTTGGCCTCAGGAAAAGTTTCCCAGCCAAGTTTAAATCCCTGGAGACCAAGAATGTATAATTTAAGCACTAATATAAGCTAAGAGCGAAAGCAACAATACTAGTGCTCCCATAATGGAAAGATCATTATTTTTAGTTTGTATAGAAAGCAGAGCTGGCAGCTGTGAGGGAAAATGTACCCTTTGAAAAGAACCTACCATTGTTATATTTAAGCTGTAGGGGTACAGCCTGTGACTCAGAGGCAATTGTCATATGCTCAGAATTACCCCACGAACAGTGACAGGCTTAATGATTTTGAAAGTAGCAATATACAAACAAAGGAAGGTGAGGGGCAATGGCTGAGAAGTGTTTTATGACCCATTATTTCTTTAGCCTGCTGAAGAATTCGTAACCATACACAGAGCTAATGGAAGAATGATAATGCCACTTTTTTTTCTCTTTCTTTTTGTTCATAAATATTTACCTGTCTTTCCTTAGGCAGGATGACAGACAGGTTAAGTACTTGGTCAAACAGACTTCATTTAAAATACTAGGTCTCCTATTTACTAACAGTGTGGCCATGGTTAAGTTTCTAACCACTCTCAGTTTCCAGTTGTTTATCTAATTGATGTAAAATGGAGATAATAACAGTATCTGTCTCCGAGGGATGATGTATAATGTTTCATTCATTCCATACATATTTCTTGGCAGCTGCTCTGTGTCTGGCAATGTGTTGGGTACTGAGCATACAACAGAGAATAAGACACACAAGATTCCTGCCCTGTTAGAACCATGCAGTCTAGCGGATCAGATGAGATAATGCATGTATGCCCCTGAGTGCAGTGCCAGCCAAAAAGTAGGTACTTTAAAAATGTTAGCTTTTATTCAATGGTAACATCCCACTGTAAAGACCACTGGGCTTGGGGGTTAAGTTGGCCAGGTTTCAGCCCACTTCTATCTTATGTGCATGATTTGAGTTTGTTTCCTTTCTGTAATTTGGAAACAGTAATAATGCCTATCTTCTAGGGTTCATCATCTCCTTGAGTTCATGAACCCTAGGTAACAGGCATTATTACTGCCCCAAATTACAGGTGAGGAAACAAGGATGAAATGGGATAATGCACAGTTCCTGGCACTCAGGAGAAGTTTGTAAATCAGAAACCCCTCAGGCTGAAATGTTGACAAATTGAAAAGGGCAAGAGACTAAAATACTGAAAGTCTGGAACCCAATGAAAACAGCTGGCCCATCTGGCCTCAGCATCACTTGACTACTCTTAATTGGCATCTACTGTATTCTAGGTATCATGCTCAGGGCTGTGGGGAGGAAGAAGTGAAAAGCACACTTCCCTAGACCTGGAGGGCAGGCAGTCTCATGAGGAAAACAAATAGGTAAGCAACTAACTCTCAGAGTGGGAAAATCCAGTGAGCGCTGTGAGACAGATACAAGCGAAGCACCCTGGGGCTGAGTAGGGAGAGGGGATGGCATCTATAGGGAGTCCAGTTGGGGCCAGACACTGGGCCAGGTGCATTAAACATCATCTCATTTGATCCTTCCAACAATCCTGGGAAGGAGATGCTATTATGTTCCATTTTATAGGTGAGGAAACGGGGGATGAAATTCACTTGGGCAAGATCGTTTGATCAGAAAAAGACATTGCAATGTATATATCACCAGATCTGATTGATTCTGATATTCTTTTCCTACTATACCATAATACTTCTCACAGCCAACTGATTATTGACAAAGACACAAAGAATATACATTATTGAAAGGACATCATCTTTAATAAATGGTCTTGGAAAATTAAATATTCATATGTAGAAGAATGAAAATGGACCCCTATCTCTCACCATGTATAAAAATCAACTCAAAATGGATTAAAAACTTAAATGCAAGACATTAAATTATAAAACTATTAATACCAGAAGAAAACATAGGGAAAACATTTTAGGATATTGGTCTAGGTAAAGATTTTATGGCTAAGATCTCAAAAGCACAGACAACTAAAATAAAAATAGACAAATGGGACTAGGTTAAACCTAAAAGCTTTTGTACAGCCCAGGAAATAATCAACAGAGTAAAGAGACAACTTGTTGAATGGGAGAAAATATTTGCAAACTTTTCATCTGACATGGGAGTAATACCAGGAATATACAAGGAAGTTAACTTAACAATTAAAAAAAAATCCTGTTAAGAAGTGGGTGAGTGGCTGCTGGCAAGATGACAGAATAGGAACAGCTCTGGGCTTCAGCTCCCAGCCAGACCAATGCAGAAGGCGGGTGATTTCTGCATTTCCAACTGAGGTACCCTGTTCATTTCACTGGGACTGGTTAGGCAGTGGGTGCAGCACACGGAGGGCGAGCAGAAGAAGGGTGGGGCATCTCCTCACCCAAGAAGTCCAAGGCACGGGCAAGGGAGTCTCCCTTTCCAAGCCAAGAGAAGCTGTAATCTACAAGGAACTTAAACAAATTTTCAAGAAAAAAACAAACAACCCCATCAAAAAGTGGGTGAAGGATATGAACAGAATTTCTCAAAAGAAGACATTTATGCAGCCAACAGACATATGAAAAAAAGCTCATCATCACTGGTCATTAGAGACATGCAAATCAAAACCACAATGAGATACCACCTCATGCCAGTTAGAATGGCAATCATTAAAAAGTCTGGAAACAACAGATGCTGGAGAGGATGCAGAGAAATCGGAATGCTTTTACACTGTTGGTGGGAGTGTAAATTAGTTCAACCATTATGGAAGACAGTGTGGCGATTCCTCAAGAATATAGAACCAGAAATACCATTTGATCCAGCAATCCCATTACTTGGTATATATCCAAAGGATTATAAATCATTCCACTATAAAGACACATGCACACATATGTTTATTGCAGCACTATTTACAATAGCAAAGACTTGGAACCAACCCAAATGCCCATCAATGATAGACTGAATAAAGAAAAATTCCACATACACCATGGGATACTACGCAGCCATAAAAAAGAACGAGTTCTTTTCCTTTGCAGGGACATGGATGAAGCTGGAAACCATCATCCTCAGCAAGCTAACACAAGAACAGAAAACCAAACACCTCATGTTCTCACTCATAAGTGGAAGCTGAACAATGAGAACACATGGAAACAGGGAGGAGAACATCACACACTGGGGCCTGTCTGGGAGTGAGGGGCAAGGGGAGAGAGAGCATTAAGACAAATACCTAACGCATGCAGAGCTTAAAACCTAGATGACAGGTTGATAGGTGCAGCAAACCACCATGGCACATGTATACCTATGTAACAAACCTGCACATTCAGCACATGTATCCCAGAACTTAAAGCAAATAAAAATAAAAAAATGTGGGCGAAGGAAATAAATAGATTATTCTCAAAATAAGACATAGAAATGGCCAACAGGGCTATGAAAAAATGCCCAAAATTCCTAATCATTAGGGAAATATAAATAAAAAACACAATGAGGTGTCATTTTATCCCAGTTAGGATGCCTATTATTAAAAATACACGAAACAACAGATGCTGGCAAAGATATGTGAAAGAG
Organism: Homo sapiens; assembly: GCF_000001405.40. Lineage (NCBI taxonomy): Eukaryota > Metazoa > Chordata > Mammalia > Primates > Hominidae > Homo > Homo sapiens. Next base: position 65,193,367 of record NC_000016.10, on the reverse strand, counting down.
GGAATTCTTATATCCTGTTGTTGGGAATATAAATTAGTATGACCACTGTGGAAAACAGTGTGGAGATTTAAAAATAAAAATAGAACTACAAGCAATCCCACTACTGGGTATCTATCCAAAGGAAAACAAATCAATATATTAAGGGGATACCAGCACTTGCATATTTATTGCAGTACTATTTACAATAACAAAGATATGGAATCAAACTAAGTGTTCATTAGTGGACAAATGAATAAAGAAAATATGGTATGTATACACAACGGGACACCATTTGGACATAAAAACAATGAAATATCATTTGAAGCAACGTGGATGGAACTGGAGGTCAGTATGTTAAGTGAAATAAGCCAGGCACAGAAAGATAATATTGCATGTTCTCACTCATAAGTTGGAGCTAAAAAAAGAGTTGATCTCACAAAGATAGAGAGTAGAATGATAGATACTAGTGGCTGAGAAGGGTGGGTGGGAGGAAGTATGAAGACAGATAGGTTGATGGGCACAAACACAGTTGGGTAAAAGGTAAAAGTTCATTGTTCAACAGCAAAATAGAGTGACAACAGTGTACTGCATATTTCAAAGTAGTTAGACAAGAGGACTTAAATTGTTCTCAACACATAGAAATGATAAGTACTCAAAGTGATGGACATTTCAAATACCCTGACTTGATCATTTTGCATCCTATGCATTTAGTGAAGTAGTGCATGTACCACAATATGTATAAAAATTATGTATCAATTAAGAATAATAAATTTAAAAAATACTGCAGAGATGGGAAAAAGATCAATTGTTGCCAAGGGTTTGAGTGAGAGGGATAGGGTCAAATAGGTGAAAAACAAGGGATGTTTCAGGGTGATGAAATCCTTCTTCATGATACTGTAAAGAAGAATATATGACACTATGCATTTGTCAAAACCAGTAGAACTTTACAGCACAGAGAGAGGCTGAACATATGGAATTTAAAAAATTATTTATGGGTTTAGGAGGTCACAAAATGGAATGAATAATATGATCAAAGAATTGAACCATTTTATAAATATGTGAAATAACTTCACTGAAGAGTTGGAGGGAAAGGATAATGACCTAAGTAATTCTGAAAATGAGTGAAGTCTGTAAGACTAAAGGCAGAAGGAGCAGTACATAAGCACTGTTCTCTAGTGAATAAAGTAGTTTTCCATGGGGAATGGGTTATTAATTCTGATACCACTATACATGTGTATTGGAATTGAACAATTAAGTAAATGGTGGTGTATGGTGGCTGCCAGGTTTCCCAATACTACAGAGAAGCAAGGAGATGATACAGAGAAGCAAGGAGAGGAGGTTGAAATGATCCATGTGGTAGTGGATTACAGTTGAAAATAGTAAGAAATTACATTTAGCTTAATATAGATACAAATGGTTATATACAAAAATATTTGACATACATGTATATCCATGGCTTTAGTATACACACATATATTTCCTGGCTCTGCCAGCTGAGAGGGCCTAGAAGCAAGAAGCAATGACATAACAGTAGCAGTAAACACACCTAATGTCCTTAACTTTGTTTCTAATACTATCCTCCAGTAAAAAAGATGGGGCTTATCAGGAAAACAAATTATTCCAGGATTGGGATAGAATACAGGATGAGCATGTTGTATGGCCACAAAGTAAGTGCTAAAAGTAAGTAAATAATGAAAGTTTGTCAAAGGGACTCAGGAGCCGATGGAAATAATTCCCAATGGCCAAGGCTGGAACAATTTGAGCAAGAAAATAAAGTAGTATTGAATTAAAACTCTGACTATAAAGTAAATACTCATGAGTCCATACTGATAAAAATAAGTCCTTGAATAAATAAATCAATGTGGAGGAACAGGCAAATTTCTATGGGGAAGAATTCTATGTAATTTATGTAGATACTCCACCCTTCAAGAAAATGGAGCTTAGCTTCCCGCTCCTTTAGTATAGGCTGTGCATCATGACTAGGCAGTCATGATGCCATCCAAAGACAACAGTATAAAAAAAGAGGGAATAAAGAATAACTTTATAGTAGAAAAACCTGACAAACATGACCTCAGCCAGGTGGCCAAAGTTAACATCAACAGTGATAAGTTATCTTGAGAACATATTCTCTTTTTTATGTTATTGAAATTATTATTATTATTTTTAATTTTAGAGACACGGTCTCGCTCTACACCTCAGGCTGGAGTGCAGTGGCACAAACACAGCTCAGTGTAATCTTGAACTCCTGGGCTCAAGAGATCTTCCTGCCTTAGCCTCCGGAGTAGCCAGGACTACAGGTATGCACCACCACATCCAGCTGAGAATATGCAGTCCTGCTAGGATGTAATGAAAATGGTACTTTATCTTGGTGGTATTCCTCCAAAAAACATACAACTCCAGGTTAACCATGAGAAAAACATCAAAAAGTTTTCAATTGAAAAACATTTTAGAAAGCACCTGAACAGTAATTTTCAAAAATATTAAGATCATCAAAAGCAAGATAATTCTGAGAAATTGTCACAGCCAAAGAAACCTAAACAGAAACCATGACTAGATTCAATATAGTATACTTTATAAGATCCTGGGACCCATAAAAGACATTAGGTAAAAGCTAGGGAGATATGAATAAAGTATGGATTTTAGTTGATAATAATATATCAATATTGCTTTATTAACTGTAACAAATGTATCATACTCATGTAAGATGCTAATATTAGAGGAAGCTTGGTGTGGGGTATATGAGAATGCTCAATACTATCTTTACAAATTACTGGTAAATTAAAAACTGTTCTAATATGAAAAGTATATGGTAAAAAAAGAACAATAGCTAAAATCATTTCATATTTCCCTCAAGTATTTTTCTCTACTTATTTTATATACACTTACCTTTTATTTTATATGTTCTTATATATTTTTGATTATTTAGAAATATATGCACCATTGTTATGAAAAACACTTTCTTTAAATAATTACAATGGTAGTAAATGTTGTGTTTGGAGGTACCAAAATATCCTCCTTCATTTAAAGTGTTTCATGAGCATCTCTATCTATAAAACATCTTCCTCATAGTAGAGTACTTCTTAAAGATTCAATATACAGGGTTTTTTTCCCCACTTACTTCCAAGGATAAGTATGAGCGATGTGGTCATTTGAAGGACAGAGGGGAGGAAGCAGTAGTATATACTAAGCGCAGTGCTTCTCACATATTTACATACATAAAACAAACCTGTGGCTATTGTTAATTAAAATGTATGCAGATTTCAATTCAGTGTATCTGGGATGGGACCTGAGAGTCTGCCGTTCCAACAAGTTCCGAGGTGATGCTAATACTAATTCTTCAGAACCATGGACCCTACTTTGGATAGTCTGGCAGTAAAAAACACGTTGCCTGGATTCACGTGAGCTGGATTGTCTGATTTATCATTTCTGTCTCATGTGCAACTTTCAAAAATCACATGCTATCTGGGAAACACATGCCCTATCTTATTCTACTTTCAACCTTGACCGTTGTGAATTAAGTCATGAATCTAGAAGTTCTCTGTATGTTTGCGTGCTCTTTTTCTTCCTCTCTCTCATTGGGAAGTTTGCTGCGGTAAAGCCTCCCACGTTGCACATTTCACCTTTTGCAAAAATGTCTCAGTCACAAAAATGGCAACATTAGCCACTAGGACATGCAAGAAATGGCTGCGGTACCATTAAGGTTCTTACAGTCCTCGTTGCCAGGAGTCAGACCGTTTAATCCTCATTAGGACCAATATCATTAACAGAAAGAGTTAGGAGACATAAGTGGCAATAAAACCTAAGCCTTGTTTTCAAGGAAATTGACATTCTTAGTAGAGCTGGGCAGGGTATGGGTCGTTTGGAATGGTGGAATCATCATTAAGCAAGAGCAAGTCAATCACGCTGAGGATGGAAGGCAAACCTTGTGTTTTCCTAGAAACGGATGCTCTCAGCAGCATGCTCCAATCAGGAGCCCATGACAATATTCTCGCCAAAATGAACAGGCATGTTGGAGTTTGCATTTCTGTCCCTGAGATATGATCATTGAGTTGTCAAGTAACATGAGATCTAAGAGTCATAGATTCAACTCAGACAGATCCAGCATAAACTCGCAATAAGGAAAACAGACTTTATTTCATTTACTTAGTTGACTGGAAGTTAATCAAGTATATTATTTTATTATAAAGGTTTCTCCAGCGCTGATAAATGGGTGGATGGATATACATATGGATAGATTAATGGGTTAAAATGTGAAATAAATAAGTGAACAAATTAAGGTGTGAATGAATAAGGATTTGATAGACTCAAGCAGTTGGGATTTTGTGAATAATGTGATTATATTTCTAACATGCCAGAAACTCCATTAAACCTAAGCTTCTAACTAGCACATGCAGAATGATAAAGCTAAAGAAAAGCAGGTAAACCAAATTTACCTACATGTGGATTTAGAAATTGGAAAAGGAGGAGGAAAATGGCAAAAGACTAGATTGAAAAATCTATAAGGGCAGAAACCAAGTCTATCTTATATATGACTATAAATCTAGCACAAATTATACTTTTAGGCACACAACAGACACTTAATAAATATTGTTGAGTGAATGAATTAGCAGGTAATTATTATAATTGTATCAATACTTCTATAAAGTTATAGAAGAATAATTTATGAAGTACATGTGGAGGCTCCATTTTCAAAAATTTTGATCCTGAAAGTTTGGGAAGAGTCCATGATATTACTTCTTCAATAAATATCCCTGGATGACTTGGATGCAGGTAAGCATCATAGAGAGGAATCTCTATCAATTCTTTCTAAGGTTCTTTCCAGGTTGTTCCAAAGGGCCACTTTCATGACATTGTGATGCAGGCTGTTTTAAAGCTCAATATTGAAAACAGATTTTTGGCTTTTTTTTTTTTTTTTTTTTTTTTTTTTTGAGATGGAGTTTCGCTTTTGTTGCCCAGGCTGGAGTCCGATGGCATGATCTCGGCTCACCGCAACCACTGCCTCCGGGTTCAAGTAATTCTCCTGCCTCAGCCTCCTGAGTATCTGGGATTATAGTTATGCACCACCACACCCGGATAATTTTGTATTTTTAGTAGAGATAGGCTTTCTCCACGTTGGTCAGGCTGGTCTCGAACTCCCGACCTCAGGTGATCTGCCCGCCTCAGCCTCACAAAGTGCTGGGATTACAGGCGTAAGCCACCGCACCGGACCAGATCTTTGGTTTTAAGTTCAGGACTTTCCTTCTGAAATAATAAATTTTCCAGGCCATTGCTTGAGTAAAAATTTTTGAAAACAAGTTAAAACTACACTATGTTCAGAAGATTTTATGCCTCACCCTTTTCTATGTCTGTAACTATGGCTGTTCTCAACTCTGGATCAATATTGATGGAGGGGTTTTAAATAGAATGATGCTCAAAGCATACCACAAGTCACCTAAATTACAAACCTAGAGATTGGCTAAGGTGTTGGTTAGAACAGGTGTCCTCAATACAACCAACGTGAAGGACCTGCCTCCTCTGAACTTGCAACATTTTGAATTAATTTTCAAATATCCCTTGATATCTGCTTTTCCTCCATTGGTTGTTTATTTTCTAAAACCTGCCAGATTCCAAAAAAATTGTATATCATAAATTCTAGTTAAAAACAAAGAAAAAGCCCACGGCATTAAAAATGAACCAGAGCAGAAATAAACTGGGAAAGAATCCATTTTCGAAATTGTAGTTTCATGCCATTTACTTTTATTTAAGAATTTAGTTTGGCAAGACCACAGCATGTTCCATTGTCATGCAGCTTGGATTTGGGAGAGGGGAAAAGTTTTGCAAATGTTTTTATGCAGAAGAGACTGCTGTCTTACTAACCTGCCCTTGAAGTGGCACCACTGCCTGTACTAGTATTCTCAGATAGGTAAGGAGCATTCACAAATGCATAATCTCCATTTGCTAATTAAAAAGTGTAGGCCGGGCACTGGAGCTCACGCCTATAATCCCAGGACTTTGCAAGGCCGAGGTGGGTGGATCACTTGAGGTCAGGAGTTCAAGACCAGCCTGGCCAACATGGCGAAAAATCATCTCTACTGAAAGTACAAAAATTAGGCAGGCAAGGTGGCATAGGCCTGTAGTCTGAGCTACTCGGGAGGCTGAGACAGGAGAATCGCTTGAACCTGGGAGGCAGAGGTTGCAGTGAGCAGAGATGGCGCTACTGCACTTCAGCCTGGGTGACAGAGCATCCTTCTCAAAAAAATTTAAAAAAAAAATTAAATAAAAAATACATGTGCTTTCTATATCTCCTACCTGCTCCAAAACAGGTTTAAGAAATATTTAAATATAACTCAATATGTACATCTATCCATGTACATGTGTATATAAACGTACATTGGAAGTAGATAAAGACGACAAGTCAAAGGGAAAACAAGGACAGACACAAAATGAACCCAGACATCAGTCCACATCACTATTCACCCTCCTCTCTACAGGCCTTCCTGAGGCTCCCAAGTCCTCTCCAATCTGCCAACTTCTATCAGCCTTAGTCGTCGTCTGAGGATGCTGACTGCACACCATGTTGACTCCACCCAGACACACTGGACCTTGTTCTCTATCTAACACTCTCTGCCATGACTCTCCAACTTTGGCAGGCACCAGGATCAGTTAGAGAACTTGCTTGTAAAGACTCAGATTGCTGAGCTCCTCCAGCAGAAGATTTGACTCAGTAGGTCTGGGGTGGGGCCTCAGAAGATAATGCTTCTCCAGACTTACAAGAAGACCATGTACTGGCTTCCACCATCTTCTTTAGGCCCAATTACTAGCATTCACTCTGTAGCCTCCAAGTTCTTACTGCAGAGACTTTTGTCAGGTTCCTCAATGAGCCACACTCTGTTCTGCTACAAGCCCTTTGCCAACCTACAGTTCCCTCTCACCACGAAACATATGACATACAACCCCTGCCCCACCATTTCCAATGCCCTATTTGTCCAGTTAAATCATGTGCCATTTCCACAGGGAAGCCCTTCCTTTAAATCAGGACTCTTTGTTTTAACCTGGACTATATTCCTTTCCTTTACAGTGCTTATCTCAATAGGTTATTATACATTCATGAGTGTAATATGTGGGTTAATGTGCCTCTCCTCCCCTAGACTCCAAGCACCATGAAAGTGAGAGCTATATTTGTTTTTGTTCATTGATTTCCTTAGGTCCTAGAACATGACTTGGGGCAGAGGGAACCCATTTACTTTGAATGGAATAAGGTCACATACACTTGCTAAGGTTGGATTTCACACTTAGCTGGAAGTTTCTAGCCACAATTTTAAAAGGCAGGCAGGCAAAGAAAGAAAAGAAAGGAGGAAGAAAGAGAAAGAGAAAGAAAAGAAAAGAAAGAAGTAAGGAAGGAGAGAGAGAGAGAGAGAAAGAAAGAAAGAGAAAGAAGGAAAGAAAGAAAGGGAGGGATGAAGGAAGGAAGAAAGAAAGGACAGAGGAAAGGAAGGAAAGAAGAAAGGAAGGAAGGAAGGAAAGAAAGAAGAAAGGTAGAAAGGAAGAAAGGAAAATAAAGAATCAACTATGTGATTCAGTCTTCCTATTACCCATAAATTTCAAGAAAATTAATTATTCAGAATTATTAAAACTAGCTCTGATTTTTAATGCAATGAGAGTCTCATGTGATTCAAACATGCTCATCAGCCAAAAGTAACAAAACATGCATTGATGGCATCCCAACTGAAAACCCAGTAATCAGGTTCTTGGCATGGCTCCTGACCTTGTCTCAGCTCCCAGTAAAGGCCAGGAGAAGACTTCCAGAGCACAATGTAGTGGGTATGGGTGGACAGAATGTGATCATCTGCAGGTACAGTGCTGATGGCTGATGCTCTGGTTTAATCCAGAGTTGACTTAGAGTCCTCAGAGGAATAGATGGACTCAATATACTCCAGGCCATATTCCAAGAATGTTGTCTCTCTCAGCCAAAACCTTCAAAAGACATTGGACATCCCACTGTGCTTAAGATTTTACTCGCTGGAAAGTCACCGAAGGGCATTTTGGGTGTGTTCCATTAAAGAGTGAAGCTATGTGCTTTAAGAGCTAGCCTGGATGAGATACCTGAACCTCAGACAAGCTGCCTAGGGCCCCCTGGGTTGCCCAGGGTTTCATCTACGATAATGTTAATACTCATATTCTGGCCTCTCTTATCTCCTAGCTTAAATCTTTCAGGTTCCAAATTTGTTACAGAAAGCTTCAGAGGAGGCACAAAGACTAACATAGTTGGGAGAAGGTGGGCTGAGCATGGATCACAGTGACCTGGCTTCAGATCCTGCCTCTGTATACCCTGGAGTAAATTATATAAACTGGCAAGCTATATACTCGATTAAATTATGTAAGCCATCTGAACACTCATTTCCTCAACTGGAAATGTTACCTATTTTTTTAAATTAAGAATAAGTAAAACAACGTATGCGATGTATTCAGTTTATGAAATATAATAAATGCTGTTTTTGTTGTCATTCATCGCTCAGGATTTTAATCAGCTATTATTTTGAGAAAGCCAAAGCTTGACATACTACTACAAAATGATAGAACAGGAATTTTTATTTGTGAAACAAAGTAGACTTGAGGCCAAGCTAAGCATTGCTACTGGCCTTTGTTCTTGTTCCCTTTTATGCCTTGGGAAAGACCCAGTGGATGCTTTTGAAAAACTAAAATAGGAAAAAAGTGATTCCCCAGAGCCTGGAGGTTGATGGAGTCTAAAAGAACCAGGTTGCCCGTTGCTCACAGTCATGTGGTGGCAGGGCAGGCACCTGAAGCCCACCTCAGAGACTTTTGTTCACAGCTGAGTCCTGCAACTGAGGGTGCTCACAAACTCCTTGTAATTCAGGTATTAACCTGGCTTGCTAAGCTGCCAGATCCTCTCCCCAGTGGTTTCTGTAGAGTTTTAAGTTTGTCAGCTCATTTTTCACTTGCAGCATCTATCTCTGGAAATGGCAAATGGTCTTGGGCTGCCCCCAACTCTGATGAGCATTCAGAGCATTTTTTAACAGAATCTTCCATTTTTAATTTTGCTTGGAGCACCATAGTCCAACAGCAGTCACTGGGCATTGGGAGACATAGTTTCCACCTGATTCTGACCCTCAAAGGGCATTCATTCAGGAGAGGGAATGGAATGTGCAAAGTGAAAGAGGCAACCACAGGGTCTGGGCTGTGTAGAAAGTGTTAGGAAATTCAGCAGAGCTGGAGTCTTTGGAGTATAAGGGGTGGTGATGGGGAATAAGGTCAGGTGAGGATGTTGAGAATGACATTAAAAGGCTCTTGTTGCTCCAGAGTTTTTCTTACTCTCCTAAGACACAAGAAATCACCATGTGTGAAATGGACATGGAGGTGCTGGAACAATCAGATGATATTTAAGAAATCATTCTTACTCTGGAAGCCTTTGTGAAGGATGAAGAGAAGTTATTATAGACAGGAGTAAACAAAACACCAGTTAAGAAGTTGTTATAGTAGTCCAGATTTTTAAATTATATATATATATATATAATCTATATATACTTATATAATACACGTACAATTTAAAAATATATATGTGTATGTGTTTGTGTGTATATATATACACAATATATGTATGTATGTATATATCTATATATATACACACATACAAAAACCTATGCGTGTGTGTGTATATATATATATACACAAGGCACACATACGATGTTTAAACAGAGAAATCAGAGTGAGGATGGAGAGTAATCATTAAACTGAGAATGGAATCCCATAGGAAGGCAATCCTATGGAAAAAAAATCAATTGATTGTGGGAAAAAATAGAAAAGCAGGTTTTTAATTTTCTGACTTGTATATCTGGGCAGGTGAATAAATGGTCATGAGGGATACTTTAAACAAATGCCTTTTCCTCCAGGATCTTGGTTTTATTGTTAGTAAGATTAGAATATTGGAAGACAGGACTTTATAGGGATAGAGGGAGAATGTGTGACCTCTTGCAACCACAATTATTGTCAAAGTGGCCTTCTAGTCACCAAACAGCAGCTATATTTTTAGCTGAGAGCTGGTGATTTGAACCTGCAGCATGAAGCTCTACATAGAAATATTTGAAAACCAGGGTTAATGCTTCAGGGCATGTTGCATCTTTGAATACTATAATGAAAATGTATGCTAAATTAAATAGTTCCTACCTTGGCTTCTCAGTGTGCTTGAGCTATTTAATAGTACTTAAACAAAGACACTCACTTCCCAAAATGGTGAGATCTCTGCAACATGGATCCATGAGCTAGTCCTATGTCCTTGGGCAATTTGCAAAAATTATCTCATTCTTCATTTCCCTAGCTCCAAAATGGGGTTACTAATACCGATCTATTCAGATTTTAGTGAGATACAATAAGGGAAGACAAATAAAATGACAACTATGGAGTTTGACACACAGAAGTATTTACTTGAAGTTATTCCTTCTATTCTTCTTGTTAGAGGATGCAGTCTCAAGTGATGGAATATTTGATGATTTGAAGTCAAATACTGGAGTCTGTCTGGTGAATCTGAGTAATTCGTGTTCTAGGAACCTCGATTTTTTCAACCATAAAATGGAGCAATGAGTAGCTATTTTACATGGTTGACAAAGTATCGGTCTTCATTTGCTAGTGTTCATTGGATGGATCATGTTACATTTTTGTTGTTGTTGTTGTTGTTAGTGTTTTCTCTTTGAAATGGAGTCTCACTCTTGTCACCCAGGCTGGAGTGCAGTTGCACGATCTCGGCTCACTGCAGCCTCCATCTCCCAGGTTCACGCAATTCTCCTGCCTCAGTTTCCCAAGTAGCTGGGACTACAGGCTCCTGCCACCATGCCCAGCTAACTTTTTTATTTTTAGAGGAGATGGGTTTTTGCCATGTTGCCCAGGCTAGTCTCAAACTCCTGATTTCAAGTGATCCGCCCACCTTAGCTTCCCAGAATGCTGGGATTACAGGTGTGAGCCACCACACCTGGCGATTATGATACATTGTATCACCTTTTATAAAATGAGCTTCAACGAAAAACAAGGCATGGTTATAAGAGGTTTGCTCAGAATACAACAACCAATCCAGGGAAGGAGGAACTAGAACGGTCTCTTCTTGACTAATTAATTGGTGATGAATACAAGGGAGAGAGGGCATCCTAAACTCTAAAGAACTGGGAAAGAAGCCAAGTGTAAATATTTTCTTTTCTGAATAATTTATTGTCTAACATGATTATACTAATTCAATTAACAGCAAACAATATATTTGAAAATCGACTGAATTCTATGTGTCAGACACAGTACTAGGTCTTAAAAGAAATGGAAGAAGACAAGAGAAGAAAACACAATCTCTTACCTGACGGTTTCCAGTGTAAGCAACCCACAAGCAAATAAGAGTGGGGAGTTAAATCGGTCATTCGAGTAACAGTAAACATACTGATCCTGATGCACGAGAAGCTATTTCTTGGCTTCACCTCTTTTCCTTAGGTGGCCAATACCTGCCTTTTGCAAGGAGTTAATTCCTCAATTAGGAACCCAACAATTTTGACAGTTTGAGAAAGAACTAAATCACAGAGGTAAGAGAAGATTGTGCTTCCCAAGAGAGGCTCACACAGGGACACAAAAAGACCTTGAACATCTATAAAACATGGGCCCCCACTGAGAAAGGCAGAATGCATTTTATATTTCTAAACAAACTTTAATATTTTTCATCTGGAGTTATTTCTATACTATCAGCAGAAAAAAAAAGGCAACCTCTGCATGTGGTTGTGTATTTATGAGTGAGTTTTATCTGTAAACAGATTTGTAACTAAAAACAGAAATATCTTTTTATGGGAGACAGCTGGTTGAGAGATTAAAGATACACAAGGAGAGAGAGGGGCTCAAATTAACAAACATTCCTAGACGTAGAATGTCTGTGAGTATTAGGAATCTTCTAACTTGTGACCTAAAAAACATCTAATCCCCACTGGTTTTCCAGCATAGGTTTCAGCCTACTTGGCATTTAGAAGAGAAATGAAAACAAAAACAAAAGTTGGAAAGCCTAGTGCAAAGCTATAATGCTTCAAAATCTCAAGGAATCATAAATAACTATAAATACTATGTGAGCAAAAAATTCCTAAATATGTAGTTTCATTTGCGGGATTCAGAAAAAAAAAATATTCAAATTAGGCCAATTCTGGGTTTGCTCCCCCCCTTGTGGAGTACAATAACATGTGTGTCTGCAATTTGGATTTGATTCCTAAGTTTCTAGCATCTGCCACATGTTTGTGCTGAGAGCGTGCTGTATTGGAATAAAACTATTCTTGGGTTTATTTTTCAAAGGACGCTAGCAAGCATGGATTTACAAAACTTTTTATTGAGGTTGGGTGTGACTCTTTGAATCTAGTAAACCAATCCCCAAATAGGATTTGGTATACCAATAATCAAAACATCTTCAGTTATTTTCTTTCTACTCCAGGAATGGATTTTTAAATAAAAGGCCAGAGCTCAGGCTGGCTTCTTTGCTGTGGTCACGGTCATGGGAACTTTGATGGGAGAGGGTTTGAGGGCAATCACTTTCCTGCGGTGAGCTCTATGCTCCAACTCGAGTCATTCGTGCTTTAAGTTGATTTAATTTCTAGAATCACCTGAACAAGACCAAGGCCTAGAGTTGGTTCTACTCAATGATTTTCCTGCTAAAACCAAAGTCGCATTGATTAGGATTGGCTGATCCTGGAGAAATTAGGCAAGGTTAATTTCCTACATTTTCCCTCTTACGCTAGCTGGTTATTTCCCAAAATTCCATTATTAAAATTAATTTACATTTTAAATTTTTTTCATAAAGGAAATGCATATGTCTCTCATAAGTGAAAAACCATTATCAATCACAAGTAAAATGTCATACAACAAACATCTTATATACAATTGTATATATAATATATAATACAATGTGAAATACATTTTAAAATACATACAATGAACAGAAAACAAAGCAAGAAATTACTGCTTCTGAAAGACTCTTAAGCCTGATGCTTACTCTTTTGTGACTGTTGTTGTTTAAAGGGAGGTTGGAAGGTTTTAGATAGATGTTAAAGACAGATTACCAATAAATATATTAACTGGACTGATTACTAAAAACATTACATGTTTACATTATCTAATATTTAACGTCATGTGCTCATACTACCGTGAACACTCTTCTTTAATACTGTCGGTATTTTGTATTCCAGGCTTTGAAAAATCCTTCTTTAGTAGACAGCTGTTACTATTTATATTGAAGCCATATCACTTGATAAGGCTGAACATTTTAAGAGCTTATCAGTCATCAGCACCTATGGGGTGCAGGTTAGATTCCTTTTTTTAAATTAAATTTTATTTATTTATTTATTTTTGAGATGGAGTTTTGCTCTTGTTGCCTAGGCTGGAGTGCAATGGCGTGAGCTCGGCTCACTGCAGCCTCTGCCTCCTGGGTTCAAGCAATTCTCATGCCTCAGCCTCCCAAGTAGCTGGGGTTACAGGCGCCCACCACCATGCCCGGCTAATTTTTTGTACTTTTAGTAGACAAGGTGTTTCACCATGTTGGCCAGGCTGGTCTCGAACTCCTGGCCTCAGGTGATCCGCCCGCCTCGGCCTCCCAAAGTGCTGGGATTACAGGCATGAGCCACTGCGCCCGGCCAGCTTAGATTGTATTCTGCTCCCTTTCCTGCCGATCAACCCCGCCTTGCCTCATCTTTCTCATTCTAGGACTCAAACACAGGGTGACACCTGTACTCTCTTATACCTCCACACTTTTATATACATTGTTTCTACCCTCTGTAAAATTATCCCCTCAAGAGAGTTCTTCCTTTCACAAACATGTCTTGGTCCTTCTAGACAACCCCCTTCACCCACCAAGATTCAAAGAATATTTAGAGGACAACTCGATGATAGATATTTAATGCACTACACTTCAAAGAATTTATTAATCAAAAATATTTATGTAAAGGTATAAAGATAATGGGTGCAAGAGTGATTATTTTAGCATTGTTTGAAAGGAAAAAAATGGAAGTTATGATAATATGCTTACATATGGGATTGGCTAAATAACCATGTTTCATCCATAAAATATAATATTCTAGAGTGGTTAAAAATAATGGTCTCATCTATATTCTCATGTGGGAAGATAGCCGTTGTGTCTATACAATTTACCGAGCCCCTCCTCTTTCTTTACTTGGATTGTTTAATCCATTTATTAAATCTTCATAAAATTGCTAAAGAGTAGCAGAGCAGTATCACCCCATATTACACATGAAGAAATCAGGACATAGAGTTATTTGACCAAACTCACCCTGTTAGTGGCAGAGCCAAGATTGAACCCTAGGAATGCTGGAGCCTTAGATAGTGCTTTTAAATTTCAGACTGCATTGTAGATCATGTGGTTTGGTTCTGTGTCCCCACCCAAATCCCACCTTGAATTGTAATAATGCCCACATGTCATGGGAGGGACCCAGTGGGAGGTGATTGAATCATGGGGGCAGGTTTTTTGTGCTGTTCTTGTGATAGTGAATAAGTCTCACAAGATCTGATGGTTCCCCTGCACATGCTGTCTCCTGTCTGCTGCCAATTAAGATGTACCTTTTCTCTTCATTCATCTTCCACCATGATTGTGAGGCCTCCCCAGCCATGTGGAACTGTGAGCCCATTAAACCTCTTTCCTTTATAAATTGTCCAGTCTTGGGTATGTCTTTATTAACAGCATGAAAACAGATTAATACAGTAGGTCTTGAGGAACATACATCAAATTGTTAACTCTGTTTATCTTGGAAGGAAGTAGCAAGTGTTATAAGGCATATTTCTGTGTCCCTGTCAGGGAACATGGTCCTTGATTCCCTGATGACCTGCACTCATTACCTAATCGATTCCATTAAGCACTAATTAGGGAGTAGAGACATGCAAGGGGACATTTCTATTTATGATCTGGGTCCAATATCAGGTTGCTAGTGTTACACTGAGAGCCCCAATGTCAGGCGTAAAGACCTTTCAAAAGAACTCATCCCTGCAGGACTGTATTTTCACAGCCACATTCCTGCTGATCTCATTTTGGGTCACTGGCTCCCAGTCATGATTCCTCATCATTTCCTGCCTTCTTGACCTTCTCAGTTGAGCAGTTCTTGTACCGAACTCACCTCAGTTCTGTTTGATTTTTATGTCTTCTAAGATTTAGAGTCTTTCCTAAGGCTGCCTGTGTATCAAAGCTCAACTTACCCTTTCTTTTGTGGTACGGGGATTTTTATTTCCATGATAATGCTGAGCCTGAACAATTGTTCCCAAGTTAGGATGGGTAAGACTGAAGGTGATTTTATCCTATGGTTTTAATCTTTGGATCACACCTGTCTTTTCAAGGTGAAGCACAGAAATATATTCTAGGGAGCTGTTGATGAAATCACTGAGGCTGGAGCTGGCTAATTTTTAAGTAAATTGTAATAACTATTGGCAATTATTCTGATAATCTCTCTTTGAAAACAAAAGCTCTGGGCAGCATGACAAGTATCTTGGAGTACCATCCTACTGACAACAACATAATTATTATTATAGCTGTTATTATTCCCCAGAAGTTTATTTGCAAACTTTAAATGGCAGGTAGTTTTAATCTGGTTTGCTGCCAGATACCGGGTGTCCCTCCCTCTGTCTTGGTTAACAATGCCTATAAACATCACCTGGAAATAAGTCTGCCTTGCTTGGACCATTTCTGTGATACAAAGTGGTAAAAGATGATGAAACATCAGGGGATTTAACTATATCAACATGATTGGCATTGCTGCTGGTGCTATTATTACCATGAATATAGGGTCTTATATGGGAAAGACACTATAAGCTCATCGCATTAAGACAAGACTTCTTGTCTTCCCAAGGAAACAGCAAGGCAAACCATTTCAGAGATTATGACATTAAGGACCTGAGAGGTCATGTGATTTGATGAAGGTCATCAGTAAGTGGTGGAACCATGATTTTTTTTTTTTTTTTTTTTTTTTTTTTGAGACAGGATCTTGCTCTGTCACTCAGGCTGGAGTGGAGTGGCATGATCACATCTCACTGCAACCTCTAACAGCTGATCTCAAGTCAGCCCCCTCCTCAGCCTCCTGAGAAGCTAGGACTACAGGCATGTACCAGCACACTTGGCTAAGATTTTTATTTTGTGTAGAGATGGGGGTCTCAATATGTTGCCCAGGCTGGTGGAACCATGATTCTGATGTGCACTTTCCTGACCCAGAACCCCAACACATTATCCAACTCAGGCTTCCATGGAGTAACCACAAACTTGCTCTTGGTGTCATCCCACCTTTGAAAGGAATTCAATCGACTCTGAAATGCTGAGGGCATTCAGCATCTGACAAATCCGAGTGTTAAGGAAAGGTACCTCTAATTCCTGGTTTGGAGCCACCATGAAGCTGTGGGGACCTATGAATCGGCGTCTTCTCTTCTTCCTAACCACAACTATGCATATTGGAAGCTCCAATACCTCCACACTGTGCTGCCTCAGCACACAGCTGTGGGATGTCTTCCAGAGAAGACGTTTATTTTCACTGACCCATCCTCTCCCACGCTTTAGTTTTATTTTTTTTTAAATGGGTCAAAGTGTGAACAATCATCATCCACATGAAATCTTCCAGCTGCTTCTGGAGCTGTTTGGAGACCAACGTCTGAAAGCCAACTCTTCAATCATTTCTCAGAGGGAAGAGCCCTGGGGACAAGGCCAGGGCTAAGAGGGACGAGAGAGCCAGGAAAGTCCAGGCCAAGGGTGCCTCTTGAACCTTGTGGCTGAGGGGAGCAGGCTGTTGGGATGATCAGCAGACATGGAAAGTCCTTCCAGCTCTACCCCTGTGTATTTCCCAGCGAATGCTCTCGGATTTTAGGA
This sequence comes from Homo sapiens, assembly GCF_000001405.40. NCBI lineage: Eukaryota > Metazoa > Chordata > Mammalia > Primates > Hominidae > Homo > Homo sapiens. Next base: position 65,176,539 of record NC_000016.10, on the reverse strand, counting down.
CTTACCTCCTAAAATTTTCACTTGGTCTAAAGCAAAAGGCCCCAGGCTTTCTGTCAGGAGCTGCAACTTTTCATCTGATGAGGAGGTAATGAGATTTGCTGAATTCTGGCTATGGGGTTCTGTGTTAAATACTTTTTTTAATCTTTTTTTTTTTTGAGACAAACTTCACATAACATAAAATTCACCATTTTAATTATTTTGAAGAGTACAATTTGGTGGTTTCCAGACCACAATGTGCAACCATCATCACTATCCATGTTCAGAATATTTCCAGCACATCATCTCACAGAATCCCATCAACACTACTATGAGGTAAGAATTCTTGTTTGCATTTTACAGATGAAGAGATGGCACATCAGAGAAAAGTGACAAAGGTGGCAAAGGTGTGGAGTGGTGCGACTGGCATTTCCATTCCAGAGTGCATCACTTCAAACCTTACATTCCTGAGGCTGTTCGTCGAAGGCTTCTCACAGTAAGCTTTCTTGATATGTGGAGGGGCTTAGGTGCAACAAGAGGCTGTGCTTTACTTCTCCGAAGGAACACAGAAAAGCAGATGGGGGAGAAACAGTTGGTGGCATCAAGCTTTTAAACCTACCAAGAAAAAATGAGAAAGCTACCAGGAGATTGCAATCTGTAAATTAGGAAGCGTTGTGTTGGGGGGGTGGGTGGTAGCAGGTGGAGGTTTATGACTTTGATGCAAATGGAGCAGTGGGTATAAATAAAAAAACAAACAAAAAAAGAGTGTGAGTTTCCACCAGAAAGCCTACATGTACGTCCATATGTGGATCAGTATCTCACCAGTCCTATTTCAGGCATTTCTCTGCAGAACTCTTGTCATTTCTCTGACGGATGAAGGTATACTATGCTCTTAGCCAGTTATCAGCAGGTGAGCTAAGCAGCTCGTGTAATGCAGGGCCAGGGTTAGTATAGGTGGGAGCTGTTAGTGAGGAAGAATGGGTACAAGAGTGAGGAGAGTCATTCTGGACAGGTGATCACACAGCGTTAGAGGACATGAACTCAGGTGGTAAAGGCAGGCAGCAGGTTCCTTTGGGCAAAACCCAAAGATGGAGAGTTGTGATCTCTTGCATTAGAGATGGATTCAGGCAGAATACTGGAAGGGAAGCGAGACTGGGACCCCTGAGGCCACACCTACAGCTTTTATTCTTGGAGCAGCAAGCAGCAGGCTTTCCTAATTCATTTTTTTTCTCTCTCTCTTGCAGTCTAAACTGCAGTTCATTTATTGCAGAGCCCTGTTCACATGGGTTCTCAGAGACATTTTCATTCTCGCTTCTCACCACGCTGGAGATGAGAACTAGATGTGGTTTTCTAGATACAGTCTACATTTCCCTTTGAATCTGGAAGTCCGGCTTCAAGGTCAAGTATAGCTTCTTTCTTCTCATTGTTGGTCAGTGAGTTCCCTGGGATTCTCTTCCTTTCAGTTTATGTTGGTCTGAGTGTTTGGAGTTTGCAGCTGAGCCCCTCCACCTGAACCCTCAAGCCTCCCCTGTCAGTTTCCTCAGTGACGCACTTCAATTACACATACCCCCTTTGAATCCCTCACTTTCTAAAACTGCTGAAGTCTCTTCATAAAACAAAATATTTTAAAACATTTCCTTGAAGAATCAACAGAATACAAAGTTGATTCTCCCCCAAATTAATCTGTAGGTTTAATACAATTCCTATTAAAATCTCAGCAAGGTTTTTTGTAGACATAGACAAGCTTATTCTAAAATCCATATGGAAAGGCAAAAGACATAGAACAGATAAAGCAACTGTGAAAAAAAAAAGGGTAAAGGAGTCATCCTGTCTGGTGTTAAGGCTATTCTATGGCAATAATAATCAAGGCAGACTGGTATTGGCAGAGAGAAGGGCACAGGCCAGTAGCACAGAATGGGGAACCCAGATATAAACCTATACAAATACACCCAACTGATTTTTGACAAAAGCACAAAAGGGTAGCCTTGCCTAAAAATGGTCCAAATGGGCCAGGTGCGGTGGCTCACACCTGTAATCCCAGCACTTTGGGAGCCCGAGGCGGGTGGATCACCTGAGGTCAGGAGTTCGAGACCAGCCTGACCAATATGGTGAAACCCCGTCTCAAAAAACGAGCAAACAAACAAAAATAGCCAGGTGTGGTGGTGAGCACCTGTAATCCCAGCAACTCGGGAGGCTGAGACAGAGGAATCACTTAAACCTGGGAGGCAGAGGTTGCTGTGAGCTGAGATCATGCCACTGCACTCCAGTCTGGGTGACAGAGCGAGTTTCCGTCTGAAAAAGAAAAAAAACAAAAGAGTCCAAATGTAGCATTTGGACATCCACAGGCAAAACAATAACAACATCAACTAAATCTGGACTTTAAACTCACAACTTGTGCAATTATCAATTTAAAATAGATCACAAACTTAAATAAAATATGTAAACCTATAAAACTTTTGGAAAAAAAGGAAAAACAAGATAAAATCATTAAAATCTGGAGTTAGACAAAAATGTTTTAGACTTGATACTAAAGGCAAAAGCCATAAAAGAAAAATAGGATAAATTGGCTGTTGTCAAAATTTTAAAAATTTGCTCTTTGAAATACCCTATCAAGAGGATGAAAAAACAAGCTACACACTCTGAGAAAGTATTGGCGAACCGTGTATCTGGAAAAGGATTAGTATCTAGAATATATAAAAATCTCTTGAAACTCAAGAGAACAAAAAACTAATAAAACGTTCAAATTAGAAAATGGACAAAATACATTTAGAGCCATTTCACCAAAGATATAAGCAAATAATGGCAGATAAGCACACGAAAAGATGTTCCTCACTAGCTGTTATAGAAACTCAAATTAAAACCATGATGAGATATCATTACATACCTATTAGAATGGCAATAATAAAAATAGAGAAAACACCAAATGCTGAAAATCTGGAGGAGCAACTGAATCACTCATCCATTGTTAGTGGGCATGTGAGATGGTACCACCACTCTGGGTAACAGTTTGGCAGTTTCCCATAAAACTAGATATACAACTACTTTATAACTCAGGAGTCACAGATGGCATTTATCCTAGAAAAATGAAAACTTAAGTTTATATAAAAACCTGTACATAAATGTTCATAGTAGCTTTATTCATACTAGGGAAAACCTATAAACAACCTAAATGTTTTTCAACAGGTGAATAATTCAACAGACTGTGGTACATCTATACCATTAATTACTATGCAGCAGTAAAAACAGAGTGGACTACGACTACACACAGAAGCTTGGGTTGATCTCAGGGGAATTATGCTGAATGAAAAAAAGCCAGTCTCAAAATATTACATGCTGTATGATTCCATTTATATAACATTTTTGAAATAGAAAATCATTATGGAGATGGAGATTAGTCATTGCCAGACCTTTGGGTTGGTGTAGGGGATTGGTGGGATAATATAAAGGATGAAAAGAATAAGACAAATAAGTAGTCTGTGGCAATGAAAACATTCTGTGTCTTGAATTGAATGTGGTGGTGGTGGTGTTTACCCAAATCCACGCATGTGATAAAACTGTATATAACTATACACACACACACACACACACACACACACACACACAAGTTCATATAAAACTGGTGAAACCTGAATAAGCCTTGTGATTTATATCAATGTCAATTTTCTGATGTTTTTGTTGTACCATAGTTATGTGAGATGTCATCATTGGGGAAAAGTTGGTGAAGGCCATATAGGACCTCTTGGTACATATTTTGGCAACTTCCTGTGAGTCTATCATTATTTCAAAATAAAAAGAAAAAAATAATAAAAATTCCCTTGAGCATAGTACTCCTACAAATGATCACCATTATTTTATTCCATGAAATAAAGCCTACAGTTACCTCCCATGCTTCTCTCAGGCATTAATTCTATCACTTACAATCTCATTTCCCTTCTACCAATTCATTCCAATTATTTTCCGTGAGGCCTGTGACTCTTTGGCCCCTTCTAGAGGAATTTGATCATATGGTGAATATTCACTGCACTCTGTCCTGAATAATTCTAATTTGTTGAAAGATGTTTGAGTAGGAAAATGAGAAGCAATTTCTAAAACACTGATGCATTAGTTTGTTCTCATGCTGCTAATAAAGACATACCCAAGACTAGGTAATTTATAAAGGAACGAGGTGTAATTGACCCACAGTTCAGCATGGCTGGAGAGGCCTCCAGAAACTTGCAATTCTGGTGAAAGGGAAAGCAAGTACATCCTTCTTCACATGGTGGCAGCCAGGAGAAGTACAGAGTGAAGGTGGGGAAAAGCCCCTTATAAAACCATCAGATCGCATGAGAACTCACTCACTATCACAAGAACAGCATGGAGATAACTGCCCCCATGATTCAATTCCCTCCCACTGGGTTCCTCCCACAACACGTGGGGATTATGGGAACTACAATTCAAGATGAGATTTGGGTGGACTCAGCCAAACCATATCACTTGATTTAAGCAAATTGCTTTACTGCTAAATTTCTGAGATTCTTTAATAAGGTGTTTTACTCTAGGAATCTCTGAGACTGTCAGAGCTTAAAGCAACACCCAAAGTTTCCTTCTACTTTCTTTCACGGAGCTAATTCATGGGACTGGTGTTCCGTAGAGACCAGTTTTAGAAATTTTGTTATGGAGTATACGATGACTACACCCCTATGCACCCACACATGCTTACATATCATTCTGTTTTTACATTCTTTCTTTCACCTCTGTGTTTCTTCATAATCCATGTTGTTGGTTCTATTGATATCTTTCTAAAGGCTCTCTCACTGTGTGTGTGTTTGTGTGTGTGTTTGTGTGTGTGTGTGTGTGTGTGTGTGTATAACCTTCCATCCCATTTCCCAAACTGCAATCCTTATTGTTTCACAAGATTTAGACTTAAGGATTCACATCGTTTATTCTGCCAGTCACTACTTGGTGTCCATTTTTATTTATCTCTATGAGTCATTGCCCAAATCTGTCTCTTCAGCGAGATGATGCTCCTCTAATTCATACTCATATATCCAGTCAATACCTGGGCATCTCCAACTGGTGTTGTGAAAGTACCTCCAAACCAACTGCTTCAAAATTGAATTGAAACCTCTCCAATCCTTCTTCCCAGTTTATTATTATTATTATTTCAGGAAAATCCATCTTCACCAATCCATTCATCTAAGTGAGATACCTGGGGGTCATTCTGGATCCCCTACCTGCCCTCTCTCAAAATCATAGTATTAGAACCAGCATTTGTAGGGTATCAATACTTTCCATGTGAAGTAAGCTTTATATACCCACTTTATTAGGGAAAATGAGGTTTAGATGTTTATACCAAAACAAATGTGGTGGACCTATGTTGCAAATCCATGCCTTAGTAATGCCAAATTCCAGAGTCTTTTCACTTAACCACTCTACTTCTTTTAGAATCAATCTTTCAAACACATTTAACATTCATTCTCTCCTTCTAATTTTATCTGCAAATCCCCATAGCTTCATTCCTAAACTTGCAACGGTCTCCCTAGCTCACTTTCCACATCCAAACTTTCTCTTCTCCAATAAATCATACAGCCAACAGATTCTCATGATCTTCAAAACACTTATTGGCTCCCATTGAACACTCGATTAACTTTCCAATTTTTAGCCTTGCATTAAAAATAATTTACAATATGTCCCCCCCTTTATACCTGTATATGTAAAACTGCACTATTTTCTTTTACTAATCAAACCCTCACCTTTCTAACTTCTTATTTTTACCTGTGCCTTTGGTTTCTACATCAATTTACTGGAATCAAAATTTCAGGACTGGAAGTTCTGGGTCCTAGTTCCAGATCAGGTTTCCTTGTTAAATATCTTTGAACAAATATCATTAAATAATATAAAGAACTGTCAGTAACACATGTGGTGAGGAAAGCAGGGGGAAAATGGGTGTAGTAACAAGAAAATATTGATGTGAATCCAAATGATTGCCCACAATCATATCTAGAAAGAGTTGTAAAAGAATGGGTGGAAATATAGATGTGTTGATAGAAGCCCACATGGGGGAATAGTTACCAGATTACAGTGTGTCTCACAGAATAAGATTTGAAAAATCTTATTAGCTAACTTATTAGCTAACTTCCTACATGACCTGACCTGAGATACTAAACAGTTTCCTTTGGTGAGCTCCTACTCATGATGGCGTGAAGACTCAAGTGATACTCAAGCCCTAATTATTATAGTCCCCCTTGTTCCTGACATCCTAAGAGTAACAATTTTCTAGTTAGTACACATAAAACAGGAAGACATATTGAGGGATCATAAAACTAATGGCAGAATTCCTTGTTCTGCCCCATCAGTGATTTCCTATGGACTTTCATTTCCTCATAGTAAATTAAAGACATTGGATTAATTAATGTGGTATGATCACCCTTGTCTTGGAGTGTTGATTCTCTGAGCCTCCTGCTTATAAGGTAATTTTGAATGAAGCTGTTTTGTTAGTGTGGCTTTCACTAGGCTGATCTCAGAGAACTATGAATTACTTTCTGCATAGGCAGGATGTGACTACGGGGCCTCAGTAGATCATCTGCATCTGTCTGAGCCTCCCTTGGAAAGCTCCCCTATAGGTCTTCGTTTCTACTGCAGGTTTGATTCCCTGAGATGGAGATGAATGCTGCAGTTACTTTATTATAGAGTACTCTTGGAATCAACACCTACAAAAGGATAGGGAAGGAAAAATTGGGTAGATGGAGTGATGAAGATGCAAGGTAGTTTTAACAAAGGATTCGAGTGATGTCATGAGGACATCTGAAGCTGGGATGGCCTTTTAGAGTTGGAGTGAAGAAATAGGTCTTCACACTCCTGTGTCAACGAGACATTGGATGCATGCTGCACCAGTTGGGCAAGGCAGTACTCTTCCGCCAAGGCTCTTCCCAAAGATAACTGGTTGCTGAAAGGTATTTTCCAGCAGCATTTTCAGTAGCTGAATAAATAGGCTCTTTACTCATATGTGGGTCTGTGTAGCCCATTATAATGGTGGATTATTTTTCCAAGTAAATTTTTGTGACTGAACATCAGTAATATTTGAGAGAGACATCAGAAGGCTTTGGGCTGGCAGAGGTGTCTTAAGGAGTGGTTAGACTCTTTGTGCTCTCTCACTGCATGGAGAATGATCTGGCACTAGTTATAGCTATTTGCAAATTCCTCAATACATTAATTGTTATTGATATTGGTAGAGTGATTTATTGCCTGGTGACTGTACCTCTTTCTGCCAACCCTTTGTTGTCTAGCTAATTTAACTCTTCAATTCATTTTCCAGCCAGAAGACATCATTTTTACTCCTTTTTGAATTAGATATCCATTGTTCTTTTGGATGAGACTAGGTTTACTTGTACAAGTTTGACTTGATAGGTAGACAACTGGATGAGATAAATGGGAAAAATGAATGGGTTTATGGATGAGTGGATGAGTGTGCCTGATGGAAAACAGTACCTTCTGACCAGTTATCTTGAATTCCTTCCTCTTCCCCTTCTGTTCAATGTCAAAGAGAAAGAAGGAGGCTAAAACTGAAATTCTGGCGTGAAAGAGGGAATAAAGTAAAATAAATTGCATCAGTGCCAAAAGGGAACATTCCTGCTGATCTCAAATGAACCATGTTTACGTACATCCCTATTCCCTTGCATGTGCAGTTATAGCCATCTTTGATTTCTTAGCCCCTACTCTGGCTCTCCACCCATCCTTCCTTATCCCCCCAAAAAAACTCCCCCTGACTACTCCCTCTTCAATAATATACATTGTTCTCTGAACTAATTTAATATTCACTGCCTGAATAATATATATCAGCATAAGAAAGATTTACTGATCACATACTTATATTCTGCACCAGGGATGGTGTTAGCACTTCAAGATTAAAAATAAATAGGCCGGGCGCAGTGGCTAACACCTGTAATCCCAGCACATTGGGAGGCCAAGGCGGCTGGATCACCTGTGGTCAGGAGTTCAAGACTAGCCTGACCAACATGGAGAAA